>NC_000003.12:141887392-142190422 GCF_000001405.40 Homo sapiens | reverse complement strand
TCAATTCTCTATGGATCTAAGGAGAGTTGTTGATTTTCAGTTTGCTCAACTTTTTTTTTGTGAGGATGTAAGTAATGACTTCCAAGCTCTTTACCTATCAGACGGGAAATTGGAGTCCCCTCTTGTACATTTTTAAGTTTAGACCTTCTCACTGAATCCCCTGTATATCTAACCCTATCTTACATATTTTCCATCCTTTTGTCTCTCTGTGCTTCATTCTACCCAGTCTATTCCAACCTGTCTTCCAATCTATTATTCACTCTTCAATTGTTTCTAATGTGCTATTAAAACCCATCAAGTTCTTAATATTTTAGTTCTATAATTTTTATTTTTTCCCATATAATTAGCATGTTTATTTTAAAGTCCACGACTGTGAATTCCATCATCTGTAGCTCCCATGGACTGTGGACTGTCTTTTTTTCCTGTTTTTGTTTTTCTTCCATGTTATTGTTTCTTCATATGCCTGGTTACTTATTTGTATATATGTGTATATATGTGACCTTGATATTATATTTGTAAAATTCTGTGTAGAATTTGAGAGCCTTAACATAATGCTGTCTTGCTCTAGATAAGATTTATGTTTGTTTCTTCCATTCTTCCAGTTAACAGGATTATCTCAATCCAACTTAATAATTGAGATGATTCAAATCTGACTTGTAGTTCCTATGAGAGCCGGTCCTAGTTTACTCCTACTCTTAGGGTAGAGCCATTTGCAGTCCTTAGCCAACGTGAGGGGGGTTGACCTAGGTCCTCCTACCTTAGGAAGCCCTGATGTCTACTCTGTGTCACCCTAGCCTCCTAAGGGCCTAGCACCTATCAGAGGCCCTGACTCATAAATATTTTTTTAATAGATGGATGAATTTACCACCTGTCAGGCATTGTGCTACTCACTGAAATACAGGTTAACTTTTGGCTATTAAAAAAAGTTGTATCTGGAACAAATTTTAGAATAAAAATTTCTAAATTTAACAAGAGTTTGAAATATAAGAATACTTGAAGGCGCTCCATATTTAAGTGGCATAACTCTTGAATGGAATCTTAAAGTACTTGTATTATAAATAACCTACAAATGACCTCGTTTTTGGAACTCATGTCATTTGTTTTCATTTTACTGATCCTTTCTACTATTAAAGTATAATTTATCTTTAAATGTTTCCATTTGCTTTTCTTTTTATTTCAGTTATTTACTTACTTAAGTATTTTTTGGAACATCTGCTATTTGCTGGGAACCTCCCTAGGTGTTGGGGATATGAATATAAATGCAATCTTGTCCCTGCCCTTAAAGAGCTAAGGGTCTAGTAGAGAGGCAGTAATGGTGTGAGATAATGGCTAAATGGAAGCTATCTATAGAATGCTACAGACTGAGTTAGAAGGAGTGTGGGAGTGGGGCAGGCTTGGACAAAGCCAGGAAATGCTGGTCTTGAAGGACAAATAAGAGTTATAGAGGTGATAAACTTTGTTTCAAGAAATTGTTTTTCAGTATGTTAATAACACCCTAACAGGCATTTCAGTTTCTCTGCTAGCTATTATAGTTTACAGAGGTGTTGACAACTTCTGTTTCTCTTGGCATGCTTTATGCCAAGAATCGGCCTGTTAATAATATTTTAGGCTTTGGGGGTATAAGCTTTTTGTCACAACCACTCTGCCATGAAAGCAGCCGTAGGCAACAAATGAGCATAGCTGTGTTCCAATAAGACTTTACTTATGGACACTGAAATTTGAGTTTCATATAATTTTCATGTGTCACAAAATATTCTCCTTTTGTCTTTTTAACCATTAAAAATTATGAAAACCATTTTTAATTTGCTGTACAAAAACAGAGAGTAGGCTGGATTTGGCCTGTGGGCCATAGTATGCCATCCCAGCTTTGGGCTTTTTTTTGTTTTGTTTTGTTTTTGAGACGGAGTCTCGCTCTGCCACCCAGGCTGGAGTGCAGTCTCGGCTCACTGCAAGCTCCACCTCCCAGCTTCACGCCATTCTCCTGCCTCAGCCTCCCAAGTAGCGGGACTACAGGTGCCCGCCACCATGCCCAGCTAATTTTTTTTTGTATATTTTAGTAGAGACAGGGTTTCACCATGTTAGCCAGAATGGTCTCAATCTCCTGACCTCATGATCCGCCCGCCTCGGCCTCCCAAAGTGCTGGGATTACAGGTGTGAGCCACCGTGCCTGGCCATTTTTTGCATTTTTAGTAGAGATGGGGTTTCACCATGTTGGCTAGGCTGGTCTTGAACTCCTGACCTTAGGTGATCCACCTGCTTCGGCCTCCCAAAGTACTGGGATTACAGGCGTGAGCCAACGCACCCAGCCGACTAGTGTATGTTTAAACTAAAAATGTATATACTTTGTTTTTTTTAAAAAAAAAACAACAAAAAACACAAAAGTAACTAACGCATGCTTGGTATACAACTAAAACCTTTCAGAAATATTATACAGAAAATGAAAATCTTCCCTCTCTCCCCTGGCTAGATCTCATGCCCTATATAATAATCACTTAGAACCATTTGGAATATATTCTAGAAATGTTTTTGTGTACATATTAATTTTTATAAAAATGGGTTTATATTGTATCACTGATCTGCATTTAATCATGCACTTAGTAATTTAGCCTTTTTGAATCGATTTTGTGCTGTTGTGTTTTCAAGGTGCAAAAGGCAGTTGAAGAAGAAAATTGCTGCTTTGGGACTATTGATACCTGGTTGTTATATAAGCTCACAAAAGGTAAAGATGACCTGAAAGATCTATTTTAAATAACCGAAATTTGATCAAGAGAAATGATTTGCCTAAAAAAAGTAGAAGTTACTTTTTTTTTTTTTTTTTGAGCTAGGGTCTCGCTCTGTCAACCAGGCGGGAGTGCAATGGTGTAATCATGGCTCACTGCAGCCTCAGCTTCCTGGGCTCAAGCGATCCTCCCGCTTCAGCCCCCTGAGTGGCTGGGACTATTGGTATGTGCCACCATGTCTGGCTAATTTTTTGTATTTTTAGTAGAGACAGGGTTTTGCCATGTTGCCCACGCTGGTCTTGAACTCCTGGACTCAAGCAATCCATCTGCCTCAGCCTCCCAAAGTGCTGGGATTACAGGCGTAAGCCACTGCACCTGGTCAGAAGTTTTTTTTTTTTTCCCCCTTCCTGTACTCCAGACATACTGCTCTTTGGTACCCTATTAACAACATGTTCTAGTAAAGCTAGACTTATTCTAGATTTATTATAAGAGGAGGACAATTTTTAAATAAATTGTGATGAAACTTCAATATAAGACTGGGGAACAGTCTTAATTTCAAGAATGATAAGACAAGTTCAGTAACAAATCTGCCATTTTGCTAGTGGGTATAACTATGGGTGACATTAACATCTTTGAGCCTCTTTGTCATCTTTAAACTGGGGGATCGTAAAGTGACAACATGTATGTAAGTACTTTTGCACAACTATAAAAGTTCATAAATATTAAGTGGGAAATTGCTTTTGGAGACTTCACATTGAAAATACACATTTTGGGCCAGGTGCGGTGGTTTACGTCTGTAATCCCAGTACTTTGGGAGGCTGAGGCGGGCGGATCACTTGAGGTTGGGAGTTCGAGACCAGCCTGACCAACATGGAGAAACCCCGTCTCTACTAAAAAATATCAAATTAGCTGGGTGTGGTGGCACATGCCTCTAATCCCAGCTACTCGGGAGGCTGAGGCAGGAGAATCACTTGAACCCGGGAGGCAGAGGTTGCGGTGAGCCAAGATCGTGCCATTGCACTCTAGCCTGGGCAACGAGTGAAACTCCGTCTCAAAAAAAAAAAAAAAAAAAGAAAATACACATTTTGGAATGAATTTGAGGGTAGACAAAGGTCTATATTATATACTATCGATAGGTGTTGATTTATACTATCTGATAATAAATGTATTATTTCCTATTTAAATTTAGGTTCTGTATATGCCACAGATTTTTCAAATGCTAGTACAACTGGACTTTTTGACCCATATAAGGTAAAAATTTTTTTTTCTTCTTTTTGAATCACACATTTTTGTGTAATATAGATAGATTTAAATTTTTAAAATTAGTTTATTTTTAATTGACAAATATATCATGTACAACATGATGTTTTGATATATGTTTAGAGGTTTGATATATGTAAATATGTATATTCTGATGATACGTTTTTATGCTCAGATGTGTTGGAGTGGGATGATTACCTCTCTAATTTCGATACCACTTTCTCTCCTACCTCCTGTGAGGGACACAAGGTAATAATAAACATCAGACATAGTAACCAGCACAATGGTTCTTGAATTCATTTTGTTTCGTGGGGAAAAGCATTTTATTACATGTTTGAAGGACTTGTATGTTCATTATGTAACTTTTTGGCTTATGCAAAAAAACAATTTGCTGAGTTTTAAAACTAATATTTCTAGAGCTGTAACTAACTTTTTAATGAATTTTATTTGAAGCCACAATTTTGGATCAGTGGATGAAGAGATATTTGGTGTGCCTATACCAATAGTTGCCTTGGTAAGTAGGAAACTTGAGGGATTCCCTTTGTATAGTATAAACTAAAGTAATATGTATTAATAATTGAGACTAGCTTTAAGAGAAACAGAAGGTCTTTGGCAGAGTAAGATTAAAGTATTTTTTTTTCTTTTTAAGTTAAAGGTCCCTGGATATGACCAGAATATCTGCTATATTTTTGGGAAGGGGACCATTGAGCCAGTATTCTATCATGGAAGTACTTTATAACCTTTTCTGACTTGCTTGTATATTGTTTATCAGAAAACTTAAATTAAAAAAAATTTTTTTTAATTCTGAGTGGTATTTAGTTTACATTTGGTACTCTGAGACAAAACACAGTGATGGGGCGAATATTTATGTTCTGTTTGATAATGTGTAACCACAAACAGTGTTAGGGCAACTTAAACTAGCAGAGAAAGTTGTATGTACATTTAATAAAGTCCTTAGCCATCATCTACCAGTAAATAAGTTTGTAGAATAATGAAATATTTGCCATTTTTGATTTTTTTTTTTTTTTTTGAGACAGGGTCTCACTCTGTCACTCAGGCTGGAGTGCAGTGGTATAATCATGCCTCACTGCAGCCTCGGCTTCCTGGGCTCAGGTGATTCTTCCACCCCAGCCTCCCAAGTAGCCAAGACCACAGGTGTGTGCCACGACACCTGGCTAATTTTTTGTATTTTTGGTAGACATAGGATTTTGCTGTGTTCCCCTGGCTGATCTCGAACTCCTAGACTGGGGCCTTCTGCCACCTTTGCCTCCCAAAGTGCTGGGACTACAGGCATGAGTCACTGTGCCAAGCCTGTTTTTGATTTTTAAGAGTCCTTTCACATTGCCTTTGATTTCCTGTGGCAGCTTAAGCAGGAGGTAGAGACCACCTGTTGCAAGATGTGCAGTCTCCACAGTAGCTGGGGGAGCAGCTGAGGGAAAGGGAATTTAATTTCCAAGTTACAAAATCATTATCATTTAGAGAGGATCGGTCTTATTCAATCTAGGCATAGGTGCAGGGTTAGATTAAGGTATGGCTGGAAGAGTTACCAATTAGTGACAGAGGGTTCTTTAAATGAGTTGTTGTTGTTGTTGTTGTTTTTGAGATGGAGTTTCACTCTTGTCTCCCAGACTGGAGTGCAATGGCATGATCTCACCGATGGCTCACTGTGACCTCCGCCTCTCGGGTTCAAGTGACTCTTCTGCCTCAGCCTCCTGAGTAGCTAGGACTATAGGTGTGCACCACCATGCTTGACTAATTTTTGTATTTTTCCTAGAGATGGGGTTTCACGATGTTGGCCAGGCTGGTCTTGAACTTCTGACCTCAGGTCTCCCAAAGTGCTGGAATTATAGGCATGAGCCAGCAGGCCCAGCCTTTAGATGAGTTTTGATCCTTAAAATGTTGCTGTTTGTATATCTACATTTGACTATATTAACAAAATGTTACAATTTTTATTTTAACAAAAATGTATGGTTGGGAAATAGATGGTTTTTACTTACATCTATTTATATCAAAACATTTACCTATGTTTTATATTGTTTAATAAAATAAATAAATTTGTGAGGGTTGGTTATTTTGACTAATGAATGAAACAAATGTTAGTTGAAAATGAAAAAAATCTTAGTTTTTTTTTGGTTATCATTTTTATTCTTATTTTCTTTTTTTTTTTTTTTTTTTTTTTTTTGAGACAGAGTCTCACTCTGTCGCCCAGGCTAGAGTGCAGTGGTGCGATCTCGGCTCACTGCAAGCTCCGCCTTCCAGGCTCATGCCATTCTCCTGCCTCAGCCTCCCGAGTAGCTGGGACTACAGGCACCTGCCACCACGCCTGGCTAATTTTTTGTATTTTTTTTAGTAGAGATGGGGTTTCACCGTGTTAGCCAGGATGGTCTTGATCTCCTGACCTCGTGATTTGCCCACCTCGGCCTCCCAAAGTGTTGGGATTACAGGCGTGAGTCACCGCGCCTGGCCTCTTACCTTCATTTCTAAGATTATTCATAGATAATTAAAAGTCGTGAAGTAGGTTACCCATTAAAAATTCCTAAGGCAGGCCGGGCATGGTGGTTCATGCTTGTAATCCCAACATTCTGGGAGACCAATGTGAGAGGATCGCTTTAGGCCAGGAGTTTGAGACTAGCCTGGGTAATAGAGTGAAACCCCATCTCTACAAAAAAATTTTTAAAGAAATGGCCAGGTGCAGTGGCTCACACCTGCAATCCCAGCACTTTGGGAGGCCGGGGCAGGTGGATCAAGAGATCGAGACCACCTGGCTAACATGGTGAAACTCCATGTCTACTAAAAATACAAAAATTAGCTTGGCGTGGTGGCGCGCATCTGTAGTCCCAGTTACTTGGGAGGCTGAGGCAGGAGAATGGCATGAACCCAGGAGGTGGAGGTTGCAGTGAGCCCAGATCACGCCACTGCACTCCAGCCTGGCGACAGAGTAAGACTCCGTCTCAATGAAAAAGAATTAGCTGGATGTGGTGGTGTGCGCCTGTAGTCCTAGCTGCCTTGTAGTCCTAGCTACTTGGGAGGCTGAGGTGGGAGGATCACTTGAGTCCAGAAGTTTGAGGCTGCAGTGAGCTGTGATCTTACTGCACTCTAGCCTGGGTGACAGAGCAAGACCCTGTCTCTAAAAAACAAAACAAAACAACAACAAACCAAAATAAAAACAATTCCTGAGGCATGTCAGTTATCTGCAGAGTATTAGTCCTAGGGAGACTCCTATCCTATGGTTGTTGCTCCCTATTCTCTTTGGGATTTTTTTTTTTAATTTTAAGGAAAAGGAAAAAGAAACGAAGATGTTTAATCATGAGAGTACAATAAGTGAGACAATGCTCTATAATAAAATTGGCCACTGTTAAGGGCAATGGGTTTACATTTGAACATTTTTGGTAGGTTGCTGACCAGCAATCAGCCATGTTTGGAGAGTGCTGCTTCCAGACAGGTGATGTGAAATTAACCATGGGAACTGGGACATTTTTGGATATTAACACTGGAAATAGCCTTCAACAGACTACTGGAGGTAAGTAGTTAGGATTTATCCTATTTATTAATAAAATATCACTTCTGTTCATATTTAACTTCTGTGATACTTATACTATTTTCCCATTTTGTGATATTCTCTAACATATTTTATTATTCTTAAAGACAGTTAATTATCATTTCCCTTTCTTTTCCCTTTAAGTGAAAAGCATAAAAAACAAGAATGATATTGTTGAAAAATTCAGGATATATGGTCAGCTTTCTGGGTATTTTTCTATAACACATGTTGTATTTGTTCAAAACTCCTTACTAGGGGCCGGGCATGGTGGCTCATGCCTGTAATCCCAGCACTTTGGGAGGCTGAGGTGGGCAGATCACCCTAGGTCAGGAGTTCGAGACCAGCCTGGCCAACATGGTGAAACCCCGTCTCTACTAAAAATACAAAAAAATTAGCTGGGGGCATGGTGTCCGGCACCTGTAATCCCAGCTACTTGGGAGGCTGAAGCAGGAGAATCACTTGAACCGGGGAGGCAGAGGTTGCAGTGAGCCAAGATCGCGCCACTGCACTCCAGCCTGGGTGATGCAGTGAGACTCTGTCTCCAAAAAAAAAAATCTTCTTACTAGGGTTCTAAATTTTTTTTTTCTATTTGTTAGAAAATTATTTTGTGAATTTCTTTGAGTGGTAGTCCTCAGCTAGTGACCAATGCAATGGATAATGACAATTGCTAAGAATTTGCTCTTTTTAATAGAACAAATCCTGGGATTTACAGACCAAGAAATCTAGATTATAGAACTATACTAGTTTGGGCTCTGTTTCCATAACATGGTTACTAAGAGGTGGCTTAAAAAACCTTTTTCCTACCTTTTATCCCTCCTCAAGCTCTTCTTTTTCCCCTAACTAGGAAGATGGAATTAGAAAATGTTGATAATTCTATTAGATTGTTTCTATTTAGGAGCCTTGTTTGAAAACCACAGATAAATACAATAGCATAGTTCTCTAGCAAACCAATCTCATAGTACCCTTTTATTTCTCAAGTAAAATATTTATTGCCATATTTCTAGAGATGTAGACATGCCTATAGCTAATACAAATTAGTATTTATTGTTCATATTATGTGCCAGGCACTGTGCTAAGTTCTTTTTATGTGTTAATTCAGTTTGTTCATTTCGTAGCTCTCTGAGGTAGGCCGTTTTGTAGTTAAGGAAACTGAGGCTAAAAGGTTAGAAACTTGCAAGACTACAGCTAGTAAATGTAAGTGGGCTAGAGTTTGAACGTCCACAGTCTGACTTCAGAGGCACTTTGCAGTTTTTTGAGATAACCAAATCATTACATTGTAGAAGTCTCTATAATGAATTATGCATATATTTGACTTAACATTCGTTGTTTGTTTTGCAAGGCTTTTATCCATTAATTGGGTGGAAGATTGGGCAAGAAGTCGTATGCTTAGCTGAAAGCAATGCAGGAGACACTGGTACTGCCATAAAATGGGCTCAGCAGTTAGGTAAGTTGTCTTTTAAATGGATTTCACAAGCCAGACCTAAAGAATTCAAGAATGCCACAGGATTGCAGATTAGTAGGAAGCAAATGGATTGTTCAAATGAAACACTAAAATAAAATGACATCTATTAAAAGAAAATATAAAGTATTTTTATGATATCGAAATGGTAAAAGGCTAGGTCTTAAAGACAGGAACCATAAAGAAAAAGAATAATAAGTTTAACTATGTAAAATATTAGTGGGTAAGGAGAGATATGCCATAAGCAAAATAAAAGACAAATTGGTAAAAACAATTTGTAGCATATGTCAGAAAAATTAATAACATGACAAAAATGGGCAAAGGACCGAAGTACAGGTATTTTACGATCAAATGACTATAATGAAATGCTGTTCACGTACGATAATTAAAGAAATGCACATTTTGGGCTGTGGTTCCAGTGTCAGTTCAGTTTTCAGTGCTTTTGCAGTGCTATTTGGATCCGCCCCTCATTTGTGCCACCCAGTGGTCAGTCTGGGGGGTGGTTTGCCTGGAGATTAGTTCTCAAAGCCTTAAGCTTGTTGTTTAGGGTCATATCTTCACATGTGCTGCTCAAGAGTGAGACTAGGAGTTCATAAAAACCTTTATAAGGTAATTTTTCCTGAGCTCCTTTCTCTCAGTAATCTCCCTGGTACCTTTTGACTCTTGGGATCCCCATATTGGTGTTCTGGCTAGAAAGCTGGTGCTTTAGTTTCTCTACTGAACAGCTGCTACTACTTCTACCTCCCTAGCTTAGTGGCAAGAGGGATGAGAGAAGGAGAAAAGGGGGGTCAGAGAGAGAGAGAAGGAAAGAAGGGAAAGAAAGGAAACAAAGAAAGAGAAAGAAGGCTGGGCGCGGTGGCTCACGCCTGTAATCCCAGCACTTTGCGGGGCTGAGGCACGTGGATTACCTGAGGTTGGGAGTTCGAGATCAGCCTGACCAACATGGAGAAACCCTGTCTTTACTAAAAATACAAAATTAGCCGGGCATGGTGGTGTGCGCCTGTAATCCCAGCTACTCTGGAGGCTGAGGCAGGAGAATCACTTGAACCCAGGAGGTGGAGGTTGTGGCGAGCCGAGATCACGCCATTGCACTCCAGCCTGGGCAACAAGAGCAAAACTCCGTCTCAAAAAAAAAAAAGAAAAAAGAAAGAGGGAAAGCAAAAGGGATTTTCTTAACGTCTCATCTTTGAGTTTTGGTTGCCTCTGCTGCTCTGTCTGCTGTCACTGCAGCCACAGGATTGCCAGGGGCAGGCAAGACCAAGGGGAGTGGGCGCACGGGAAGAAGCAAGCAACAGGGATTTCCCCCCATACTCTTAGCTTGCAGTTTTATGTGCCTGTGCTACTGGGCTGCCATTGCCGCTACCATAGGATTGCCTGGGAGAATGAAAAAAATCTAAAGAAAACAAAAAATGAGAATCTCTCCACTCTGTCCTGTAGAGACCCTTGTCTCCTACTGCTCAGACCAGAAAGGAGCTTCTATTGAAGCTCTTTCATGTCTGCACTCAGTGTACAGATCTGAGTCCTTGGGTTTCAGGCTACCTCTGAGTCTAGGCCAGGAATATCAGAGAAAATATAAAAACAGGGAGTCCCCAGACGGCTTTTCCATTTATTCCTCCAAGATTCTTAGTTACATTCAGTGGGGGAGAGAGAATGGAGTGTGCTTACTCTGAAAGACTTTTTATCAATTAGCTTATTTGACAACAGATTAAGTGGAAGATTATTTAGAGAAATTCTTCAAGCAAGGAATGAAACAAACAGTGAGGAATGTGAATAAGATAATCTCTCTTTGTTTTCTGTTTCTTTATCTGTTACCAACAATTTTCCTCAAACCAACTGTCTAGTATGTTTTCCTACATCTTATCTTGTAAAAATTGAACATTTGGACAAGATTCATTAAAAAGTATAGATTTTAAAACCAATTTTTTTAAAGAGATAGGAGTCTCGCTATGTTGCCCAGGCTGGATTCAAACTCCTGGGTTCAAGTGATCCTCCTGCCTTTGCCTTCTGAGTAGCTGGGATTACAGGCACGCCACCATACTTGGCTTAAAACCAGTGTTTTTAACATTAGTTTTTGAAGTGGTAGAGATATTTTGATGTATTATCTGGACATTTTGAACAAATGGATGAAACTTACGGATTTGATAACTGTCATTTTGAGTAAAATTTGTAGTTATTATTGAGTGATCCTCATTAACTTGAGTTTTAATGTAAGTGCTCCTTAAATGTCTTTAGTGAATTTAAGTATATTAATTTAGTTATATAACAAATCATAAAATGATATAAAGTCAACTTAATTAAGGCTCTCTAAAGCCAGCAATATTTATTACGACTGAGTCTTTTCTTCTGATCTTTGCTGTTCAGTCCTACATACTCATTCAGAAGTCACTTTACAAACAAGGATATCCAAATGGCCAGTGAAAAGGTATTTAACTTTATTAGTCAGCAGGGAAATCCAAAATCAAACCACCATGTAATACTACCAAAATAGCTAAATTGAAAAACATAGACAATATCAATTATTGGCAGGAAGATAGGTGACGAACTCTCGTGCCTGCCGCTGGCAGGAGCCTTAAATTGGTAGAGCCACTTTGAAAAACTATTTGGCAGTTATCTGTTAAAGCTGGTTCTAAATGTGAAGACCTTAGAACTGGCCATTCCATTCCTTTGTGTTAATAAACAGAAATGTATACATATGTCCACCAAAAATAATGTACATGAATGTTCATTGGGATCTGTTTCTATTAGCCAAACACTAGGAACTACCCAGATGTATATCACTAATAGAATAAATTGATAAATTGTCTATAGTCACATAATAGAATACTATATAGAGGTGAGAATGAATGGAGTACAACTACATGTAACAGTGTGAATGAATCTCACGAGTACGATGTTTAACAAAAGAAATTTGTATCTTGACCTGGGTGTCAGTTACTTGGATGTATTCACACTGTGAAAACTCATCTAGCTATATACACTTAGGATTTGTGCATTTTTCTGGTCTGTATATCATATACTTCAGTTAAAGTTTACTAAATTAATTGTCTTGGTTTTTTTGTTTGCTTGTTTTTTAAAAATTGACTTTTAATATATCTGTTACTGGCCCCTTATTTAACTTATTAGATGGAGTATTTCAGTTAATTTTCTTGGGTATTATATTACAGGTAGATGATACTTTCATCAGAAACCTAGGATGGCTCTTATCTTTCAGAGGATAATTTTTTAATGCCAAAAATCCTACATAGAATTGATTTTTTAAACAGCCCAAATATCTTTAAAGGAAAAAGCAGCCAGGTGTGGCGGCTCACGCCTGTATTCCCAGCACTTTGGGAGGCTGAGGCGGGCGAATCACCTGAGGTCAGGAGTTCAAGACCAGCCTGACCAACATGGAGAAACCCCATCTCTACTAAAAATACAAAATTAGCTGGGCGTGGTGGCACATGCTTGTAATCCTAGCTACTTGGGAGGCTGAGGCAGGAGAATCGTTTGAACCTGGGAGGTGGAGGTTGCGGTGAGCCGAGATTGCGCCACTGCACTCCAGCCTGGGCAACAAGAGTGAAACTCCGTCTCAAAAAAAAAAAAAAAAAAGAAAAAAAACGTAAGTCCTGCTGCATACAGAGCCTATCTAAGAGGGCCTTCTACCTCCTGTCTCCCTTCTATGGGCCTGGAAACCTATGCAGTGTGAGAATTCAGATAGTACCAGAACAGAATGGTCTTTGTGCTGACCCTTTTAAGTGAGCAATCTTTTACATTATATTCATAATAAATGTTGATGCAGGTAAATACTATCATGTAACATAATTCTGTTTGTGCCTCTCTAACCTCTTCATTTTGTTTTAGGGTTTTTTGTTGTTTGTTTGTTTTTGCAGACCTTTTCACAGATGCTGCTGAGACTGAAAAAATGGCCAAAAGTTTGGAGGATTCTGAAGGAGTTTGTTTTGTTCCATCTTTTAGTGGATTACAGGTATGTATTTTTTAAAGTTAATGGCAATCACAAATATTTTTCTCCTCCTGCCACATCCAAACTTATATATCTACCATTCTGTTACCTTAAAATTTGAGCACTGAACAGAACTAAGATGAAAGGTAGATTTTAGGGCTGAGAAGTTATGCTCTGACCAAGCATGAATTCCATGAGGAAGCAGAGCATCCTGAATGTGGCCCTGCTGGCTTGGCTTGTGCTGGTAGAATTCAGCTGACTTCTGCTTAGAACTGTGTGGAACCTAAGAGTTGGCAGGTTTATCATAGAACTTTTACATAAGACTTAGCATTACTTTATCATGACCAAAAATAGCCATTTCACAGTGGGGGGAATGTATCAGTAAATTTGCATTCTTTACTTAGAGGAAATAAGCCATTGAGAATTAAGATAAATAATGTCAAGGTACATACATCACACACATATGCACACACATGTATATGTATGTGTATATTTTGCACTTGTACATTTGTAAGTTTTAAACTTTTTTTAAAAATCAAAATCTTGGCTGGGCGCGGTGGCTCACGCCTATAATCCCAGCACTTTGGGAGGCCGAGGCGGGTGGATCACAAGGTCAGGAGATCGAGACCATCTTGGCTAACAAGGTGAAACCCCATCTCTACTAAAAATGCAAAAAATTAGCCATGCATAGTGGCACGTGCCTGTAGTCCAAGCTACTCAGGAGGCTGAAGCAGGAGAATTGCTTGAACCTGGGAGGTGGAGGTTGCAGTGAGCCGAGATGCCACTGCACTCCAGCCTGGGTGACAGAGCGAGAGTCCGTCTCAAAAAAAAAAAAAAAAAAAAAAAATCAAAATCTCCTTTCATTAATTGTTGTGGTGGAGTATTGATTACTTTGCTTAATCAAAAAATGAACCTAGGAGAAGTCTTGATTTTGTAACATTTAACTTTGTATTTAATTGAAAGATCTCTGATACTACCTTTAATTTTAGAATATTATTACAAATACTTTTAAAACAACTTTTCAAGTATATTATTATGAAAGTTATATGTCTATCATATACTTCAGTTAAAGTTTACTAAACTTTTTTTTGGGAAAGCTCATACTATTTTTAATCCTCCTCCAAATATTTTTTCCTTTCAAAAAATACAACTTTCTCTTTCTTCTTGCTTATCTCATATTCAGGCAATTAGTTACAAAAGTCCAAAATTTGAGTTTGGGTTTATAATATAGAAGCTGGTAGAAAAAAAAATTAGGTCAGGGTGTTTTAAATCTTTAAAAATATCATACTTCCAAAACTAGATTTTAAAATGAGCATTATTTCAATACCTGTAATATTTTTGTGTACTTTATCCTAAAGGACCGAGAGCTTGTGAATTGATTCCATTGCATCCTCTTCAGGATGATGTGAGGGAACCTCTAAATAGCACCTATCATAGTCCAGAAAGTGAAAATTTTTTATCTAATTGAGATTTCAGGAAAAAGGTTAGATGAATAATTGTCCTCAGCAAGGTAAGGTTTGGTTAGGCAACTACTGGTTCTTTTCTTCTCTCTGAAAAATGTGCTACAGGACTTAGTAGTCACCTTGTCTTAGCAAGTCTGTCTTTGACTTCTCTATCACCTCACATACCTGTAATATAATATAATAATTATATATATTATATAATAATAATAATATAAAGTATATTTTTTTAAGTTTTAAACCCAAAAGATTTAGACAAAACTATCTCAGGTTTGATTTTTAATTTCCTCTTGATAGCAAAATGTCCCTGTCCTGCCATGATTGCAACCTGCCCATATACTGGCAGTAGAGGGCAGTTGGGAGAGGTGGTAGGTTGACCGTAGGTCATGTATTTCCCTGTGTAAAATGAAACTTTAACTGGAAATTGAAAGTTAAACCAAACAGCAATAATGTGTTAGTACTAAACTGTTTGGAAAATAGGAGGGAAGATCACCTATAATCTGCCTATGTGAACAACTAGAGAAAATGAGGGATGGGGCATGAAAGGAAGGAAGGTTTATGTATCTGTGAAACTGCCTTTAGTTTTAGAATATTTTTACAGCTTTAGATAATTGGGATCTGGATGTTGAAGGCCCCTAATAGTCTCATTTTCTCAAAGGAATCTACTGAGAAAGGGGTACTGGGTGAGCTTTGAGGAAAATGGGAAAGTCTAGGACAGCCACTTCAGGGAATGGCAGAAAGGGTGGGAGCCATACACTGGGGGTGGCATCAGTTAGTGCAACCATTATGGCTTTCCTCTAGCAGGGCTCGTGGTTTGGGGAGTGGGATACTGAAATAGGTATTAGAGGCAAGAAACAGTGGTCATTTACCTGGACGTTAGAGTTACTGTGATGATGGCAGTAATAGGATAGACAGAGAAGCTGTTTGTCCACATACTCTTGAGGACTGGTATTGGAAAGCAGTCAGCAACTGACAGCAGTTCTTAGCGTCTTTGGGTTCCTGCTTCTCTCTGTTCTGCTTTTCTCTTTTCATTACCAGCTTTGCTCTGTGTCCTTTCTTCCTCCATAGCTTCTGCTTAATTGTCATCATTTTTCTTACACTTTTTGCTTCTTCACAACTTAGAAATATCACATACAACCTTCCTCTACCTTATGCATCCTTTTAGCTTCAGTTCCCCCATTGATGAGGTCTTTTTCTTCGGGTTTCCTGGTTTTGGTTTTCAGGGCAGAGAATCTGATTGGACCACCTTGTCCTTTTGCGTTTCAGTCAGACACTGAGTCAGCTGTACTCACCCTCTGCAGTTGTGGTGATGGCATTAGGACTAGAGCATGAAACATGGCAGCTTTAGTTAACAGGGCCTGTGGATTCAAGCAGTTTCCTTAGAAGGGGATGAAGCCAGCAAGTCCTGTGATTGCCATCTCTAGTTTTGTGAGTGACTAGGATGTCTGAATGGTGCAGTCTGTGTTCTGGGGCAGGAGACTACTAGTTTTGCCCAGGGCACCAAACAGATTTCAGGCCAGTTAAAGCAGTATTTTCTGTGATATCCTGGAAGAAGTCATATTTATGCAGGAAAAAAACATAGCATATTGCTAGGGACTAATTGAACTGGCCAAATCTGACTAATCTTAGTTTTATGATACTATACCATCTGATATAAACCAGATTTACTATATACGTTTTTACTAATTAAAATCACCAGAAGGTGTTAATAGATTTGAAAAATTAAAATAAAATCTCAGTAGGAGGGAAATCATAGCTATAGCAAAGATAAGATGTAATATAGAATTTCTTAAGTCATTAAGAAAAATATTGTTTGTTCATTTATTCACCAAATGTGTATTGTTCTCCCATGGGGAGCCAGATATAGTGCTAGGCACAAGAGACACACTGGGAGTACATCGGACAAGGTTCCACCCTGTGGTACTTATAGTGTATTGAGGAAGGTGGGGTTTCAACAAACCATCAAGCAGAATATGTGATTATAAACTGTGGTGCATGGTATGATGGGAAGTTACAGGGTTCCATAAAAACAGAGACCTCATCTAGTCTCTGGGGTCCAGAGTTTTCCCTGAGGAAGCCAAACCAAGATTTGGAAGGGAGTAAGAATTAATTAGGAGAAAGGGTGGTAGAAGGTGTTTCAGGTAAAGGGATGATGTGTCAAAACCCTGAAGCTAGAAGGTGCTTTTTCTGAGGATCATAATTTCCTGACAGCGCTGGATGTCCTTGAAATGACCATTTTGATGTGTTAGCGCTCTTGTGAGACTCTTGTCTGTTTCCTTGTGAGACTGTGAGACTGCAAGCTCCAGCAGGGATCTTTGTTTTTCATGTTTTTTGTTTTTGTTTTTGTTTTTGTTTTTGTTTTGAGACGGAGTCTTGCTCTGTTGCCCAGGCTAGAGTGCAGTGGCGCCATCTCCGCTCGCTGCAAGCTCCGCCTCCCGGGTTCACGCCATTCTCCTGCCTCAGCCTCCCGAGCAGCTGGGACTACAGGCGCCCGCCACCATGTCTGGCTAATTTTTTGTATTTTTAGTAGAGACGGGGTTTCACCATGTTGGCCAGGCTGGTTTCGAACTCCTGACTCAAGTGGTCCACCTTTGTCGGCCTCCCAAAGTGCTAGGATTACAGGTGTGAGCCACCCTGCCTGGCCTGTTTTTCATCTTTGTGTCCCAGAATTGCCTTACATTTCTGGAGATACAAAGATGAATAGAAACCTCATCTGATTAATACATACTTCCAGCTCAACATTTTGGCTCTTTTGAGAACATGTTAGGCTGGATTATTTCTGATATTAGGCAGTAAGGCTATTAAGCTAAGAGAGAAGAGTGTAGTGGTGTTTTTTTTTTTTTTTTAGACCCTGTCTCACTCTGTCACCTAGGCTGGAGTGCAGTAACGCGATCACGGCTCATTGCAGCCTCAAACCCCTGGGCACAAGCAATCCTTCCACCTCAGCCTCCCAAGTAGCTGTAACTACAGGTGTGTATCACACCCAGCTAATATTTAAAGTTTTTTGTAAAGGTGGTATCTTGCTTTGTTGCCCAGGATAGTGTTGAATTCCTGGGCTGAAGCAATCCTCCCTCCTTGGCCTCCCAGAGTGCTAGGATTACAGGTGTGAGCCACTGCACCTGGCCAGAGTATAGTTTTAATGTCTGACAACATATTTGATTTAAGTTATGACACTAAAAAGTACATTTTTGTAGAAAGCTATTCTACATAGTAAAAAGTAGAAAGCTATTCTACATATTAAACAATTTTAGTGTAAAAACTTTATAGCTGGAGAAGGGGGATTGCTGTGATTGCTCTTCATTTTCCACATTTATAAAGCTAAGCATTTAATAATTTGTTACTATATGCTTCAGTTCCTCTTTCTGACATAAATGCAAACAGAAGCTAAGTACAGTAACTATGACTCAATATCGCTTAAATGCTGTTAAAAAGTTATCCCAATATTTACCATAATCTTTTATTTTAAAATTATTTAACCATAGCATTATTTTCTTCTAACGTGGCTATGTTGTTGTTGTATAGTATTTCCTCAAGTCCGTAGATGTAATTTAGAATAATAATAATATATTCTTGTTATCTCTTACTGTAGGCTCCATTAAATGACCCCTGGGCATGTGCCTCTTTTATGGGTTTGAAGCCTTCTACCAGTAAATACCATCTTGTACGAGCAATATTGGAGTCAATAGCTTTCAGGTATGAAAACCTGCCCTAAACTTCCCCTTCCCCATAGAATATTGCCATGTCTTTCATTAATTTGCTACTAAATGGAAAATTTCTTAATTTTAATTAAATTCTTTGTATTTTTGGCTTATTTGATACTATATATTATGTAATATGTTCTTCTTGCTAATTTCCATGGTATCTTTCTTATTTTTTCTTATATTTAATGTACCAACACCACTCAGACTTGATATCTGAAAATTGAAGGATTTTTTTAAAAAATTCAATTTCTTAAGCATGCAAGATTCAAAATTTGGATTTTCAAAGGTTTAGTATCCTTATTCATGAAAGATAATTCCAAGTAATAATGCTTCTGTTGTACCCCAAAATTGAGTCATCAGAATTATTCTTCTGCATATTTCCCTGTAATCTTTTTGTTATGAGACAGGTGTTAATTATTAAAATTAAGAATGATGCTGTCATGAATATGGGATGTTTGTAACATTTAAAATAAAATTTTCTGTGATTACAAAGTAATTGTTTTTATATTTGATGAATTCTATTAGATTTTACTTATGGTTTGTCATCTTAATAGCTATCTATTAAATAGATGCTTGTTTTAAATTTTTCTTTGTAGAATGGTAATAGATAAAATTTAGTTGTAAAATATAAATTATGCCTTCTTACATGAAGGCAAAAAAAACACAAGGACCTGCGCTTCTTGCTTATTTGAGTATCTGTTATACAGTTTCCATTTAGCACAATTTATTTCTTTAATATTTTGTTTTGTACATTTTATAAATATCAAATAAATAAAACTATAGTTTGTATTTTTCAAGATCAGAATAAAGTAGTGAATTATTATGATATGAATTTCTTATAAATAGTTATCTTGTTTTTTAACTAGAAACAAACAGTTATATGAGATGATGAAGAAAGAGATTCATATTCCTGTAAGAAAAATCCGGTATGTAAAGTTTATTTCTAATAGACTTAATTAGAAATTAGAAGTAAGTGGTAGCTGCTATGAGCTACCACTCATTTCTTTTTTAGATCCTGAATAATTCATCTTTATGATTATTGAGGATTTCAAAAATAATTTCTGCTTAGCTCCTTCACAACAAAATTCTTTTTTTTTTAATTTGTATTTTTATCGAGACAGAGTCTTGCTGTGTCACTCAGGCTGGAGTGCAGTGGCATGATCTCGGCTCACTGCAACCTCTACTGCCTGGGTTCAAGTGATTCTCATGCCTCACTATCCCGAGTAGTTGTGACTACAGACATGCACCACCACGCCCAGCTAATTTTTTTGTATTTTTAGTAATGATGGGGTTTCGCCATGTTGGCCAGGGTGGTATTGAACTCCTGACCTCAGGTGATCCGCCCTCTTCAGCCTCCCACAGTGCTGGGATTACAGGTGTGAGCCAACGCGCCCAGCTACAACAAAATTCTTGGTCATAGGAATTCAGAGAGGAAAGGAGAGCTAATTGTGGATTTATGGAGAATATAATACAATATCAAATTTGGGTGCATCTTGGCACCCATATGTGTAGTATATCAATTTTTAAAATCTCTTTTTTGGGTGTATATCCTTTGGGCATGTAAGCATCAAACTTCTCGACTTTCTTTTCTGTAATATCTAAGTGAATTTTTATGTTGCCTTAGTTTATTATACCTGGCTTGTTTTGAACTAGTCCTAAGACAAACAAGGACAGGTGAGAAAATTGGTGGCAGAAATAAGGAAAATGTTTAAAGATTACCCAGTAAGGTTCTCTGTCATTAGGTTAATGCTAAGTGATTTAATTTTAGAATTAAAAAGTAAAATTTATAAAATAAAATCAAGGATTTCAGGAAAAAAATGTGGCCCACTGAAAAAGAATGATACTTTTGTTGTAGTAATTCATCTTACATATTTTGTTCCCCACAGGGCAGATGGAGGAGTTTGTAAGAATGGTTTTGTCATGCAGATGACTTCAGACCTGATTAATGAGAATATAGACAGACCTGCCGACATTGACATGTCATGCCTGGGTGCAGCTTCTCTAGCTGGCCTTGCTGTTGGTATGTGTGAAATTTATAAGAATGAGAGTTTTCTTGCAAACTCTTCCTTACAGATAGCATTTCTCCTCTCAAATTACAAAATTCTAGAGAGTCTGGAAAGCCTTGGCGTCCATTAAACTCCATACACATATGCATATTACTCACAAAATATCCTGTGACCTCCTCTGTTGGTGAGTCTGGTTGCACCTCTTCTATCCTCACCTCACCCCTTCAGTCAGAAGTATGAGACAAGAACAGTTAATTCTCAGCTGCGTCAGTCTCTAGCAACAGACAGTCTCTGGGTAAACTTTCTGGATAGATAGTGTTAAAGAAAAAAATTATTCAGTGACACTTATTAAAGAACAATAAGGTGAGCCAGGTGCAGTGGCTCATGCCTGTAATCCCAGCACTTTGGGAGGCTGAAGCGGGTGGATCACCTGAGGTCAAGAGTTCAAGACCAGCTTGGCTAACATGGCAAAACCCTTTCTGGACTAAAAGTTCAAAAATTAGCTGAGCATGGTGGCACATGCCTGTAATCCCAACTACTTGGGAGGCTGAGACAGGAGAATTGCTTGAACCTGGGAAGGCGAAGGTTGCAGTGAGCCGAGATGGTGCCACTGCATTCCATCCTGGGTGACAGAGCAAGACTCTGTCTCAAAAAAAAAAAAAAAAAAAAGAACAGTAAGGTGGGCTTTATTCTGGAGGACTATCAAGAATAGGTATAGGGACTACTTCAGTGGGATCTTATGGTGGGAGAGAGAATTTAGGCTCAACTTTGAATACAATAAGGAAAAGTGAGAAATTATAGCCAAAGAGCAGAGTGAGAGTCAGTGGATGGAAAACTACTAAGAGGAAACATTGAGGTAAGGGGAAATTCTTGCTAACCAACCTAATAACATTCTCAGGAAGGCAGGCCAGGGTGATCAGATATCATCTGGAGGATACTGGAGGATGAGATATCGAGGTTGATCAGAAATTGAGGATGGGCTACACTAATTTAGCAGTATTCTTGCTCAAATTAGATAATGCAGAGATGACCATGGAAGTCCAAAAGTTGAGGCCTTGAGGCCTAGTTGGAAAAGAGCTTGGAGGAGCCTGAGTGGAGTTTGGTCAAGGAGGAAACTTTGTCAGTAGGTTTGCCTATGGCATTAGAAACCACTCCATTCTTTTATTTATTGAACAACGTTTGTGGAGCACCTGCTACATGACAATCACTGCTGGCAATAAAGGGATTAAAAGCCATAGTCTCTGATTCCTGGTGGGAGGAGACAGGTAAGTCAAGTGATTATTAAGTTTGTCTGATAAAGCCAGTGAACAGTGACAGTGTTAATAAGCAAGTGGTCTAGGCTTCCCAGAGGAGATCACATATGGTTCAATTTTGAAGGGGCTAGCAGAGAGTCAGGTGAGGAGAGGGTAAGAGATGGTTGGCTCAATATCCCTATTGCAACTTGTGCAAAGGCATTCATCAATGATGGGAAGTACTGTTATGGTGAGAGCAAGAAGGGAGTGGGAGAGGTACATAGAGGTGTAGTTGTGGTGACTCCTCATAAAGAGGAGTTCGGACCTGATCCTGAAGGCACTGGAGAGCCACTAAAGAATTTTAACCGGGGGTGGGGGGGTGGGGACCATAGAAAGATCTGCATTTGAACAGATCGCTTTGACAATTAGTGAAAAGATCAGTGAGGAGGAATAAGAATGAAAGTAGGCATGTCAATTTAAAGGGCCCCCTAGAAAGCAGGATGATGCCTTAGGATACTCAGAGTATTTTAATGTGTTTCTTTCTGGGGGATGCTTGGTACAAAATAAGATATTTTACATTTAAAAGTTTTAGGCTAATAGTACATTAAAGTTACAAAAAGCCTAAAATCTTGGTAAATTCGGCTTAAACTTGATTCTACTAAAAATCTGGTAATTTTGAATAAAATTGAAAGTTACTTTCATTTGTTCATTGATTAACGTTTGATTGAAGTTGAAGAAAATAAACTTTCCCTTAATCAATCCCATTTGCAAATTTGAACTCCTTCATATTCCAACTCCTGTAAATTTAGTATGTTTGATTTTCCTCTTATTACTTTCACGTGCCTGATTGAGCAAACTTAGAACTGTAACAAGGTAAATCACGAATACTTAAACAACAAACAAATTGAATAAATTAAGCTATAATTATAGTATATCAAGGTCTCATAAGCATTTTTATACTTATGTTAATCAAATTCTTCTACACTTTTCACCTTATAAGACTAAATAAGTCAGATTCTCTTGAACATTTAAAATGCTTTAAGTAACAAACACATGCAGGGTTTTTGTTTTGTTTTGTTTTGTTTTGTTTTGTTTGAGATGGAGTCTCCCTCTGTTGCCTAGGCTGGAGTGCAATGGCGCAATCTCAGCTCACTGAAACCTCCTCCTCCCAGGTTCAAGCGATTCACCTGCCTCAGCCTCCCAAGTAGCTGGGATTGCAGGCACCCGCCACCATGCCCAGCTAATTTTTGTATTTTTAGTAGAGATGGGGTTTCGCCATGTTGGCCAGGCTAGTGTCAAACTCCTGACCTCAGGTGATCCACTCGCTTTGGCATCCCAAAGTGCTGGGATCACAGGCGTGAGCCTCTGCGCCCAGCCCCACATGCAGGTTATTTTTATACATAACACAGTGACTTGAGTTTTATCTACATCATTATATTTAATTTCAGATATTTGCTTCTGTCTCAGAAATGTGAGACTATGTATATCCTCTGTATTTTATAAATTTACCCAGAAATTGGATTTGCTCTATACATACTTAATAAAATGTCTTAAAATATATATGTCTTAAAATGTAAACAATAAATTCTGGAAATGAGGATTTTAAGAAACACATTTATTTTCCTGACTAGATTTATCTAACTATAGTATACTGATGAAAACTATGTTTTTCTTTTAAAAACTTGTCTACATTAATACCTTTATTTATTTTTAATTAAAAATTTTTTTTTTTTGAGATGGAGTCTCACTCTGTAGCCCAAGCTGGAGTGCAGTGGTGCGATCTCGGGTCATTGCAACCTCCGCCTCCTGGGCTCAAGTGATTCTCGTGCTTCAGCCTCCTAAGTAGCTGAGACTATAGGCGCGTGCCACCACGCCCAGCTAATTTTTTATATTTTAGTAGAGACAGGGTTTCACCATATTGCCCAAGGTGATCTCAAACTCCTGACCTCAGATGATCTGCCCGCCTCGGCTTCCCAAAGTGCTGGGATTACAGGCATGAGCCACCACACCTGGCCTACATTAATACCTTTAAACATAGATGGTCTAAAATGTTGACTGTAAATAAAAAGAATATGACCTGACAAAATTTTAGAAAGGAGAATTTAATGTGTCAGTTTTATTGGTAAGAAAAAATGTACTTCATGAAGATTTGTAGACTTTTGGTACTTCAAAAGAGGTGTGATAGACCTCTCAGTAGGTGAAATGTGCCAAGCTTACTAATAAGATACCTGTATCATTTCAGACTACTTATGATCTTAGTTATAAATGTTCTCACCTGGTGCTGTGGCTCACACCTGTAATCCCAACACTTTGCGGGGCTGAGGAGGGCGGATCATTTGAGGCCAGGAGTTTGAGACCAGCCTGGCCAACATGGCGAAACCACGTCTCTACTAAAAGTACAAAAAATTAGCCGGGCGTGGTGGCACGTGCCTATGGTCCGAGCTACTCGAGAGGCCCAGGCAGGATAATTGCTTGAACCCGGGAGGTGGAGGTTGCAGTGAGCTGAGATCGCACCACTCTACTCCAGCCTGGGTGACAGAAAGAGACTCTGTCTCAAAAAAAAAAAGTTCTCTTGCTTTTTATTATATATCATATGATCCTTCCTTCAAAGAGCAGTCTATGCTAGAACTACAAAATTATCTTAAACTGGAATTTAAATAAATTATATAAAAGGCTATAGTTTGAAAGAGAAACTATTACATTAATCTCCAACTTTGAATTTTATGCATATTCCAGAAAGTTGACATTTACCTTAAGCTGTAAGACAAAAATCTTAATTTGTCTTCATTTATTGTAATTGCATAAAAAAGAAAATATCCTATTTCTTTCTCTTTTTTTTTCTTCTGTTTTTCTATTTTTAGAGACAGGGTCTTTCTCTGTTACTCAGGCTGGAGTGCAGTGATATAATCATAGCTCACTGCAGCCTTGAATTCCTAAGCAAGTGGTCTCCCCTCCTCAGTCTCCCAAAGCACTGGGATTGCAGGCATGAACCACTGTGCCTGGCCAGAAAATATACTGTTTTTCACTTGGGATTGTTTTAATAATAGCAAGTTATGAAATTAAATGATGGCATAGGGTAGCTGCTTTAGAAGTGATGTGGTGTCCCACCACACAGAAACTGAGCTGAAAGTTAGAAACCAAAAGACTTGAAAATACTGGTATAATTATTTTCAGGAATGATCGATCTAACAAAATTCAAAAGTAACAAAGTATTTTGGATTGTTTTAAAAATAGTTTTTGTTTACCTTTCTACCAGCAACTCGTATAGGTTTTTGGATAAACTTTATTGGACTCATGATTTGCCTTAAAATTTGAGGATAATTTTTTTATCTATAGGGTTTTGGACTGACAAGGAGGAACTAAAGAAACTGAGACAAAGTGAAGTGGTTTTCAAGCCACAGAAGAAATGTCAAGAATATGAAATGAGTCTGGAAAACTGGGCCAAAGCAGTGAAACGCTCCATGAATTGGTATAACAAGACATAACACTAAATGAAATGATCAAAACCATAGGTAGCTGGTTTATGTGACGTGCAGATGAGATGAAGCTCAGGGATAACCCATATGACAATGACTAAGAGGAGAAAATTTTAAATAAGCTTCATAACTTAAGAAGCATTGCTTTTAAAAAAACAAAACGGAACAAAAAACTCTTATTTTTTTCCCCTAAACCATGGTAAGGCAGCAATACCTCAAAACTTTATATCTTCTATTTTGTAGCAAATTCCAAAGGACATTAGTCATTTCCAACCACATTTTGACAGTTATGGGTCCTCTTCCTTTTTATACTGGGTCAGTGGTACATAGGAACATAATGATTTACCATCCAAGCTAATAGTTCTGGGTCAAGTACCATGCACATATTGTTCCAAAATTATGTGAAACGTATTTCTTTAATTCTTTAAGTGGGCTATTTGAAGTACATATAGCTAAAAAGAAAGAATAACTGAGAAAATGTGGAATTTTGAAACATTAATATTTTATGTTTAAAGCCATAATTTCCTAATATTATATCCAAATATGAGCTTAATATGTCCCTCTCAGATAAGCTTATGAGATAGTTAATGCTTTCCTTTACTGGTCTTAAAGACACTGCCTTAATTTTTCCTTGTTCAACCAAAATCTGAGCATTCTTTCTATGTTGAAAACACTGAAAAACTAATTTTAGTTAATGAACTAGAAAGAATATTGATTTTTAAGAAACAGAAAAATACTACTTATTTTCCTTCTCAAATAACGTTTCTTTCAAAAACTTCTGGCTGAAGTATAACATGCTGGTAGTTAACATAAATCTTGTCTTTCTCTTGTTCTTTATCTTTCTTTGTTATTTAGATGCTTGTATAAATGTCTTTTGTTTTTATTAAGTGCCTAATTGACAGAGCTTAATTTGAAGAAGTGCCCTAATTTATTGACCACTTAAGAATTGCCTTTATTGGGGTATTTTATTTGTTCCTGCGTCTTTTTGATGTTTGTTCAGTCTACTCATCCCTGTGAGTATGTGTGGGGGACAGCTGATAGAAGGGAGGAGAGTGTGTCTATGCTCAGGATTGCCCTTTAGCCACTCAGCCAGAGATCCACAGGGAGCAACAAGGACAGTTTCACATGCTTAGACTTTCTTGGAAGAAACAGTGAGGAGGAGTAAGTCGTGAGTAGTGTCAAGCTGGATGTAGAATTGTCCTAAGGCAGTTGACCCCACCTTCCAACATGTTTTCACTTTATTTGCCCCTCCCTACATTTGGGTTAGGTTCCATTTGGATTTGCAGCAATAATGACTTTATTTCTCTCTTGGTCAGGATTTGGCACATAAAATCCTTTTATTATAGAACTAGCTATTTTAGTTACATAGTAATGTAACTAATGGAGAGATTTATAGAGAATTTTGTTTTTGCTGTCATATATGTCCATTTTGGAGACAGATATGATAGAACTAGAAATTAAGTTGCATTTCTGCAAGTGCCATTTGAATGAACTTCAAGTATCTTCTTAATTATTAAATTTTCTGATGAAGGCATTGTAACAAATATATAGTATTATTAAATCTAATTAATATTTGGAAATATTAATAAATAGGTATTTTATTTACTGTAAAAAGTCAAACTTCATTATGTAGATAAATCTTATTCTTTTCATTCTTTCCCCTGTTTACATCCTTTTTACAAAGCTTAGTCACCAATTAAAGCTTTCCTATCAAAATCACATGGAAGCTGCTCTGTTGTTTTACTGTTACACATTCTGTTTCTCAGTGGGTGTAATTTTTTTTTCTTTTTCTTTTTTTGTAGAGACAGGGTCTTGCTGTGTTGCCCAGGGTAGTCTTTAATTCCTGGCCTCAAGTGATCCTCCCACCTTGGCCTCCCAAAGTGCTGGGATTGCAGCCGTGAACCACTGCACCCAGCCAATGGGTGTAATTTCATAGGAAATAATTCTTTTTGTCAGAATGTACTGAATTGTAATATTAATACCTGAAAATTTGTTAGTTCACTTCTTTTCCACGTTCTTCTTTCCCAACATATAACCACAAAATAAAGGATAAATACTTTGGGCTGTGTGCAGTGGCTCATGCCTGTAATCCCAGCACTTTGGCAGGCTGAAGTGGGCGGATCATTTGAGGTCAGGAGTCCAACCTGGTCAAACACGGTGAAACCCTGTCTCCACTAAAAATACAAAAATTAGCTGGATGTGGTGGTGCAAGCCTGTAATCCCAGCTACTCGGGAGGCTGAGGCAGGAGAATTGCTTGAATCTGGGGGGTGGAAGTTGCAGTGAGCCAAGATCATGCCACTGCACTGTAGCCTGGGCAACAGAGCGACACTGCGTCTCAAAAAAAAAAAAAAAGGATCAATACTTTTCAGATAATGTTGGAAAGTAACTTTGAATGTCCCTCATCGGAATTGAGCATCTCCTCAAGTGTCAGTGGCTATTTTTTTCTTCTGTGAATCTAAAAACTAATATTTTATTTTTAATATTTGTGGCCATTTTTAGTGATAAGACTTTAATAAATATTTTTGGACTTAACTAAAATCAGAAACATGACCACATTTGCTTTTGTGGTTGCAGAAACAGTTGATAAGATCAATTGAGCAACAAAATTGTCCTTTCTTTTTTTTTTTTTTTTTTGAGACATTGTCATGCTCTGTTGCCCAGGCTGGAGTGCAGTGGCATGATCTCGGCTCACTGCAACCTCCCTCTCCTGGGCTCAAGCAGTCCTCCTGCCTCAGCCTCCCAAGTAGCTGGGATTTCAGGTATACGTCACTACGCCCAGCTGATTTTTGTATTTTTAGTAGAGACAGGGTTTTACCATGTTGGCCAGGCTGGTCTCAAACTCCTGACCTTGTGACCCACCCACCTCGGCCTCCCAAAGTGCTAGGATTACAGGCGTGAGCCACCATGCCTGGCTTGTCCTTTCTGTCTTCCAAGTTTGTTTTTCATTTGTATGCTAATATTTGAAGTTTAGAAAAATTTGTGCTACTTCTCAGCATGTTTTATTTTCCCATTATAGATCTATCAGATATTTTTAGAAGGTCTGCAACTGTCTGATAAAGGAAGAGAATGTTCCTGTTCAATCTATCTTAAAGTGCTACTAATTGCTTTTATACTATAGACATACTGATTTTTTCATCTTTTTTATCCAACCATGGCATGGTTTCCTAATCTCAGCATTGACATTTTGGACTGGATAAATCTTTATTTTGGGATGCTATGCTGTACTTTATAGGATGTTTAGCAATATCCCTGACCTCTGCCCTCTAGCTACAAGTACCATCCCCCTAGTTGTTATGGCCAAAAATGTCTTCAAACATTGCCATTCTGAGAGGCAAAATTGCCCCCAGTTGAGAGCCACTGATACAGGCTGTTAGAAGAAAATCGAAGACTCAGTGAATATAGTGTCATACTCCTTTTCTTTCTGCCTCATTTTACCTTAGGAAATGGTTGTTAGCAAAAAAATTAGTTAATCGTATCTTGAAATAAATAGGGTATCTATTTTGCTGATTAATAAAGAAAAAATAAATCTCAGCTGGGCACAGTGGCTCACACCTGTAATCCTAGCACTTTGGGAGGCCAAGGCAGGCGGATCACTTCAGCTCAGGAGTTTGAGACCAGCCTGGGCAACCTGGCGAATCCCTATCTCTACAAAAAATACACAAATTAGCTGGGTGTGGTGACACACACATATAGTCCCAGCTAATTAGGGGGCTGAGGTGGGAAGATCACTTGAGCTCCAGGAGGTGGAGGCTGCAGTGAGCCAAGTTGGTGTCACTGTACTCTAGCCTGGGTGGCAAAGTGAGACCCTGTCTCAATCAATCAATCAATCAATCAATCAATATCTCATGCTGTAATTGTCTTCTGATGTTTTCATCCACCCAGCCCCACCTCTGCAGCCTTAATTACTGGAGTAGGTCCATGATTTCAGTGTAGGGTTAATGTATTCTGCAGATCATCTTTGATTTGACCTGCTTTTTTGCTTCCTTTTTATCTCTGAACAAAGGAGATCATCATTCTCTTTAATCTGCCTTCTGTGTAAATCTCTACCAGACTGGAAGCTCCCTGAAAGCAGAAACTGTCTGCTTCCCCAGAACTTAGCACTGTGCTTTCATGTATGTGGGATAAATTTTTACTTTGTTAGTGCAACTTTGTTTGTACACGTTATCCTTGATATTACATACATTTGTTGATGGGGGCAATTTATATTTGTTGTGAGTAAAATACTTTTTTGTTGGATTAAGAAGAACTATACTCTTCCCAGCACTTTGGGAGGCCAAGGAGGACGGATTACCTGAGGTTAGTAGCTTGAGACCAGCCTGACCAACATGGAGAAACCCCATCTCTATTAAAACTACAAAAAAATTAGCTGTGCGTTGTGGCACATGCCTGTAATCCCAGCTAGTCAGGAGGCTGAGGCAGGAGAACCGCTTGAACCCCTGAGGCAGAGGTTGCGGTTGAGCCGAGATCGCGCCATTGCACTCCAGCCTGGGCAACAAGAGTTAAACTCCATTTCAAAAAAACAAAAACAAAAACAAAAACAAAAAAACAAAAGAAGAACTACTCTGTAGTGAGAGCTAGAATCCTCATGTTGTTTATTTAAAATTTTTGGCCAAGTACAGTGGCTCATGCCTGTAATCCCAGCACTTTGGGAGGCTGAGGCCAGAGGATCACTTGAAGCCAGGAGTTCAGTTACAGCTTGGGCAGCAAAGTGAGACCTTGTCTCTACAAAAAAATTTTTTTTAAATTAGCCAGGTGTGGTGGTATGCCCCTGTAGTCCCAGCTACTCAGGAAACCGAAGCAGGAGAATCGCTTGAACACAGGAGTTTGAGGGTGCTATGAGCTATGATTGTGCCACTGCACTCCAGCCTGGGCAACAGGGCAAGGCCCTGTCTTAATAAAATAAAATAAAATTCTTAATATGTTTATATATTTGAAAAACTATTTGTGTAGAGACACATGTCTGTAAATACACATAGATATATTAACTTTTTAAGCTTTAATTGAAGCCTTTCTCTTCACAGGTTTTATATATTTGACTGCAGATGACTAACAGATTGAATTTTAAGAGTGCGAAACACTCTGGTGCTATAGGGAAGGAACTTCATAAATAGCCCCTCCTGTAAGGGACCAGTCTTTAATTTAAAACAGTCCAGCCCAGGAATCTTGCAAGAATTTTGTAATTATTTGAGGAGAGATGTAGATATACCCTGGAGTTCTTTGACTTTAAGTTATTCTAGAGTCATCCCAGAGATGGCCTAGAAGACTTGAATGTACCCCAAAGGATTCTGAATCCCTTTGGGAAATTTAGACTATGATTTTCAGTAAGAATTAAAAGCCCCAGGATAAGCGTGGTGGTTCACACCTGTAATCCCAGCAATTTGTGAGGCCAAGGCGGGAGGATCGCTTGAGCTCAGGAGTTCGAGACCAGCCTAGGCAACATAGTGAGACCCCACCCATCTCAATTTAAAAAAAGAGAGAAAAAGGCCAGGTGTAGTGGCTCACGCCTGTAATCCCAGCACTTTGGGAGGCCAAGGCGGGTGGATCACCTGAGGTCAGGAGTTCAAGACCAGCCTGATCAATATGGTGAAACCCCATCTCTACTAAAAATACAAAAATTAGCCAGTCCTGATGGCATGTGCCTGTGGTCCCAGCGACTTGGGAGGCTGAGACAGGAGAATTGCTTGAACCCGGGACGTGGAGGTTGCAGTGAGCCGAGATTGGGCCACTGCATTCCAGCCTGGGTGAGAGAGCGAGACTCTGTCTCAAAAAAAAAAAAGAGAGAGAGAGAGAGAGAGAGAGAAAGCCCCAAACATACCTTGGGCCTTTACAACCTACTTGGTCCCAGAATCGTCTTATTGTAAACCCAAAGCCAGGTCTTCTGGTTCGAACCAGTCAAAATGGGTAATCTAAAAAAGTTAAATAGATGATTCAAAATCGTGTTGGTGGTTTTTTCTTTTTAAATCCCCTTTCCAAGTAAAAGGAATCTTTTTTTTTTTTTTAAGTTTTGAAGCCTCATAGCCATAAATATTTTGGCACCAGCATCTATTGGCACCTAAGTCATTGGCTGTATCATATTCCCATGGGACCCTTGTTCCTAGAGGAATGCAGGAATGATCTTGGAGTGGGAAGGACAGAAACAGGTGCTTGCAAAATCAGATATTTCTGAAATTCTCTGTTATTCTATTTCTACTGTCTTTCCCCACTTTACTATAAATTTGATCTGTTATAAAATGGCTGTGTTTAGATAGATACCCGTGATGTTTAGGAAACAAATGATATAGAGACTCCCATTTAAATGAATCTTATCTTTATAAGAAACAGCCAAACTGTTTTCCAGACTGGCTATACCATCTTACATTCCCACCAGGAATGTATGAGTGATCCAGTTTCTCTGCATGCTCGCCAGCATTTGGTGTTGTCACTATTTCTTATTTCAACCATTCTGTTTATCCTTTTCAGTGAAATATCTGTTCATATCTTTTGCCCATTTGCCAATTGAGGCAGGAGGATCACTTGAGCCCAGGAGTTCGAGGCTGCAGTGAGATATGATCACTAAATGTTTGCTTAATGAGCCATATCTTTAAATATCTTTTTTAAAGTTTTTAAAAGTCAGTCCAGTGGTTTATGTGATTATGTGGGATTTTTTAAATCTTTCCAGGCAAAATGTGTATAGCATTTTGAACATATTTACACTGTACTGAGCCCAAGAGTTCTCATATTCTTTCTTTGCTCATTATAGAGTATGGTACTAATACTGTATAATAGTAAATTTTCAAAGATACCTTTATTTAGAATGTTAGAGTATACAGATATATACTTTGTACATAGTTATCATAATGTTTCTAACCTTTTTATTTAAAGCAGGCTGATTTGTGTAAAGGTTTCAGAATGATTTTGTTAATAAGTTATTAGAAACTTTCCTATTTGTACAAGATGGTAAATGTAGATTCCAATTTGTATGCCTCAGTAAATTCATAATCTTATTTCTCTGATGTGAGCCACTGTGCCTGGCCTTCTGTGATGCTCTTAATGAATTTTGCAGTTTTATTAAATTGTCATTGAGAACCTCATAAATCATTGTTAAGATCTATACAAAAAATCAAGGATCCACAGTAATAGAATATTTTTCATCTGCATATGAATTTTTCCCTTCCCTTTTTGTCTACTTTTAGATTTAAAAAAAATTACCAGGACATTCTTATTAAATACTATTACCTGTTTTGGTTTCTGCACATTAAGAAAGTCACAGAGAAGCCAGACACAGTGGCATGCTCTTCTATTCCCAGCTACTCAGGAGGCTGAGGCTGGAGAATCACTTGAGCCCAGGAGTTTGAGGATATCCTGGGCAACATGGTGAAACTTGGCAAAAACAAAAACAAGGCCGGGCATGGTGGCTCACACGTGTAGTCCCAGCACTTTGGGAGGCCACGGCTGGCGGATCACGAGGTCAGGAGATCGAGACCATCCTGGCTAACATGGTGAAACCCTGTCTCTACTAAAAATACAAAAAATTAGCCAGGCGTGGTGGCGGGTGCCTGTACTCCCAGCTACTCGGGAGGCTGAGGCAAGAGAATGGCATGAACCCAGGAGGCGGAGCTTGCAGTGAGCTGAGATCGCGCCACTGCACTCCTGCCTGGGTGACAGAGTGAGACTCCATCTCAAAAAAAAAAAACAAAAACAACAACAACAACAACAAAAAACAACCAGAGAAATAGCACTTGTTAACTACAATTGTGACTCTAGGTAAACTTGGGCCTTAATATGGTTAGACAAGAAGGGTTTTAGGTAACTTGCCTTTTTAGATCCTATTTAGGCTTATTAGTCTATATTCTACATTCTTGCACGATGGAAATTACTAGAGAAGTGGGATAATTCTTTGTTGTGGGGAAAATAAAATTTGTTGTGAAAATATACTGTATTTTAAAATATTTAGAAAGATTATAAATAACTGGAGAAAAGATAATTTCATATACTAATATGATGGAATTAGCCTAGCAGATGTTAAAAATCCTTTCTGAAAATTATAATCTAAAATTATTTGGGAAATTACAATGGAACTGAATAATCTGTACGTTGGTATATTAAAGCCATTTTTATATTGTGTTTCTCTGTTATTTGCTTTGAGTTCACACACATATTTAGTGACATCTATATGGGTGGAAGATTCAGTCAGATAATCTGGATTCCATTCCTTGACCATAGTGGAGTCTCTCATGAGCCCAGGGTACTATTTCATAGTAGAAGATGTATGAACATTCATAGTAGAAGAATGATGAACATTGAGTTGTTTGAAGAAAGGAAGAGGTTTTGGTTTTGTCATATGTTGTTTTTTTTTCCTGTTCAAAGTAATATTAGTCTATTGAAGAGGACAAGGAACGGGGGACATTATGGAGATATGTGGAGCTGACGTTGCTGAAGTTTCTCTGGTTATTTTGTAGCAATAATTTTGAAGAATGGGTTTTATTTAAAAGAAATTGTAGAAAAAAAGAAATGATGATAATATTGAGTATTCGTGTATTTTTTGCTCTTTAGAAAGAAACAGAACCCATTAAGAGGTGGAGCTTAGGCTGGAAGTGGTGGCTCATGCCTGTAATCCTAGCAGTTTGGGAGGCCAGGGTGGGAGGATCACTTGAGGTCAGGAGTTCAAGACCTGCCTGGCCAACATGGTGAAACTCTGTCACTACTAAAAATACAAAAATTATTCAGGCATGATGGCGCATGCCTGTAATCCCAGCTACTCGGGAGGCTGAGGCTGGAGAATCGCTTGAACCTGGGAGGCTGAGGTTGCAGTGAGCCAAGATCACGCCATTGCATTCCATCCTGAGGCATGAGAGGGAAACCCTGTCTCAAAAAAAAAAAAAAAAAAAAAAGGAGATTATAAGGCAAATACATTAGATTTGCCAAATTTTCCTTCCCCCTTGCCCACCACTTGAGCAAGAACATTTGCTACCAGATCCCAGGGAGTTCTCATATCCTTTCACCCAGCCCATGGGAGCCCTTGTCTTCTCTCTTCCAGAAAGCCATTATTTCTATTAGCATCCCAATCTTCATCACCAAACACCGTCAAGAACTGAGAAGAGTCTGAAATTTTACTCTACTTTGGAAGCTAACAAGTTAGCCTCCCACAGTTTTATAGATACAGGTTGAGTATCCCTTATCTGAAGTGCTGGGGATCGGAAGTATTTCGGGTTTAAGATTTTTTTTTTGATTTTGGAATATTTTTATTATATATACTTTCCAATTGAGCATCCAAAATCTGAAAACTTGAAATCTGATACCCAGATCTGAGCATTTCCTTCACACATCATGTCAGTGCTTAAAAAGCCTCACCAGCTTGGGCAACATAGGAAAATCTTGTTACTAAAAAAAAAAATAAATAAGAAAATCAGCCAGGCATGATGGTCATGCCTGTAGTTCCAGCTACTTGGAAGACTGAGGCCCGAGGATCACTTGAACCCAGGAGTTCACTGTAAGATATGATCATGTCACCACACTCCAGTCTGGGCAAGCAACATGCTGTCTCTAGTAATAAAAATGTTTTAATTAAAAATGTCAGATTTAAGAGCATTTAGGATTTCAGAGTTTTGGATTTGGGGTGCTCAACCTGTACTGATGACAAAAGATATGAGACTCCTGCCTCAGGGATTAAAGACTTTATTACTCATAACATAGCAAGCATCAATTATCTTCATATTTACGTTGGTTCTCCTTGCCTCCTAAGTCCTGTGAGGAGCATTTCAGGTTAATCCTGTGAATGCAGTGGTTTGTGGTAAAGCTGAAGAACCTCAGGCTCAGGAAACCTGAATCTTTCTTAATAGATTGGAAGTAAACCTCTCTGATGCTTGTCCCAGAGGAAAATTATTATCATGATGTTTGATCGTTGGACAAAACTGCCCTCTGCTGTGGAGGGAGACACCATCTCTGTCTTACAACAAAAGTCAGTGTCTGTGCTTGTAACACAAACAGAAATGAGAAACCTATTTAGAATTATCTCCCAATAATAAATTCATTATTTTGATTGTGGCAATGGTTTCATGGGTATATGCATACATCAAAACTCATCACATTGTTCACTTTATGTACAGTTTATTCCATGTCAGTTATACCTCAGTACAACTGGGGGAAACAAAGTCTTGCTACTCAAATATGTCATTGGGACCAGCAGTCTCAACATCACCTAGGTGCTTTTTAGAAAAGCAGAATTTCAGGCCTTATCCCAGACCTACTGAATGAGAATCTGTATTTTAATAAGATCCCCTGGTATTTAATTGTTAACTTTTTGTTTTGAAACAATTTTAGAGTTACAGAAAAGTTGTAAAAATAGTACACAGTTCCCTTTTCATTAGCTTCTCCTAATTAACATCATGTATAACCATAATACAATTACTCGAATCAGGAAATTCACATTGATACAGTGGTCTTAACTAATCTACAGACCTTATTTGAATTTTGCCTGTTTTCTGAGTGATGTCCTTTTTCTCGTTCAGAATTCAGTCCAGGATCCCACATTGTATTTAATTTTCATGTCTCCTTAGTCTCCTCCAATCTGAGATAGTTCCTCAGTCTATTTTTTTCATGGCCTTGACATTTTTGAAGTGTACTGGCAGTTATTTTATAGAATGTTCCTCACTTTGGCTTGGCCTGATTTTTTATTGTGTGTAGATTGAGGTTTTGCACTTTTGTTAAAATACTGCAGAAGTGATATTGTGGACTTCTCAGTGCATCCTATCATGAAGCTATATCCCTGTGTCTTATTACCGATGATGTTAACATTGATCACTTGATTAAGATAGATTAAGATAGTGTCTTCCAGATTTCTCCACTCTAAGGTTACTATTTTTCTTTAGTAGTTAATAAGAATTTTCTGAGAAGATACTTTGAGACCATGTAAATATCCTGTTTGCCATCACACTTTTCACTCACTAGTTTTAGTGTCCATGGATAGTTTTCTCCTGCAACAATCATTCCGGTGTTGAGTGCCTAGTAATGGTGATTTTCTATTTCCATTATGCCTTTTTATTTATTAATTGAATTCTACTGTATGGAAGAGCTGTCTCTTATCCTCCATTAATTTATCACTCAATTATTTATATCAGTTTTGGTCACCTCTTGCCCCACTTCCTATCATCTTGGCCCACCTTTTTATTCCACTTGTTGCAGCAATCAGCTGCCCCGGTGTATGCTGACAACACCTTGCCTCATTGTGCCTTACCATATCTCCTGTTCTGGACTAGGATTTCCTTGCCTCTCAGCTTGGAATACTTGTCTGAACTTGCTCTGTTATTTTCACCCATGTCCAAACCTTGAAGTACTAGAGAGTTGACACCCGACAGAGCAACTTTTTCACAGTGAGGATGGGAGCCAGTGTGTAAATATGCCCCTCTTCTGTCCTTCAAGTGGACAGTTTTGAAGTATGCTCTTCAAAACTTCTTGGAGAGTCCCGTCCAGGATCAAGCCTCAGTAGCCTCCAGCAGTGATCATCTCAGTAACACATCTCAGTAACCCATAACACATGGGGTTGGCTTTTCCTCCTTCGTGTTTCACGCTTGCCGTCTCCCACTCCAGTTCATTGGAATCATCTCCCAAAATAAACCAACTGCATGTAAGAAATTGTGTCAGGGTGTTTGTGGGGAAGGAGAACCAGCTAAGATCTGTGCATTACCAGTTGTTAAATATTTTGACTGTCACCCCTGTTCATAATCTAAGACCCTGTGGAAAATTTCACATGTACAAAGGAGACAGGAATATTCATAGCATCAGAATATGAAAAAAGGTAAAAACTCCCAAATGCCTTTCAGTAAGAGAATGGATTATCTGCCGGGCATGTTGGCTCACATCTGTAATCCCAGCACTATGGGAGGCCAAGGCAGGCGGATCACTTGAGGTCAGGAGTTCGAGACGAGCCTGGCCAACATAGTGAAACCCCGTCTCTACTAAAAATACAAAAATTAGCTGGGATTGGTGGCGCGCACCTGTAATCCCAGCTACTTGGGAGGCTGAGGCAAGAGAATCACTTGAACCTGGGAGGCAGATGTTGCAGTAAGCTGAGATTGCACCACTGCACTCCAACCTAGGCAACAGAGCAAGAGTCTGTCTCAAAATAAAATTAAAAAAAAAATAATAAAATAGAATGGAGTATGTAAATGTTATTTTTGCATTAGTGAAAATGAATGACCACCCATCAAGATAGATGACCCTCTTAAAATGTTGAACAAAAAAAGATTGGCAGATGAATAATAAATTTTATTCTAAATTTATGAAGTTCAAAAACATGAAAAGCTAAGCAATATATTATTTGGATATACATACACGTGTGTTAAGATTATAAAGAAGAACATGGAAATTATACACAGAATTTAAGATGTTATTTTGGAAAGGGAAAGTTGTGGGGACACACTGGTAGGGGGCACATGAGGTTTCAATGGTGTTAATAATATGTTGCTTAAGCAGGTACATGAGGGTTTATCATGATTCCTCATATCTCACATTTACTTTATATTTTTTAGGGTGAATAAAATATTTTATCCTAAAAATATTTTAGGTTTGATATTAAGGGGTTACTTTTATTAAGGGTGACTTTGAAACCTTTCTACTGCTCTAATGCAGTCATTCCAGAAAACTGGGGAGAGGTTGAATCCCTCCCTGAGGAAATTCCGAGGCTTCGCCTCTACTCTGTCCTATTAAGGTGATTAAACTGTACATAACAGGATTGTCTCTAGAAGCAAGACCCAGATTTAACACTTATAAGTGTTATTTCTTTTGTCAGTCACTAGATGGATTTGGTGTGAAAAGAAGATGCTTTAAAAAAAAATCTGAAACTGTTCTGACAACTGCAGATCTTTTCATGTGATAAAAGGTGTCACTAAGGACCTTCTTACTCCAAGTGTGATTTTTGGCTGCTGAGGCAGCACCAGCATCACTTGGAAGCCTGTTGGAGATGCAGAATTGAAGCCACACCTTACAGACTGAATTGTAAGATTCCCTAAGTGATTACTGTGCACCTCAAGGTTTGAGAGGCAGTGGTCCAGGAGTCTGGTACTTCCACCTGCAAAAGCAGTATCCAGTGCCAGCAGAGGGGGCAGCACGTGGAAATGCCTCAGGTTTAACTGTAATGGACCCGTCTTTTTCACAACCCTCTTTGTGTTGGCTATTCTGTGGCCCGCATATTTCTAAATAGAGTAGACTTTATTATACCTCTCTCCTCTTTCCAAATTTGCTGGGCTGTGGACTCTCATCTATTCAATAAAAACATTGAACTTCCATTAAGCACTGAGGAGATGATAGTGAATAGAATGATATGACTTTGACTCTAGAAGCTTACAGTCTAATGGGATGCAGGTAGCAAGTGAGTAATTACAAGTTTAATGAATGTTGGAAAGTCAAAGAAAATTTTATGGGAAAACAGTTGGAGATGGGGACTCCGGGGAAGCTTTTCTGGAGAAAGTGTTGTTTAAGTTTAGATGAAAAGGCATGTGCAGGTGAGTTGTGGGTGAACTGGGGGATTGTTCCAAGCATAAGGAATGCCAATGAATGGTGCTCTTTGGACATCTGTTTGTATTGCCAGTGCCTTGCATAGTTCTTGGCATACAATAAGTGCTTAATAAATGTTTGCAGAATCAATAAATGTTCTGTCACATTTCAGATGTCTACTCTCTGGCATTGGAGATGGTGGAAACTTTATTTTCCTTTTCAAAGGAAATAAGATCCCTTAATGGGGAAATAAGAAAGAAAGCTGACTGTTGTGCAAATTGCTAAATTGGAACTATGAGTGGGAATGAAAAATTGATTTACATGAATTTTCTTCCCTGTAGCAACTTGACAATTTATTCTGTTCTGGAGAATTCTCAGTTTTTGGCTTAAAAACCAAGCTGTTCCTCCTTATTCTGAATTTCTTGGCCTGCTGTGAAACTAACATTTACTGTCTTTTACAACATGCCCTGATTAGGTCATGGAAATTCACAACTAAATCAAACTAGGATATGGAAAATTTGAAACTTTCACTGCCCATTTTATGTAATGGCGTTGGAAGGTGTTATAAAACATTGACTTTTAAATCTTTATTTTCAAAAGCTATATTATACGATGAATATAATAATTGCCATCATTTATTGAACACTTACTACATGCATTACATAGCAAAATCCTCATACTACCTCTGCAAGAGAGTAAGTTGAACCATATGAAAATTGCCCAATATCAGCAATTTCATGTGGTTCAACCTAGTATCTTCAGACTCTGACCTATAAAGAGGTTAGGGAATCCCTCATAGCCATAACTTCACTCCAAATTTAGTACTGAATCTTTTAGTACTATCTTTTATAGATAAAGAGATCCTAAGATAGTTACAGCTCCTCTATGACAGCGACCCCTTTCCCTACATTAGCCCAAGCACTTTGTGTGTGTACTTCCATCATGGTTATTTACGCATTGAATTGAGGTGGTTTACAATCCATTTCCTCTGCTACACTGAGTTCCTTGAGGGTGGATGTTTTGTCTGTCTTGCTCATTTTTGTATACGTAGTACCTAGAGTGAAAAGTATTTGTTGAATATAACTTTAAGTTTTCTTAAAGTTATATTTTTTGTGGAAACTAAATTTTTATTGATTTGTTACTGGAGAATGTGAAGTAATCACTGGGGTTTTTGCATTTTAGAATCAGTCAGTGGAGTACTGCATTTGACATTCTTGGACTCTCAGGACTAGTTACATGCAATTATGCATACAATTGTCTCTCCACCCTGCCCCAGAGAAAGATCTGAAAGTGCTCTCTTACCTATCTCATCTCCTTTAGGCATTTGCTTAAATACCACCTTCTCCGTGCTACCTTCCCAGATCACTCTATTTAGGACTGAAGCCATTCCTCCAACACCTCTGCTTATATTTTTTTCCCATAGCACACATACCAGCATGTAATATAGTTTTTGTTTTACGTATTCTTTTGCATATTATCTTTCCCATCCTGCTAGAATGTAAGCTCCATGAAGGCAGGAGTTTTTGTCTCTATTTTGTCCACTGATGTCTCCCCATATCAAGAATAGTGTTTGGGGCCGGGCGTGGTGGCTCACGCCTGTAATCCCACCACTTTGGGAGGCCCAGGCGGGAGGATCTCTTGAGTCCAGGAGTTCCAAACCAGCCTGGGAAACATGGCGAAACAGCCGGGTGTGGTGGCGCGGGCCTGTAGTCCCAGCTACTCGGGAGGCTGTGGTGGTAGGATCACCTGAGACTGGGAAGTCAGGGCTCCAATGAGCCGTGATCCTGCCACCGCACTCCAGCCTCGGTGAGAGCAAGACCCCGTCTCAAAAACAAACAAAGTGGCATATAGAAGATCTATAAGATTTGACTGGAGTAAAATGAGAAAGATCTAATCGTTTTAATGCGCTGTTCACACGGGGTTTTTAACTTCGGCACGAACGAATGAACAAAATCTTTTCATATGGAACCAAGTGTACGGGTATTTGGGGTGTGTGCAGTTTCCGCGGGACAGAATGACCTGTCCTGGTTTGGGTATTAACTTGCCTTGATATTGAAGAACCTCCACATTCCCAGTGGTCTCTAACTCATTGTCTGAATAATTTCAAGGTGTCCCACAGTTGGCCCCACGCATAGCCTCAATCACGATCACTCGCCCCCCTGTCCCTTATTGATGCTCCCCCAGGGCGACCCCGCAAAGGCCTGGGGACCGAATGGAACTGCCCCAGTCCCCCTCCTTCCAAGAGAGCTGGGGTTTTCTGGCTTCGGGGTCAGTTGGAAAAGAGATTCCCACCCAAGTCGCAGGGTGGGAGTAGGGGGGATGAGATAGGAGTGATGAAGGAAGTGTGTCTAAAATTCTAGGCCTCAGGCCCGCAGCTGTCCCTGGAGGCGGCGGGGAAGCGGGGTGGTCGGGTCCTGCGGAGGGCTCCCAGGGAGGCCACAGGGGGAACCAAGGGGCGGTGGCTGAGTGCACGAGTCCCGCCCCTCCATCTGTTGGCCCCCTACTCTCAAAGGGAAGCCTGGGGGCGGGGTTTGTTTACTCCGTGCACGCACTGCCGGCCCGGCCAATCCGTGGGGAGCGGCGCCAGGCGTCGCACATTCTGAGGGCCAATCGGCGCGCACTGTGCTGCTCCGCCGCCAAAGCTCGCGCGGGGGAAGCGGGGCTGTAGCTGGGCAGGGAGAGGGCGGACGAAATCGGTAGCGATCTCGGCTGCGGCGCTGCCGCAGCTGCCCGGCCCGCGGGGCGCGCCCTGACCCTTCATCTTTGGGCAGGCTCGAGGGCGCGCGCACGGTTGGCGTTCTGGGGCCTCAAACTCCTGGGCCTTGACCGGGCAGGCCGCGTCTCCCCGGGTGTGAGTCCACCGGGACCCGGCCGCCGCCTAAGCGCGGGCGCCACAGAAGCGGCGGCGCCCGAAGACGCGCTCCTGGCTCGGCCCGACAGCCTCGCTTGGCCGCCAGTTCTTCTGCAGCCGAAGGCGGTAAGGTCTGGGGCGAGGGCGCGGGCCCGCGCGCGGAGGGCCTTTGGACCCGGCCGGGCGCGTTCCTGGGTAGGTTTCCCTCCCTGCGCACAGGGGCCCCCTTGTTCCCCCACGAGTCCCATCTGTTTAGACCTGGGTTCTCCAGGCCTGGCCGGGTAACCCGTGAGTGTCTGGGCCAGAGTCGAAAGCAGAGGAGGGTCACCCTCTTAGTGCATAGAGCAAATCGGGGGAGGTAACGTCCCTGAGTCACGCCTCGTGGAAGAGGGGAAGGGCTGCTTTCTACTTTCTCGTTCTCTTCAAAGAAGGATGGCTTCTAAATCTGGTTTTCCGATTTTTCCCTTCTCCTTTCATGACTCACAGGCCTCTGTGTCCACCAGGTGTTTTGTTTGTTTTTAAAGAGTTTCTAAGCTTTGTGTGCTTGGAAGAACCTCATATGCCCCATAAAGGAACTTTTCTCTGAAGTAGAGGATCGCTTTTTGGGCCCAGACTCCTTTGAGAAAATCTGGAAAGCCAAGGTCTGTCTTCACAAAGAAGTGTAAGGGTTTTCCTAGGATCTCGCTGAGAGACAGTACAACGAAGTGGATGAGCGCCCCAGTCTCTCTTACCAGCCTGTGCTATCTCCCATTGTGTGATCTCGGTTTCTTCATCTGTAAATTAGATGCATCCACCTATTCGGTGTGTTTCGGGGAGTGAATGGACTAATGTATGGAATGCAATCGTAAGAAAATCCTCCACGTATTAAATGCCTTGCATTAGTTAGGCACTTTTATTATTGACTGCCATGGATGCTGGTTTAGAAAAAGACCCTATATTATTTCCCTTTTAGTGTTGAGACAGTGAACGGGCTCATTCCTTTTCCATATTCACTGCTGAAGCTGCCTTTGAGCCCATGAATACTTTTATCTTTTCCTCATTCCATCTCAGAGGGCACAGACTCCCTCTCACTTATTTGCTTTCTTTCAGTAAGGCTCTCTTTTAGCTCAGCCTTCTCCTTCCCCTGTCTCCCCGAGATCTGAGTTTTGTGTCTTTTCATTTGACTTGCACAACCTACTTTTTTTTTTTTCTGGGCCATGTGTTTTCTCTTCATGGCTTGAATTTATCTTCACCTAATAAATAATTTACCTGTTTTTTTTTTCAGCTCGTGAATATATATTCATCTATTTTCTATATGGCATAATCATGTCCCTGTCTCTCTTTAAAAGTAGATATAAAAATAGTTTAATTGATCTATATTGCAGCTTCCTTTTCCATTTCATTGTTTAGCCTGTTATTTAGCTAAACTTTATCACTATCAGATTACTGTAATTAATCTTTAATGGCAGTGTCCATTCTCAGACAGCACCAGGAGAAAAATCAAATGCCTAGACCCCAGATTCTGTCACACTTGTGTACTGGCTCTGGATGTGTTTGTTATTTATTAGAACATCTTGTGCCTGTAACTAGTCTAGTCTAAGAGTAGACATGGTGTCTGTAGCGTTGTTCTGGCTGTGCAGTTGCAGTTTGAGCACTGTGGCCCTTACATTTGTTAATAAAAGGTTCAAGACTTACTAAACTCTTACTTTTCAGTTCTCTTCATTTCTAGGTGTTTAAAAAGGAAAGCTGAATTTTTGCAGTGTGTAATACTTCATATTCTCATTTTGTGATCATGTAATTCCTCCCACCCTGACTCTTGTGAATGTGTAGTCCAAGTGGCACATGGAAGTTTTTCTCTGGCAGCTAAAATTCTTAACTGTCTGAGCCGTGTGCCCTCAATATAACTGATGAAGTGGGATGTACTTCCTTGTCATCATCTTTTAAACTCTTATTGCAATATGTGTTATAATGGATCTCAGAAGAAACTAGAAGGCATAGATTGAGAGTTCTTTTAGATCATAGAATTTTAAATTGTAGTGGATTTTAAAGAGAATCAAATACACTCACCTCTTCATACTTAAATCCTTTCCGTTTTAATCTGGGATACATGACTCTAGGTGTGCGGCATGAATAGATATGAAAGTAGGCTTGTGAACTCTTGGAAATATTATGCAAAATTATGCATATTTGTATATTTTTTGGAGAGACTATTTATAGTGTCATAGTTTCTGAGGCAAAGATATTTGATCAATTCTTTTTTTTTTTTTTTTTGAGACAGGGTTTCTCTATGTTGCTCAGGCTTGTCTGGAACTCCTGGGCTCAAGTGATCCTCCCACCTCACCCTCCCAAGTAGCTGGGGTTATAGGCACACACCTCGCCATGTTTGGACAACTCTAATTTTTATAAAATTATTTCTTTCACTGAACTAGAAATTGTGTCCTCACTGTCTCTTCTGTATTGTGGGTTTTCAACTATTTGAAGATACTTATATTCCACTGAGTGTTAGAAAATATTCTCAGTCTTTAACCTCTGCTAGTGACTTTTGTGTCATTGTTTTCATTCACATCTCCTCACAGAACTCATAGCCCACTTGTGGATTTGTTTAGTTCATCCACATTCTTCTGACAAGCATGGTACCCCAAATTAGGTATTAACTAGTATAGAAGACTAAGTTACCTCTCTAATTTTAAAGCATGTACTTTAAGAGTAGACTTGCTTCTTTGGCAACCACATTACACTGTTACTTTATAATAATTTACTAGTTAAGAAGATTAACTTTGGGGCTAACCTTCCTGTGTTTAGATCCTAGCTCTGCAGTTTATCAGCTGGGTAACCCTGAGTAAGTTATGTAAACACTCTGGGCCTAAGTCTCCTCATCTCTAATATGGGGTTAATAATAGTGTCTATCTTACACAATTCTGAAGATAATTAATATATATATATAAGTCATTTAGAATGGGTTGTGGCATCCCAGTACTATGTATGTATGATACCTATTTTACTATTGGTTTCCTTGTCAACTAAAATTGTTGAATTATTTTGTTCATGCTCTCTCTGTTCTTAAAGTCATACTCTCTCAATTCTTTAATAGAATATTTTTTGGTAGGACTTTACATGTATCTATATTTTTATTTTGTAAGATTGCTTCTAGTCTGTTGACATTAAAAAAATCCTGATTTGGTCATCCAATAAATATCAAATCTATGCATTTGATAAACATACAAGTTTGATAATTTTGGCATTGCTTTCATGCAAATTTTTCACTAAAATGCTGTCTAGGCAGGGCTGAGGTCAGAGTTCTTTACCTGCTAAAGACCTCTCTTAAAGGTGATAAAAAATTTTATTATTAATTCTTTGGTTCAGGTTGGTCACCCAATTAGAAATTCAGCTAATTTTAATCATCATCTACCTCATATGTTTCCAAGTTCTCATAAGGAATATGTGAGGAACTTTGACAGTTGCCTTACTAAAACCCAGATTTTATATGCTTCGTTTTCTTTACCCTATCATTACTTGTCCTTAGTGAAACTATACTATATTCCAGTAGCATATGTTAATTACTACTTTTTTGTCTTTTTTTTCGGAAAAGGATTATTTATTTATTTATTTATTTATTTAGAGACAGAGTCTCTCTCTGTCACCCAGGCTGGAGTGCAGTGGCCTCCTGGATTCAAGCAATTCTCCTTCTCCAGCCTCCCGAGTTGCTGGGTCTGCAGGCGCTTGCCACCATACCCGGCTGATTTTTGTATGAGAAAAGGATTTTTTAATTCAAGTAAAAATGTGGAATGCTTTAAGAATTTGTGTGTCATCATTGCACAGGGGCCATGCTAATCTCTGATTTGTTCCCGTTTAGTATATGTGCTACTAAGGGAGCACTGATTACTACTTTTTCTAAGTGTTCACAAACTTCTCTTAGTAATGATGCTAGAATCATGTCTAAAATTACATCTAACTTCAGTGATCAATAGTTGGCAGGATCCCATTTCTCTTTTTTTGAACACGAGTACTACATTTTTCTGTCTTTAGTCTTCTGGCAACCTCTCCTGCTCACCATAGTTCCTAAATGATTGCCAACAGCTGTGTGGAATTTTATTTGGAGCAATATACCTTGTTGAAGGTTTACTTAGAGTAGTTAGGAACTGTCTTTTATCTTCATGTTCATATTGAGCTTTCATTTCCTCCAGTTCATTGATAAATTTATTAAATGCCCATTTTGCACAAGATATCAATGCTTGTTTTACTTGAGCCATCGGAAGAGAATTTTTCTTAATAAAAATGCCTGAAGCAAAAAGGTAATGTACATCTATTTCTCTCCATTCCTCCTATTGTTAATATTACCGTAGTCTGCCACCATTCCTTCTTTAGTGTACTGCAGTAATAGCTTCCTGTTAACCTTCCTTCTTCCAGTCCTTTTCTGTCTCTGGTCCTTATGTATGGCAGCCAAAGTTATCTTTGTTTTAAAAATGCATGTATGTTTTAAAAGTCGTTTCTGGGAGGTGCAGTGACTCACGCCTATAATCCCAGTGCTTTGGGAGGCCGAGGTGGGCGGATTGCTGAGCCCAGGAGCTCAAGACCAGCCTGGGCAACATGGTGAAACCTGTCTCTACTAAAAATACAAAAAGTAGTCAGGCTTGGTGGCATGTGCCTATAGTCCCAGGTACTCAGGAGGCTGAGGTGGGAGGATCTCTTGAGCCCAGGAAGTCAAGGCTGCATTGAGCTGTGATCGTGCCACTGCACTCCAGCCTGGGCAACAGAGTGAGACCCTATCTCTAAATAAATAAATAAATAAATAGGAATAAATAAATAACTAAGTATTTTCTTTCCTAGTGGCATAAGCTGTAATCTAATTAGAATTTGATTTCTGAGCATAGTACTTTCCAACTCCCTTTTTCTGTTTCCTCTTTACTGTCCTTTTAAATTCAAACCCCTCCACCCCTGCTGCCCCGCTTTTTTTTTTTTTGAGACAGAGCCTTGCTCTATTGCCCAGGCTGGCAGTGGTGCAATCTCGGCTCACTGCAACCTCCACCTCCTGGGTTCAAGTGATTCTTGTGCCTCAACCTCCCAAGTAGCTGGGATTATAGGCATGTGCCACCACACCTGGCTAATTTTTGTATTTTTAATAGAGACAGGGTTTTGCCATTTTGGCCAGGATGGTCTTGAACTCCTAACCTCAAGCAATCCACCTCTCTTGGCCTCCCAAAGTGCTGGGATTACAGATGTGAGCCATCGTGCCTGGCCATAGATCTCATTCTTTTTTATGGCCAAATAGTACTTCATTGTATGTATGTACCACATTTTCTTTATTCATTCATCTGTTAACGAACACTTAGGTTGCTTCCAAATCTTAGCTATTGTAAACAGTGCTGCAACAAACATAGGAATGCAGATATCTCTTCAATATACTGATTTCCTTTCTTTTGGCTATATACCCAGCAGTGGGATTGCTGGATCATATGGTAGCTCAATTTTTAGTGTTTTGAGGAACGTCCAAATTGTTCTCTGTAGTGGTTGTACTAATTTACGTTCCCATCAACAGTTTGAGAAGGTTCCCTTCTCTGCACATCCCCACCAGTATTTGTTACTGTCTGTCTTTTGGATATAAGCCATTTTAACTGGGGTGAAATGATAGCTCATTGTAGTTTTGATATGCATTTCTTCGATGATCAGCAATGTTGAGCACCTTTTCGAATGACTATTTGCCATTTGTATGTCTTCTATTGAGAAATGTCTATTCAGATCTTTTGCTCATTTTTTAATGGGATTATTTGATTTTTTTCCTAGAGTTGCTTGAGCTCTTTATATATTCTGGTTATAAATCTCTTGTCAGATAGGTAGTTTGCAAATGTTTTCTCCCATTCTTTGGGTTGTCTCTTCACTTTGTTGATTGTATCCTTTGCTGTGCAGAAACTTTTTACTTGATGTGATCCCATTTGTTTATTTTTGCTTTGGTTGCCTGTGCTTGTGGGGTACTGCTCAAGAAATTCTTGCCCAGACCAATGTCCTGGAGATTTTCCCCAATATTTTCTTCTAGTAGTTTCACAGTTTAAGGTCTTAGATTTAAGTCTTTAATCCATTTTGATTTGATTTTTTTTTTTAGACAGGGTCTTGCTCTGTTGCCCAGGCTGGAGTGCAGTGGCTTGATACCAGCTCACTGCAACCTCAGCCTCCCAGGTTCAAGCAGTTCTTGTGCCTCAGCCACCCAAGTAGCTGGGACTACAGGCATGTGCCACCATGCCTGGCTAATTTTTGTATTTTTAGTAGAGATGGGGTTTCACCATGTTGGCCAGACTGGTCTTGAACTCCTGACCTCAAGTGATCTGCTCGCCTTGGCCTCCCAAAGTGCTGGGATTACAGGCGTGAGCCACCTTGCCCAGGCTGATTTGATTTTTGTGTATGGCAAGTGATATGGGTCTGGTTTTTTTCTTCTGCATTTGCATATCCAGTTTTCCCAGCACCATCTATTGAAGAGACTGTCTTTTCCCCAGTGTGTGTTCTTGGCATCTTTGTGGAAAATGAGTTAACTGTAGGTGTGTGGATTTGTTTCTGGATTCTCTGTTCTGTCCATTGGTCTGTGTGTCTGTTTTTATTCCAGTCCCATGCTGTTTTGGTTACTATAGCTCTGTAGTATAATTGAAGTCAGGTAATGTGATTCCTCCAGTTTTGTTCTTTTTGCTCAAGATAGCTTTGGCTATTCTGGGTCTTTTGTGGTTCCATATAAATCTTAGGATGGTTTTTTCTATTTCTGTGAAGCATGTCATTGCCATTTTGATAGGGATTGCCTTGAATCTGTAGATTGCTTTGATAGCAGTATTGACATTTTAACAATATTGATTCTTTCAATCCATGAACATGGAATATTTTTCCATTTTTTTGGTGTCCTCTTCAATTTCTTTGATCAGTGTTTTATAGTTTTCATTACAGAGATCTTTCACTTCTTTGGTTATTACCTAGTTATTCAATTTTATGTGTGGCTGTTGTAAATGGAGTTACTTTTAAAATTTCTTTTTCACATTGTTCACTGTTGGCATATGGAAATGCTACTGATTTTTGTATGTTGATTTTGTATCATGTAACTTTACTGAATTTGTTTATCACTTCTATTAATAATACTTTTCTTGTGGAGTCTTTAGGTTTTTCCAAATATAAAATTGCATCATCTGCAAACAGGGATAATTTGACTTCTTCCTTTCCAATTTGGGTGCCCTTTATATCTTTCTGTTGTCTGATTGCTCTAGATAGGACTTCCAGTACTTTGTTGAATAACAGTAGTGACAGTGGGCATGCTTGTCATGTTTCAGATCTTTGAGGAAAGGCTTTCTAGTTTTTCCCCATTCAGTATGATACTAGCTGTGGGTCTGTCATATATGGCTTTTATTATGTTGGGGTGTGTTCCTTCTATCCCCAGTTTTTTGAGTATCTTAACTTCTTTGCAACATAAATATTTTATTTAAGACCTATATGTCCTTTTGCAACATATTTCATGCTCTTTTGACTTTTTTTTTTTCTTGAGACAGAGTCTTGCTCTGTCACCCAGGCTGGAGTGCAGTGGCATGATATCGGCTCACTGCAACCTCCGACTCCCGGGTTCAAGTGATTCTTGTGCCTCAGCCTCCCAAGTAGCTGGGATAACAGGTATGTGCCACCATGCCTGGCTAATATTTGTATTTTTAATAGAGACAGGGTTTTGCCATGTTAGCCAGGCTAGTCTTGAACTCCTGGCCTCAACTGATCTGCTGCCTCAGCCTCCCAAAGTGCTGGATTACAAACTTAACCCACCACACCTGGCCTATGTTCTTTTGACTTTAAAAGAAATTAAATAGATCTTCGTTCAAGATGGCCGAATAGGAACAGCTCCAGTCTGCAGCTCCCAGCGTGATTGATGCAGAAGATGGGTGATTTCTGCATTTCCAACTGAGGTACCTGGTTCATCTCATTGGGACTGGTTGGACCGTGGGTGCAGCCCACAGAGGGTGAGCCGAAGCAGGGAAGGGCGTCACTTCACCCAGGAAGCACAAGGGATCAGAAGATTTCCCTTTCCTAGTCAAGGGAAGCCGTGACAGACTGTACCTGGAAAAATGGGACGCTCTCGTCCAAATACTGGACTTTCCCCATGGTCTTAGCAACTGGCAGACCAGGAGATTCTCTCCCGTGCCTGGCTTGGCGGGCCCCACATCCGTGGAGCCTTGCTCACTGCTAGCGAAGTAGTCTGAGATGGACCTGTGAGGCTGCAGCCGGGTTGGGGGAGGGGTGTCCGCCATTGCTGAGGCTTGAGTAGGTAAACAAAGCGGCCAGGAAGCTCAAACTGGGCGGAGCCTACCTCAGCTCAGCAAGGCCTACTGCCTCTATAGACTCCACCTCTGTGGGCAGGGCATAGCAGAACAAAAGGCAGCAGAAACTTCTGCAGACTTAAACATCTCTGACAGCAGTGGTTCTCCCAGCATGGTGTTTGAGCTCTGAGAATGGACAGTCAGCCTCCTCAAGGGGTCCCTGACACCCGTGTAGCCTAACTGGGAGACACCTCCCAGTAGGGGGCGACAGACACCTCATACAGGTGGGTGCCCCCCTGGGACGAAGCTTCCAGAGGAAGGATCAGGCAGCAATAATTGCTGTTCTGAAATATTTGCTGTTCTGCAGCCTCTGCTGCTGATACCCAGGCAAACGGGGTCTGGAGTGGACCTCCAGCAAACTCCAACAGACCTGCAGCTGAAGGACCTGACTGTTAGAAGGAAAACTAACAAACAGAAAGGAATAGCATCAACATCAACAAAAAGGACATCCACACCAAAACCCCATCTGTAGGTCACCAACATCAAAGACCAAAGGTAGATAAAACCACAAAGATGGGGAGAAACCAGAGCAGAAAAGCTGAGAATTCTAAAAACCAGAGTGCCTCTTCTCCTCCAAAGGATTGCAGCTCCTCGTCAGCAACGGCATAAAGCTGGACGGAGAATGACTTTGATGAGTTGACAGAAGCAGGCTTCAGAAGGTTGGTAATAACAAACTTCTCTGAGCTAAAGAAGCATGTTCTAACCCATCGCAAGGAAGCTAAAAACCTTGAAAAAAGGTTATGGCTAACTAGAATAAACAGTGTAGAGGAGACCTTAAATGACCTGATGGAGCTGAAAACCATGGCATGAGAACTTCGTGAGGCATGCACAAGCTTCAAAGGCCGATTTGATCAAGTGGAAGAAAGGATATCAGTGATTAAAGATCAAATTAATGAAATAAAGCGAGAAGACAAGTTTAGCGAAAAAAGAGTAAAAAGAAATGAACAAAGCCTCCAGGAAATATGGGACTATGTGAAAAGACCAAATCTGTGTTTGATTGGTGTACCTGAAAGTGACGGGGACAATGGAACCAAGTTGGAAAACACTCTTCAGGGTATTATCCAGGAGAACTTCCCCAACCTAGCAAGGTAGGCCAACATTGAAATTCAGGAAATACAGAGAACACCACAAAGATACTCCTGAGAAGAGCAACCCCAAGATACATAACTGTCAGATTCACCAACGTTGAAATGAAAGAAAAAGTGTTAAGGACAGCCAGAGAGAAACATCAGGTTACCCAAAAAGGGAAGCCCATCAGACTAACAGCGGATCTCTCGGCAGAAACCCTACAAGCCAGAAGAGAGTGGGGGCCATTATTCAACATTCTTAAAGAAAATAATTTTCAACCCAGAATCTCATATCCAGCCAAACTAAGCTTCATAAGTGAAGGAGAAATAAAATCCTTTATAGACAGACAAATGCTGAGAGATTTTTTCACCACCAGGCCTGCCTTACAAGAACTCCTGAAGGAAGTGCTAAACGTAGAAAGGAACAATCGGTACCAGCCACTGCAAAAACATGCCAAATTTTAAAGACCATGAATGCTATGAAGAAACTGTATCAATTAACAGGCAAAATAACCAGCTAACATCATAATGACAGGATCAAATCCACACATAACAATATTAACCTTAAATGTAAATGGGCTAAATGCCCCCAATTAAAAGACACAGACTGGCAAATTGGATAAAGAGTCAAGACCCATCAGTGTGCTATATTCAGGAGACCCATCTCACATGCAGAGACACACATGGGCTCAAAATAAAGGGATGGTGGAAGATCTACCAAGCAGATGGAAAGCAAAAAAAAGCAGGGGTTGCAATCCTAGTCTCTGATAAAACAGACTTTAAACCAACAAAGATCAAAAGAGACAAAGAAGGCCATTACGCAGTGGTACAGGGATCAATTCAACAAGAAGAGCTAACTATCCTAAATGTATATGCACCCAATATAGGAGCACCCAGATTCATAAAGCAAGTCCTTAGAGACCTACAAAGAGACTTAGACTCCCACACAATAATAATGAGAGACTTTAACATCCCAATGTCAATATTAGATCAACGAGACAGAAGACTAACAAAGATATCCAGGACTTGAACTCAGTTCTGCACCAAGTGGACCTAGTAGACATCTACAGAACTCTCCACCCCGAATCAACAGAATATACATTCTTCTCAGCACCATATCACACTTATTCTAAAATTGACCACATAATTGGAAGTAAAGCACTCCTCAGCAAATGTAGAATAACAGAAATCACAACAAATTGTCTCTCAGACCACAGTGCAATCAAATTAGAACTCAGGATTAAGAAACTCACTCAAAACCTCACAATTACGTGGAAACTGAACAACCTCCTCCTGAATGACTACTGGGTACATAATGAAATGAAGGCAGAAATAAAGATGTTCTTTGAAACCAATGAGAACAAAGACACAATGTACCAGAATCTCTGGGACACATTTAAAGCAGTGTAGAGGGAAATTTATAGCACTAAATGCCCACAAGAGAAAGCAGGAAAGATCTAAAATTGACACCCTAACATCACAATTAAAAGAACTAGAGAAGCAAGAGCAAACACATTCAAAAGCTAGCGGAAGGCAAGAAATAACTAAGATCAGAGCAGAACTGAAGGAGATAGAGACACAAAAAACTCTTCAAAAAATCAATGAATCCAGGAGTTGGTTTTTTTGAAAAGATCAACAAAATTGATAGACCGCTAGCAAGACTAATAAAGAGGAGAGAAGAATCAAGTAGATGCAATAAAAAATGATAAAGGGGATATCACCACCAATCCCACAGAAATACAAACTACCATCAGAGAATACTATAAACACCTCTACGCAAATAAACTAGAAAATCTAGGAGAAATGGATAAATTCCTGGACACATACACCCTCCCAAGACTAAACCAGGAAGAAGTTGAATCTCTGAATAGACCAATATCAGGCTCTGAAATTGAGGCAATAATTAATAGCCTACCAACCAAAAAAATTCCAGGACCAGACAGATTCACAGCCAAATTCTACCAGAGGTACAAAGAGGAGCTGGTACCATTCCTTCTGAAACTATTCTAATCAATAGAAAAGGAAGGAATCCTCCCTAACTCATTTTATGAGGCCAGCATCATCCTGATACCAAAGCCTGGCAGAGACAGAAAAAGAGAATTTTATACCAATATCCCTGTTGAACATTGATACGAAAATCCTCAGTAAAATACTGGCAAATCCAATCCAGCAGCACATGAAAAAGCTTATCCAACACAGTCAAGTCGGCTTCATCCCTAGGATGCAAGGCTGGTTCAACATATGCAAATCAATAAAAGTAATCCATCACATAAACAGATCCAACGACAAAAACCACATGATTATGTCAATAGATGCAGAAAAGGCCTTTGACAAAATTCAACAGCCCTTCATGCTAAAAACTCTCAATAAACTAGGTATTGATGGAATGTATCTCAAAATAATAGCTATTTATGACAAACCCACAGCCAATATCATACTGAATGGGCAAAAACTGGAAGCATTCCCTTTGAAAACCAGCACAAGACAAGGATGCCCTCTCTCACCACTTCTATTCAACATAGTGTTGGAAGTTCTGGCCAGGGCAGTCAGGCAAGAGAAAGAAATAAAGGGTATTCAGTTAGGAAAAGAGGAAGTCAAATTGTCCCTGTTTGCAGATGATATGATTGTACATTTAGAAAACCCCATCGTCTCAGCCCAAAACCTCCTTAAGCTGATAAGCAACTTCAGCAAAGTCTCAGGATACAAAATCAATGTGCAGAAATCACAAGCATTCCTACACACCAATAACAGACAGAGAGCCAAATCACGAGTGAACTCCCAATCACTATTGGTACAAAGAGAGTAAAATACCTAGGAATCCAACTTACAAGGGATGTGAAGGACCTCTTCAAAGAGAACTATAAACTGCTCAAGGAAATAAAAGAGGACACAAACAAATGGAAGAACATTCTATGCTCATGGATAGGAAGAATCAATATTGTGAAAATGGTTATATTGCCCAAAGTAATTTATAGATTTGATGCCATCCCCATCAAGCTACCAATGACTTTCTTACGGAATTGGAAAAAACTACTTAAAAGTTCATATGGAAGCAAAAAAGAGCCCACATTGCCAAGACAATCCTAAGCAAAAAGAACGAAGCTGGAGGCAACATGGTACCTGACTTCAAACTATACTACAAGTAACCAAAACAGCATGGTACTGGTACCAAAACAGAGATATAGACCAATAGAACAGAACATTTACAACCATCTGATCTTTGACAAACCTGACAAAAACAAGAAATGGGGAAAGGATTCCCTATTTAACAAATGGTGCTGGGAAAACTGACTAGCCATATGTAGAAAGCTGAAACTGGATCCCTTCCTTACACCTTATATAAAAATTAATTCAAGATGGATTAAAGACTTAAATGTTAGACCTAAAACCATAAAAACCCTAGAAGAAAACCTAGGCAGTACCATTCAGGACATAGGCATGGGCAAGGACTTCATGACTAAAACACCAAAAGCAATGGCAACAAAAGCCAAATAGACAAATGGGATCTAATTAAACTAAAGAGCTTCTGCACGGCAAAAGAAACTGCCATCAGAGTGAACAGGCAACCTACAGAATGGGAGAAAATTTTTTTTCATCAGAGAAAATTTTTGCAATCTACCCATCTGACAAAGGACTAATATCCAGAATCTAAAAAGAGCTCAAACAAATTTACAAGAAGAAAAAAAGATCCTATCAAAAAGTGGGCAAAGGATATGAACAGATACTTCTCAAAAGAAGACATCTATGCAGCCAGCAGACACATGAAAAAATGCTCATCATCACTGGTCATCAGAGAAATGCAAATCAAAACCACAATGAGATACCATCTCACACCAGTCAGAACAGCGATAATTAAAAAGTCAGGAAACAACGTGCTGGAGAGGATGTGGAGAAATAGGAATGCTTTTACACTGTTGGTGGGAGTGTAAATTAGTTCAACCATTGTGGAAGACAGTGTGGCGATTCCTCAAGGATCTAGAACTAGAAATACCATTTGACCCAGCAATCTCATCACTGGGTATATACTCAAAGGATTATAAATCATGCTACTATAAAGACACATGCACATGTGTGTTTATTGCAGCACTATTCACAATAGCAAAGACTTGGAACCAACCCAAATGTCCATCAATGATAGACTGGATTAAGAAATTGTGGCACATATACCCCATGGAATACTATGCAGCCATAAAAATGGATGAGTTCATGTCCTTTGCAGGGACATGGATGAAGCTGGAAACCATCATTCTGAGCAAACTATCACAAGGACAGAAAACCAAACACCATATGTTCTCCCTTATAGTTGGGAACTGACAATGAGAACACTTGGACACAGGGCAGGAAGCATCACACACCAGGGCCTGTCATGGGGTGGGAGGCTGGGGGAGGGATAGCATTAGGATAAATACCTAATGTAAATGACGAGTTGATGGGTGCAGCAAAGCAACATGGCACATGTATACCTGTGTAACAAACCTGCATGTTGTGCACATGTACCCTAGAACTTAAAGTATAATAATAATAAAAAAGAAAAAAGAAATTAAACATATGTAGGCTAAAAGGAAATATGGACGTCAAGAAATGACATATAGTTTTAAGGTTTTGATGACAGAAGAGAAAAATGCTAGAAGTTTTCCCAAAGGTAGGAAAAATAAAAACATAATAGTTCTGGGCACAGTGGCACAGCCTATAGTCCCAGCTACTTGTGAGGCTGAAGTGAGAGGATTGCTTGAGCCCAGGGATTCAAGGCTGTAGTATGCTATGATCCTGCCTATGTATAGCTACTGCTTTCTAGCCTGGGCGATGTAGTAAGACCCCATATCTTCAAAACAAAACAAAAACTGTAATAGCGATAATAGTGACAATGTCTGTTGTTAGTCACAGAGCAGGAGTACCATGTCTGGAAAAACGATTGTACTTCATGGAAATGCTGTGGCTAATGATGCTGTTATGAACAAGGGATATTGGTATGTCTGGTAAATTGAATATGGAGCCAGAAAAGTTACTGTGTTTGAGAATAAAAGTGATAGTACATGTCTCTGTCATCAAACTAGGAAATGTAGCACAGACAGATTTTTTTTCTTTTTGCTTAACTGTAGGTATATAATAAAGTGTTCTGACAAACTGTTAAACAGAGCCTTGATAGACTATGTATCTAGGTTTGTCTGTTGTCTTTCTATCTACCTATCTATGTGTTAATATTAGGAGCTTCTGACTTATTTAATACTTCTTCCTGTTTGTATAAAATTAACTGCAGTAATTAACTCAGATTGGCTGTGAGCAAAAACAGAACTATTACAGTAATTTGACTTACTAATTTATGTAAAACATTTTCTGCCTTTTAAAAATCATCTTAATTAATGCAAGGGTAGAGTAATTATCAGCCCACCAACTATTTATTTATTAGGATTCCCATTGCTGTAGGCAGAATAAAGCAATTTTTCATATTGTGACTAATGGCAATTTTGATTAATTTTGCGCAATTAGCTTACATCTATCTTAAGTAACCAGTCTGCTTTTGGTAAAATTTTCATGTCTGAAATAGGAAACTCTCAGTTTATATTTTCTTTTTCTTTTTTTTTTTTTTGAGATGGGGTCTCGCTCTGTTGCCCAGGCTGGAGTGCAGTGGCACGGTCTCGGCCCACTGCAACCTCTGCCTCTCGGGTTCAGGCGATTCTCCTGCCTCAGGCTCCTGAGTAGCTGGGATTACAGGCATGTGCCACCACGCCCAGCTAATTTCGCCCACCTCTGCCTTCGGTGTAGCTGGGACTACGTGGAACTCCTTCTTCTATATTTTTTTCAGCCCCACTTTCAGTGTGCTTCCACTGTACTTAGAGGGAGTTGCTGTTGCCTTCATAATGCTTCCTCCTTTTCTTCTTCTTCTTTTTTTTTTTCTTTTCTGGAGACAGAGTCTTGCTCTGTCGCCCAGGCTGGAATGCAGTGGCGCGATCTCGGCTCACTGCCACCTCCACCTCCAGGGTTCAAGTGATTCTTCTGCCTTACAGTTGTGAGCCACCGTGCCCTGCCCTCAATTTTAAAATATTCTTAAAAAGAAAAATCTTCCTCCTATTTTTAGTCCCACTAAGCCAGAGGTAAAACCATGGTTTAAAAAACAAAACAAAACCAGAACACTTTTGAGGCTGGGTGTGGTGACTCACACCTGTAATCCCAGCACTTTGGGAGGCTGCGGTGGGCAGATCACTTGAGGTTAGGAGTTTGAGACCAGACTGGCCAACATAGCAAAATCTGTCTCTACTGAAAATACAAGCAGATTAGCCAGGTGTGATGGCACGTGCCTGTAGCCCAGATACCTAGGAGGCTGAGGCACAAGAATCACTTGAACCTGGGAGGCGGAGGCTGCAGTGAGCCAAGATTGTGCCACTGTACTCCAGCCTGGGCAACAAAAAACCAAACAAACAAACTGCTTTTGGGCCTGGTGCAGTGGCTCATGCCTATAATCCCAGCACTTTGCAGGGCTGAGGGAGGCAGGAGGTTTGAGCCCAGGAGTATGAGACTAGTGAAACCCCATATCTACTAAAAATACAAAAAATATTAGCGGGGTGTGATGGCGCACACCTGTAGTCCCAGCTACCCAGGAGGCTGAGGCAGGAGGATTGCTTGAGGCTAGGAGATCAAGTCTGCAGTGAGCTGTGATTGTGCCACTGGACTCCAGTCTGGGTGACAGGGTAAGACTCTCTCCAAAACATCCTCAAAAAATACTTGTATTTGAAATTTGATAATTCAAAAAGTTATACATATAGTATTATAATTACACAGCTTGATGAATTTGTCTATTCATGCACCTGTGCCACAGTGTTTTAGTTACAGAAGCTTTATAGTAGGTTTTAATGTCTGGTAAGTCTAGTCTCGTTTTGTAGTTTTTCTGTTTTAGTACTTTCCTGTTATTCTTACATGTTTGTTTTTTCATGTCAATATCAGCTTGTTCAGCTCCATAAAATGGTTTGTTAGTATTTTTATTATCATTATATTGAATTTATAAATTAACTTGGGAGAATTTATATCTTTATAATGTTGAATTGTCTTATCCAAGAATATCATATATTTTTCTATTGTTCATCTTCTTTTAGTTTCTTTTGGGAGTATTTTAACATTTTCCTCATACGGTTTTTTTTTTTAAAGCTTTATTGAGATACAATTCACATGTCATAATATCCTTTTTTTTTTTTTTTTGAGATAGCGTCTTAATCTGTTGCCCAGGCTGAAGTGCAGTGGTGTGATCTTGGCTCACTGCAACCTCTGCCTCCCGGGTGCAAGCGATTCTCCTGCCTCAGCCTCCCAAGTAGCTGGAACTACAGGCGCTTACCACCATGCCCGGCTAATTTTTTGTATTTTTTCTAGAGACGGGGTTTCATTGTGTTAGCCAGGATGGTCTTGATCTCCTGACCTCGTGATCTGCCCACCTCAGCCTCTCAGAGTCTCAAAGTGCTGGAATTACAGGTGTGAGCCACCACACCCAGCCCTATAACATTGTTTTTTAAAAGATGTATAAAGATGTGGTTGTTTAGTATATTTACAAATATGTGCAGCCATCATCACTACCTAGTTCCAGAACATTTTCATCACTCTTAAAAAAACCCCATACTCATTAGCAGTTACTTCCCATCCCCTTCTCTTCCCAGCCTTGGAAACTACTAATCTATGTTCTGAGTCTATGGATTTGCCTATTCTGAATATTTCATTTAAGTGGAATCATATAGTATGTGGCTTGGCATAACATTTTCAAGGTTTATGCATGCTGCAGAGTATATCAATAATCATCCCTTTATATTGCAAAATAATGTTTCATATATGCCATATTTGTTTATCAGTTGGTGGACATTTGGATTATGTATACTTTTTTACTATTTTGGTAATATTGCTATGAACATTTTTATACAAGGTTTTGTTTAGACTTTTTTTTTTTTTTTTTTTGAGACGGAGTCTTGCTCCATTGCCCAGACGAGTGCAATGAAGCGATTTTGGCTCACTGCAACCTCTGCCTCCCGGGTTCAAGTGATTCTCCCACCTCAGCCTCCCGAGTAGCTGGGATTACAGGCATGTGCCACCACGTCCAGCTAACCTTTGTATTTTTAGTAGAGATGGGATTTTGCCATGTTGGCCAGGCTGGTCTCGAACTCCTGACCTCAGGTGGTCTGCCCGCCTCGGCCTCTCAAAATGCTGGGATTACAGGCATGAGACATCGTGCCCGGCCAGACATGTGTTTTTAATTCTTTCTGATAGGCGTTACGCATTTCTTACTACATTTATTACTAAGTATTCTTTGTTGGTGTTGGATTTTCTTTACCATTATATACTCCAAGTGTTTATTAATTTTTGTATTGATCTGTATTAATTTGTTGCTAATCATAAATTTACTTACAATTTAACATATGGGTCCTTGTTGACATTGTTTGGGAGATAATTCTTTGGTAGACAGGGTGTACTCTCGCATTTTGGGAGCAGATTTCTGCCTATGTCTCTTAGATCAAACTTACAGAGTTACTCACATTTTATGTGCCCTGATTTCAGTTTTTGTCTCTTTATTACTGAGAGGTGTGTATTAAAATTGTCTTGTATGATTGTGGATTTCTTAGTTTCTCCTTGTAAAATAGTCAGTTTTTGCTTTATATGTTTATAAATTATGTTATGAAATGTATTCAAATTTGGATTATTTTTGTCTATTTGTGTCTTCCTGCTAAATACTACCTTTCTTTAATCACTATCTTCTTTATCCTCAATAATATTCTTACTCTAAATACAATTTGTCTATGTTTATAGAGACACGTCATCTTTTTTCAATTTGTTACTTTCTATGGGTATACTTTAGGCATGTTTCTTGTAAATAGCAATTGTATTTTGTTTTCCCTTTTTTTTTTTTTTTTGAGACGTAGTTTCGCTCTTGTTGCCCAGGCTGGAGTGCAATGGCGTGATCTTGGCTCACTGCAACCTCCGCCTCCTGCGTTCAAGCGATTCTCCTGCCTCAGCCTCCCGAGTAGCTGAGATTACAGGCGCCCACCACCACATTTGGCTAATTTTTTGTATTTTTAGTAGAGATGAGGTTTCACCATGTTGGCCAGGCTGGTCTTGAACTCCTGACCTCAGGTGAGCCATCCCCTTCGGCCTCCCAAAGTGCTGGGATTACAGGCATGAGCCACCGCGCCCTGCCCATCTTAACCATTTTTAAGTACACAGTTCAGTGTTAGGAAGTACATTCATATTGTTGTGTAACCATCACCACCATCCATCTTCAGAACTTGCATCTTGCAAAACTGAAACGCTGTACCAATTAAACAATAATTCCCGGGATCGCATTAGGAGATATACCCAATGTTAAATAATGAGTTAATGGGTACAGCACACCAACATGGCACATGTATACATATGTAACAAACCTGCACGTTGTGCACATGTACCCTAAAACTTAAAAGTATAAAAAAAAAAAAAGAAATAGTAAATACGGTAAAAAAACAAACAAACAATAATTCCCATTCCTCCTTCCTCCCAGCCACTGATAACCACCATTCTACTTTCTGTCTCTGTGAATTAGATTACTCTGGGTACCTCATATGTGGGGAATCATACAATATTTGTCTTTTGTGACTGGCCTATTTCACTTTGCATAATGTCCTCACAGTTCATCAATGTAGCATATGTCAGAATATCATGCCTTATTAAGGCTGAATAATACTCTATGTATATGTTACATTTTGATGATCCATTTATCTGTCAGTGGACACTTGTGTTGCTTCTACATTTTAACCATTATGAATAATGCTGCTGTGAATATGGTTATGCAAAAAGCTCTTTGAGACCTTGCTTTCAATTTTTTTGGAGTATATACCCAAAAGTATATGGGTATATGCTACATCATAAGGTAATTTTATTTTTACGTTTTTGAGAAACTGCCGTATTATTTTCCACAGTGACTGTACCACTTTACATTCCTACCAGCAGGGCACAAGTATTCTAATTTCACTACACCCTTGCTAACACTTGTTATTTTCTGTTTGTTTGATGGTAGCCATCCTAATGAGTGTGAGGTGGTATCTCATTGTGGTTTTGATTTGCATTTCCCTAATCATTAGGGATGTTGAGTATCTTTTCACATGCTTCTTTGGGGAAATATAAATTTAAATCCTTTGCCTAGTTTTAATTTTTTTGTAAAAGATGGGATCTTGCTATGTTGTCCAGGCTGGTTTGGCCTGCTGAGTAACTGGGACCACAGGCACAAGCCACCATTTCCTGTAGTCCCAACTACTCAGGAGGCTGAGGCAGGAGGATCACTTGAGCCTAGTTTTTAATCTGGTTGTTTGGGTTCTTTTTTTAAAAATTGTTGCATTATAGGGGTTCTTTATATATTCTAGATATGAAACCCTTATCAAATATATGATTTGCAAATATTTTCCCCCATTCAGTGGGAGCATTTTTACTCTGTTAATACTGTCTTTTTTTGTGTGGAATTTCAAATTTTTCATTGTCTAGTATGTCTGTCTTTTTATTGCCTGTGCCTTTGGTATCATTCTCCACCTTTTTTTAAGATCTCTTTATTTGTAATGTTTTGCTGTGTCTAGGAAAGTTATTTTTGTTTTTTCTTTAATTGGGAGTCATTGTCATTTCTGAATCTGAGGATTTTTAGCTGTTACTTCCTCCAGCAACCCCCAGTTTCTAGAGTCTGTAGCTAGGCAGAGACATTTTCTTGTTATTCCTTTGCTGTTGGTTGATTTTTTTTTTTAACCAGCCTCCCCTGTCCATTCTTGCACTGAGAATGTGTAAAAAATGGTGAAACCCTCAATACCAGCTCTGCGCTTCATGCAGACAAGGTTTCTGAGGCCTTGTCTACTTTAAGGGCATTAAAAGCCAAAAATCTTAGTTACTCGTATTGACAGGTTCCTCCAGGGTTGCTGAAAGCTTTACTCTTTTGTGAGCTCAGCATTTGACAGACTAATTTATCCAGCATTTCTAGATGTTTTATTAAGATGACATTTTCATATTAGTTACTGTGTTGCCAAAAAAAAAAAGAAAGTTGCATTTCTTTTTTATAATTAATTTATTTCCCTTTTTTCCTCTTTTTCCTTTGGAATTCCATGTAGTTGGACCTCCTGGATGGAAGAACTCTTCTCAAGCTTTTCTACTTTAAAAAAAAATTTCTTTGTTTTACTTTGTGGGAGAATTCCTACCCTTCCTTTGCTTCTTTCTCCTCCCCAAATCCCCTGCTTCTGTTCTACTTCCCCTCCCTCCCTCTCTTTCTTTTTTCCTTCCTTCTCTTTTTTCTTTCTTTCTTTCTATTTTGTCTGTTAATTTGGTGTCTCCTGTTTTGTTATCTTGGCCTCTTTATTTCATGTTAGAGATTTTCCTCAGTTGTTTAGTAAACTTTGGCCATCTGTTCAGATTAAAGACCGAATCAATAAAAAGCTGAGTAAAAACTCTTTGTCCATGGGAGTTGTTAAGTGTAAGCCTTACACAGGGTGATTGAGTGCTTGCAGGTCTTTTCTCTTGGATCACTTTCCCTCGCAGAGGGATCTCCTAGTCCCAGGCCGATTGTTTTGCGTTCTGGAAGCTGGTTTGGGGAAGAGGCCTGAGGTCCACTGTACAGCATGTAAATCTTCATTTAATCTTTTTGTGAGATGATATAATACACAACCCTTTTGTGTACCTAGTTTCTATGTCCTTAAAAGGTAAACCATTTGTTTCTTGCTGGGATGCAGAAGGGGCATTTTCTGTCTTTCTTTCTTTTTTGAGACAGGGTGTTGCTCTTGCCCAGGCTGGAGTGCAGTGGTGTGATTATAGCTTGTAACCTCAAGTTCCGGGGCTTAAGCAGTCGTCCCACCTCAGCCTCCTGAGTAGCTAGGACTATGGACAGACATGTGCCGCTACACTCTGCCTTTTTTAAAAAATCTTTTTGTTAAGATGAAGTTTCACTGTGTTGCCCAGGCTGATCCTGAACTGGCCTCGGGTATTCCTTCCACTTTGGCTTCCCAAAGCACTGGAATTGTAAGTGTGAGCCACTGGGCTCAGCCAGAAGGGGCAGTTTCTTAGCTACATGGGTTAAGACTTTATTCAAACTTTCAATCAAGTCTTTTTATTAACAGCCCCAACTGAGATTGTTACTTTCAGATGGCTTCAATTCTTAAGCCTTTGTGATGAGATATATGTAAGATATATTTTAATTATGTATATATAACTTATAAATGGTTTGGGAGGCTGAAGTGGGAGAATTGCTTGAGGCCAATTCAGGACCAGCCTGGGCAACACAGTGAGATCCCATCTCAACAAAAAGTTTTATTAAAAAAGCAGAATACTGACCGGGTACAGTGGCTCACTTCTGTAATCCCAGCACTTTGGGAGGCCGAGGTGGGCAGATCACGAGGTCAAGAGATGGAGACCATCCTGGCCAACATGGTGAAACCCCATCCCTACTAAAAATACAAAAAATTATTTGTATTTTTACAAAAATTACAAAAATTTGCTGGGCCTAGTGGTGCACGCCTGTAATCCCAGCTACTGGGGAGGCTGAAGCAGGATAATTGCTTGAACCCGGGAGTTAGAGGTTGCAGTAAACCGAGATCTTGCCACTGCACTGCAGGCTGGCAACACAGCGAGACTCTGTCTCAAAAAAAAAAAAAAAAAAAAAAGCGGAGTGTAGTGAAACATGTCTGTCTGTAGTCCTAGCGACTCAGAAGGTTGAGGTGTGAGATATAGATACCTGTAATATCTATAATATGTTAATATATAATATTAATATATATCTTATAGATAAGTTATATAATTAAGATATATCTTATAGATACATATATCTGTATGTCTCTAGGGATATAGATATATCTGATCATCTATATATAATTATATAGGTAGATACATCTAATTACATATACATTACATCTTATAGATATCTATAAGATATCTGTATATATAACATATATGTTTTTGATGGGTTTATCCTTTTTTATCTTTTTAACATCATTTTACTGTAATTTTTTTTTTTTTTTTTTTGAGACAAGGTCTCACTCTGTCACCCAGACTGGAGTGCAGCGGCAAGACCTTGGCTCACTGCAACCTCCGCCTTCCGGGTTCAAGCGATTCTCCTGCCTCAGCCTCCTGAGTAGCTGGGATTACAGGCACGCCACCACTGCCTGGCTAATTTTTGTATTTTCGGTAGAAACGGGGTTTCACCATGTTGGCCAGGCTGGTCTTGAACTCCTGACCTCAAATGATCTGCCCGCCTCAGCCTCCCAAAATGCTGGGATTACAGGCATGAGCCACCATGCCCGGCCAATTTTACTGTAATTTCAAGAAGGGATGGATAGAGACCTGTGTGTTCATATTTAACCAAAGAACCTTATAGTACATTTTAATTATGTTATTTTCATGTAAAAATAATATTATTATAAACTCAGGAGTTTTTTCTGTGTGCATTTCTACTAATGGTTATTGCAGTTTCAGAACTATAGAAAGGCATCCAAAAGGGCAATAAGAGACATAAAGAAGAGGAAAAATAGGTTAATAACAAAGAATAGGAGGCTCAGATACATGTATCAGAGGGACTTTGATGAAGTAACGTCGCCACCTTCTGGCTTTTAAAAAAACTGTGTTGTTTCTGTAATAAAATCTGGGAATGTGTAGTCCCAGCTACTCGGGAGGCTGAGGCAGGAGAATCGCTTGAATCCGGGAGGCGGAGGTTGCAGTGAGCCAAGATCGTGCCACTTCACTCCAGCCTGGTGACAGAGAGAGACTACATCTCAAAAAAAAAAAAAAAAGAAAAGAAAAAAATTCTGGGAACCCCATGACTGGTAAGTAGCTAATTTGCATCCTGTGTCAGATTTAGTGGATTTGGTGTTGTTTAGTTGTTCTCTATACTATTGAAGAAACATACTTTTTTTGACATAGGATTTGATTACAATATAACAAAGTCTTTTCAAGCCCCCTAAGAAAGGGTTCTATCTAAAATATCTTAAAATATGTCTGTTACTTTAGGTTATTTCTGCTTGCATTAAGAAAACAAATATTGTTTCTATGTGAAGGAAAATATACAATTTAAAAAATTAAGTTAATTTGTTGCATAGATAGTTTGTGTTCATGGTACAAAATACAAATGATATGAGAGGCCATGAGTCATCCTACTATTTTGTAAGAATTAATAAAAAAGAAAAGAAAATTAAAATGTTTTTCTCTCAGCTAGCCAGTTCCTTTGCCTTGAGAGAATCTTTTTATACAGATGGTAATGTACTACACATACTTCTTTATAACTTTCTTTTTTTCACAGAACAGTTTATACTGGAGGTCACTCTATATCAATACACAATGAGCTGCCTCATTTTTTTTAGGCCATGATGTGTTTAGCTAGTCTACTATTGATACGCAGTTATGGGTTTTCCAATCTTTTGCTATATAAATGACACTGTAGTGAGTATCCATATAGATATATGTGTGTGTGTGCGTGTGTGTGTATGTGTATGATTTCATATGACTCTAGAAAAAGCTCATAGAAGGATGTATAAATTTCTATTTGTGTTGGATATGGTGACACTGCCCTCCATAAAAGATTATGCCTGTTTATTCTTCCACCACTAACGTAAGGCAAACTCTGTTTTCCCTCATGTTTCTCAGGACAATGTATTGGTATCAGTCTTTTCATCTTGTCTTGAAACCTTATTTTACATTTCTCTTATGAGTGGGCTGAACGTATTTTTATATGTTTAGAAGCAATTTGTGGGATTTTTTGTTTGTTTCTTTGAGATAGAGCTTCACTTTGTCACCCAGGCTGGAATGCAGTTACATGATAATAGCTCACTGCAGCCTTGAACTACTGGGCTCAAATGATCCTCCTGCCTCAGCCTCCCAAATAGTTGGGACAGCAGGCACATGCCACCACGATTGGCTAATTTAAAAAAAATTTTTTTTTTTCGGTAAAGATGGAATCACCTTATGTTGTCCACACTGGTCTCAAACTCCTGGCCTCGAGCAATACTCCCACCTTGGCGTCCCAGAGCACTGGAGTTACAGGTGTAATCTACAATGCCCAGCTCATTTGTGTTTTCTGTTATATATTCTTTGCCTACTTTTTCTTTAGGCTGTCACTCTTCTACTTATTTTTAGGAGCTCATAGTTCACAAGGTAGAAGTTAACTTTCTATAGTATAAGTTGCAGATACAATTTTTCCAGTTTATTTTCTTATGATTTACATAGTGATGTTTTCTTTAAATGTAAAAAAAAATGTGCATTTTTTGTAGTCATATCAGTCTTTACTTTGAAGACTTTTCTGGGCTTGGTTTCATATTTAGAAAGATCTTCCACACTCAGAAAATTAAAAAATTTAACTTCCGTGTTTTCTTCTCTTACCAAAAAAATTACGTTGAATTCTATGGGCTATCTGAAATTTATTTTGAGTGAGGTATAAATTATGGCTCTAACTAATTTTTTCTATATGATTACTCAGTTGTCACTTCTTTATTGAAATAATTCACCCAATGCATTCATACCTCACTGATTTGAAGTGTCAGCTAAATTTCTTTGTGGATTTAGGTCTTTTCCTATACTTTTCTGTTCCCTCTATCTGTATGCTTTTTCACTTATCAGTGTATGATATTTTAATTATTGTGACTTTACAACTTGTTTAAATAATTGGATGAGGTCAATCCTTCTGTGTTTCCATAATTTTATGGCTATTCTTGCTTATTTTACCACATTAACTTTTGAATCAGTTGAGCAAATTAAAAGGAAAAGATATTGTTAATTTTATTGTGATTCATTCTATTCATAGATTAATTTGGGGGCAGTTAGTATTGTTATGATTTTGCGTTTTGTCACTCAAGAACCTGGCATTTTTTTCCATTTGTTTTTTGTATCCCTATGTATTTCTTGCTGAGTTTCTTCCTGATGTTTTTTTCTTGTTTTTTTCTATGTAAATGAGTTAATTTTTTCCATTATGTCTTTACATAGTTGTTATTAGAAGACATGGTTCTTGTGTATAAGTAAGCTGCTAATTTGGGGGGATTAATTTTGTTATCGGTCATCTCCAGTTGAATCTCTTGGGGTTGCTCTGTAAACAGTTGTAATCATATGTAAATAATAATAGTTTTACTGCTTCAGTTCTGCTTTATATACTTCTATCTTTCATCTGGTTGTGTTGGTTAGTAACCTATAGAACACTGTTAAATAATAGTGGTGAGTGATAATAGTAGAAATCATTTCTTTCTTTTATTTAATGGGATTGTTTCTTTAGTGATGCATAATGAAAAATATATCCATAGATTCTTGAGAGGAATTTGACAAAATTACATATACATTCTTGGTAAAATATAATCCTATTAAGTAATTATTCATCACTTTTCATTATTTCATCATTTTGCATGCCATAGCTTTACATAAATGGGCCGGGTGCAGTTGCTCAAGCCTGTTATCCCAGCACTTTGGGAGGCCTAGGGAGGTGGATCATTTGAGGTCAGGAGTTCAAGACCAGCCTGGTCAATGTGGCAAAACCCCATCTCTAATAAAAATACAAAAATTGCTGGGCGCGATGGCTCACGCCTCTAATCCCAGCACTTTGGGAGGCTGAGGCAGGTGGATCGCGAGGTCAGGAGATCGAGACCATCCTGGCTAACATGGTGAAACCCCGTCTCTACTAAAAATACAAAAAATCAGCCGGGTGCAGTGGCACGCGCCTGTAGTCCCAGCTACTCGGGAGGCTGAGGCAGGAGAATCACTTGAACCCAGGAGGTGGAGGTTGCAGTGAGCTGAGATCATGCCGCTGTACTCCAGCCTGGGCGTCGGTCAGAGTGAGACTCCGTCTCAAAACAACAACAACAAAAATTAGCAGGGCTGTAGTGGTGCGCGCCTGTAATTTCAGCTACTCAGCAGGCTGAGACAGGAGAATTGCTTGAGCTTGGGAGGTGAAAGTTGGTTGCAGTGAGCCGAGATCGCGCCACTGCACTCCAGTCTGAGCGACGGAGAGACCCTGTCTCCAAAAAAAAAAAAACTTTATATAAACGTAATCATACTGAATGTGTTAGTTTTTAAATTCTGTTACATTTATAAGGTTTATCCATGTTGTTGCATGTTACTGCAATTAATTAATTTTAATAGCTATTTAACTATAGCTATTTAACTATACTCTGCCCAGATCTCTTCATATTAGAATACCCATTCTCCACCTGCTTAGGCTCACAGCTGCATCCCTTATTGGGAATTGCCCTTGGCCCTGAATACTGTCTTGCCCAAGGTTATGCTTCCTCCCAGAGGTGTCCCTGTGGCCAGTAACTGTGTGTTGCTTGGATATAAGATCCAACCTAACTTGTCTCTATTTGGGACAACTCCAAAGGGCTCTGGAGCTCCATGTTGTATCAGCTGAGGCCCCATTTGCAATATCATTGGTTCAATTTCTTCCCTAAGTCCAATCCTGCTGCCTTCACTTGTTATAGGTATATCTCCCCAGAGCACTTCCCAGGAAACTTTCTGCATGATAGTCTCCCTCTCAGAATCTGTTTTGGAGGAATGATTCTAACACAGTTGGTATTGGAAGTGATCCTAGGTAGCAGACTAAATTTTAGAGATAGGTTTCTAAATTTTAGAGATAGGGATTTTAGAGATAGGTTTCTTGCTGGCTGGTTGGCAGTGAGGACCCCGTCTCTGGTGGTAGGTAGAGTACAGATAGTGTAAGTTTGCACTGAATTTATCGTTATGTGGGACCCAAGTGAGCAGGTAAACTTTTGATGCACTGTTATTTAAACTGGTATCTGTAGACCTGGTTATAATGTTATGGATTTTCTTGAGTTTAAGATACTCTGGTCTGTATTATTCTATTATGCCTTTTATTTATTTCATTTAAATCAGTGAGTTTTTAGTTCTTTGGGATCAAGGATCCTTTATGCTGACTTCCTACCAAAGTAGGGTTTAAGAGAATCCTCATAGTGTGTGAAGATCTCCACTGTTTTCTCGTTAACCAGAGGGAAAGTTGGCATGGTTGAACTTGTTCTCTGAGGTCTTAATAGACAGGTGGCTGTAACTGATAGGTGTTTTCTTTCCCCTTCTTTAGATTGCCTAGGTCAGACTAGAACCTCAGAAATGTCTACAATGAAGTTTTTTTTTTTTTAACTTCGTATTTTTAGTAGAGACAGGGTTTCTCTGTGTTGGTCAGGCTGGTCTCGAACTCCTGACCTCAGGTGTTCCGTCCGCCTCAGCATCCCAGAAGTGCTGGGATTACAGGTGTGAGCCTTTTTTAAACTTCATATCCTAATCATATGCTACTCCTTGAAAGAGTCTTCTAAACTGTATAGTCAATCTGTATAGCCTATGGAAGCACAAGGGAGGACCTCTTCTTTGCTCACCTGCTTACAAAAGAATTAGAAGCCACTTTAGCTGGTTTAATACAATAGTTGGATTGACCGTAAAGTGCTTAGGTTTCTGTGTTAACTCTTCTAGTTTGATGGCATTTTCATCTCATAGTTCTTAATTCTGTAATTTTAACTAATTATCTCTATTACTAATTTAACTCGAGTTAGAACCTGATTCCCACCCTTTAGCTGAATTAGAAGCTGTTCCTTTGTGCTTCCATAGTGCCCCGAATATCTGTCTAGTGTCGTAGTATTTTAGCATGTTATACTGTATGCATTTGTCTTGCTCATTTGTTTGTGAACTTCTTGAAGGGTGGGACTCCGTTATGTCTCTTGGGTAGAGCACAATGCTGGGTACATGATGGGCATTGACTAAATGTTTGTTGAATAAATAAATAGCCTGACTCTCATTAGTCCCCATCACCCCTCAGTTGCTGGTTAAAACTTCTGACTTTTTAAAAATTCATTCAATGTGAGTCTTTCACAAATCTCCCTGGTGAATATCCATACCTTAAAGCTGGCACACACACGTCTAGTTCTTTTCTCTGTCATCATAAACTATTGCTGTCTCCTGCTTGCAGCTGCCTCTTTCATTGAGTTCCCAATATCTGCAGATGGCTCTGTCTGATGAGCTCATGGGAGAATTTAATTTTCCGTTCTACAATCCAAATAAATTAGTCTGCTATAACCCCAGAGCTGCTGGTAAAGCAGTCGTTGCAGCTTTAGAATTCTGATGCCAAAAAGGGGTTATATGCACAGTGAATGAATAGTGCCATGGGGTTATGAACAGTGGTTGTTCCCATCACTGCAGCTGCTTGGGTGAGGCATCAGAAACCCCTTCAAGTGTACTACTGCTACAGTTAGCTATAAAGGTTTTCCCAGCACCTTCAGCTGCCATGGTCTCCACCTCAGTTCTCTTTACATCTTATTAGTAAAATATCTTAGGAAAAAGCTATAAGCAAAGATACTGTGTAATAGCTATATGGAGAGTTTGACAAACATGCTGGATAGTTGCTTACAACATTTCAGTCACCTGATTCTATTACTAATAAAATATTTTTTACTGATGACTTGGCTGGTAAATGGCATGTTTATCTAATTTATGGGTTCATGCTTATTACTAATGATTGCATCCCTTGATGTGAATCTTTCAGTTTTTCTTGTTCATGTTAGAATAATTGCATTTATCTGTTAAGAAAACGTAACACTATATCATTGATATGTTTTCTTTCTTTTTTTCTTTTTTTTGAGACGTAGTCTGGCTCTGTCGCCCAGGTTGGAGTGCAGTGGCGCGATCTTGGCTCACTGCAAGCTCCACCTCTCGGGTTCACGCCATTCTTCTGCCTCAGCCTCTGGAGTAGCTGGGACTACAGGCGCCCACCACCAAGCCCAGCTAATTTTTTGTATTTTTAGTAGAGACAGGATTTCACCCTGTTGGCCAGGATGGTCTTGATCTCCTGACCTTGTGATCTGCCCGTCTCGGCCTCCCAAAGTGCTGAGATTACAGGCATGAGCCACCACGCCCAGCCTTCTTTTTTCTTTTCTTTTCTTTTTTTCTTTTCGATGGAGTCTTGCTCTGTCGCCCAGGCTGGAGTGCAATGGTGCAATCTCGGCTCACTGCAACCTCCGCCTGCCGGGTTCAAACAATTCTCCTGCCTCAGCCTCCCGAGTAGCTGGGACTACAGGCGCGCACCACCATGCCCAGCTAATTTTTTGTATTTTTAGTAGAGACAGGGTTTCACCATGCTGGCCAGGCTTGTCTTGAACTCCTGACCTCGTGATCCGCCTGCCTTGGCCTCCCAAAATGCTGGGATTACAGGCGTGAGCCGCTGCACCCGGTCTCTTTTTCTTGTTTTAGAGACAGGGTGTTGCTATATTGCCCAGGTTGGAGCACAGTGACTGTTCACAGGCAAAATCATTGTGTAGTACAGCCTCAAACTCCTGGGCTGTAATGATCCTCCCATCTCAGCCTCCCAAGTAGCTGGGACTACAGGTGTGTGCCACCACACCCAGCTACTTTAATATATTTTCTATGTTGATCAAATGGTAATTCTATATTTAATTTTTGTAGGAATTGCCATTCTATTTTCCACAGCAGTCAAACTGTTTTTTGATGGCCTTGAAACTCTAAGGACAGCTTGGCAGGATATAATATCTTTGGTTTACATTTTTTTCCCTTAAGTTTCTTGAAAGTGCTGTTCTACTGTTGTCTTGCTTTGTATGTTATTTTTGAGAAATACAATGTTAGTCTAATTCCTTTGCTTTTGTAAATAATTTATCTTTTTGCTCGGATACACTGAGAGTTTTTTCTTTAAATAATTTTATAAGGATATGTGTGAGAGTTGATCATTCTGAGTCAGTTTTCTCAAATATCTGGTAGGATCTTTCATTGTATAGATTCAAGTATTTTATTTCTGGAATGTTTTCTTGGAATGTACTTTTTTTTTTTGAAACAGTGTCTTGCTCTTTCACCCAGTCTGGAGTACAGTGGCGCAATCTTGGCTCACTGCAACCTCTACCTTCTGGGTTCAAGCTGTTCTCATGCCTCAGCCACCCAGGTAGCTGGGATTACAGGCGCCTGCCACTACACCCAGTTAGTTTTTTTGTATTTTTAGTGGAGATGGGTTTCACCATGTTGGTCAGCTGGTGTCAAACTCCTGGCCTCAAGTGATCCACCTGTCTCGACCTCCCAAAGTGTTGGGATTACAGGCGTGAGCCACTGCACCCAGCCAGAATGTACTTTTAATATTAGTTCTGTTCCATTGTTTTGATTTTTTTAATTAGGGACACCAGTAATACTAATGTTCAACCTCCTTTGCCTATCATTCATTTCAATCAATTTCTCTCTGTTTTTTTTAAAATTTTATTTTCTTCATTATTTTCTTGCTCTTTGTTCAGTGTCTTTTATTAAGTTTTCGTTCAGTCTGTTCTTTCTACATACCTTATAATTTAGTTTTTATTTTTGGTTCAATGCCAAAGTAAAGCAAAATAAAAAATAATTTAATAATTTAACTTTCATTTCTTATATGATGTTCCTTTTGTTTGTTTCTTTCTATTTCTTTAATCAGCTCTTACTCATTTCTTTCTGTTTTTGTCCATTTTGGTACTTAGTTTTTGTACTTCCGATTCAAGGTCTTCTTCATATCCTCAAATTCTTGTTTAAAATATTTAATCCAGTTCAGAGGATTGTGTTACAGTTGTTTTTCAACCTCACGGTTTGTTTTTATGGAGAAAATCATCAGCAGAAAAGCTTTTGTTTGTATTTTCTGACTTTGCAGTACATTTGTATGCATATGGTCTGCTTGTTTGTTTTTAATCATTTTGTGGACAGAGTTCCTAATTTGAGAGTGCTTCTTCTGCCAGTGTGCTCTCTTTTGTGAAGGTTCTTTTCTGAATTTGTAGTGATGATGGTAAGAAAAGGGGGAGAGGAAGAGTTGTTCCTTGATTCTATTAATATTTTGTTTCTGCAAGCTCTTTAATCCTCCCCCCAGCCCCTTGCCTTTTCTTCTTTTGAGACAAGGTCTCACTCTGTCACCCAGGCTGGAGTGCAGTGGTGCGATCTCACCTCACTGCAACCTCCGCCTCCCGGGTTCAAGGGATTCTTTTGCCTCAGCCTCCCGAGTAGCTGGGATTACAGGCGCATGCCACCACACCCGGCTAATTTCTGTATATTTTTGTAGAGACGGGGTTTCACCATGTTGGCCAGGCTGGTCTCGAACTCCTGACCTCAAGTGATCCACCTCCCTCAGCCTCCCAAAGTGCTGGGATTACAGGCGTGAGCCACTGTGCCTGGCCTAATTTCCTCCTCTTATCGCCTGTTTTTTTCATTCATTACCTTGTTTACAAGAGAAAGCGCTTCTTTATATATGTATACCTGGTTCTCCCCCAGAAGCACTGTTTCTAGGAGGCTGCTGCTTCTGGTCCAGAAGTTTCTAGACACAAGACACACTTCACCAGGTCTATTAGCTATCAAGTCCTAACCTCCTAACCTCTGTTTAGCATTTTTGTATTTATTGTTTAACTCTCTTTCTGGGGCTGGTTTTGTCTGTGCTTTTTGCAAATCCCCTTTGCCCCTCTGCTCTTTCTCACAGAGTCTTTTTCACCTCCCTTCACTCTCCCTATACATCCACAGGCTTGCAGAGGTAAGGAAGTGGGGTTTCTTTTGCTATTTGCTGCTTTTTTTTTTTTTCTGCTTGACTTATAGGTAATTTGAAGGTTGCTGTGTTTTCTGTCTCCTAGCAGTGCTAATGTTGATGGCCTAGATCCTTTGTGGGTTTTAAAAATTCTTGTGGTTTATTTTATGTTTGTTCAGGGAAGGTGAGGAGGAGAATTGGAGTCAGATTACCTCCATTGTTCTACAAACCTGGAAAGGTTCAAAAATCTTTTTCGGGCCGGGTGCAGTGGCTCATGCCTGTAATCCCAGCAATTTGGGAGGTGGAGGCGGGCAGATCACTTGAGGTCAGGAGTTCGAGACCAGCTTGGCTAACATGGTGCAACCTCGTCTCTACTAAAAATACCAAATTAGCCAGGGGTGGTGGTGCACACCTGTAATCCCAGCTACTTGGGAGGCTGAGGCAGGAGAATCGCTTGAGCTTGTGAGGCTAAGGTTGCAGTGAGCCAAGATCACACCATCGCACTCCAGCCTGGGCAACAGAACGAGACTCTGTCTCAAAAAAAAAATCCTTTTCCAGATGACTAATTTTACACCTGAAAAATCCAAGAGTCAACTGAACTTACAGTAAAATTACTTTAAGCAGTAAAAGAATTAAGTTGTGTAATGGAATATAAAATTAGTAAAAAGAAAAACGTAACTTATATGCATACAGCTAGGAAAATATAATGGAGAACCCCATAAGTTACAGGAACAACAGCAAAAAGGAAACAGAGAAAAAACTCAAAACCAAAAAATAAAATACCTAGGTGTAACTATAATAGTGTGCAAAACCCATTGTGTTACTTTCCTAGGACCACCATAACAAAATGCCACAAACTGGGTGGCTTAAAACAACAGAAACTTATTTCCTACAGTTCTGTATGCTGCAAGTCTGCAATCAATTTGTCAGCAGGGCCGTGCTCCCTGTAAAGCCTCTAGGAGAGGATCCTTTATTGCTTCTTCCAGTTTCTGGTAGCCCTGGGCATTCCTTGGCTGTGGCCACATAATTCCAATCTCTGCCTCTGTCTAGGAAACTGCCTTCTTCCCTCTGTCTGCATCTCTTGTTTCTTTTTTCCTCTTAAGAGAATACCAGTGGCTGGACTCTGGCTCACACCTGTGATCCCAGCACTTTGGAAGGCTGAGTTGGGAGGATCACTTGAGGACAGGAGTTCAAGACCAGCCTCGGCTACATAGTGAGACTCTATCTCTACCAAAAATTTTAAAAATTAGCCCAGTGTTAGGGTATATGCCTGTATACCCAGCTACTTGGGAGTTAAGGCGGGAGGATTGCTTGAGCCCAGGAGTTTGAAGTTGCAATGAGCTGTGATTGCACCACTGCATTCCAGCCTGGGTGACAGAGCAAGACCCTGTCTCAAGAAAAAAAAAAAAAAAGTTGCAAAATGAATACAGAGAAATCCCATTTACCCGTAGCCCAACTTCCCCCAAGTGGTAACATCTTATGTAATTGTAGTACATTGGCCAAATCAGGAAATTGACATTGGTACAATATAATTGACTGGACTACAGATCCTACTTGGATTTCACTAGTTTTTGCATGTGCCCATTTTTTGGTGTGTCTTTGTGTATAGTTCTGTGACATGTTATTAGATGTATAGATTCGTATAGCCACCACCACAATCAAGATACAAAACTGTTCTGTTACTGCAAGAAGGTAGCACTATTGTAACATTTAACAGCAATAGTAAATCTATCATTGTTAAATGAAAAAAACAACATCATAGTATGATACTATTGAACAAGACTAAAATTTAAAAAGACTAAAAACAACAAAAGTGTATTTCTCTACATGCAGGTACTTATATGAAAATGCATGGAATGGGCCGGGCGCGGTGGCTCACGCCTGTAATCCCAGTACTTTGGGAGGCCGAGGCCGGCGGATCACGAGGTCAGGAGATCGAGACCATCCTGGCTAACACGGTGAAACCCCGTCTCTACTAAAAATACAAAAAATTAGCCAGGTGCAGTCGTGGGCGCCTGTAGTCCCAGCTACTCAGGAGGCTGAGGCAGGAGAATGGCGTGAATCCGGGAGGTGGAGCTTGCAGTGAGCCGAGATCGCGCCACTGCACTCCAGCCTGAGCGAGAGAGCGGGACTCTGTCTCAGAAAAAAAAAAAAAAAAAAAGAAAATGCGTGGAATGAGCTCTGTGCAAGGATATTTACCAAACTGATAACAATGAAGTTTAGAAATGATATTTGAGGTGTTCAGATGCGGAGATTTTCTTTATCTGTATGGACTTTTTAATAACCAGAATGTTTTCATGTATCTATAATTTAAATGTTTTTAAAAGAATATATATAAGAACACAAATATAAATGTCAGTGAATTCTGTTAATGGTATTCATCTGCTAGTTAGAATTGTAGTGGAAGTGGAGGGGCAGGAATTAAGGAAGACTTGCTTTGTATTGTATTTTCTTCTGCACTGTTGAGTTTTTTTTTCTTATGAGCATATATAATTTTTTTATTGAAAGAATTTTTTTATGGAAGGCTTTATAGGACATCTTGAAAACTGGCAGTAACAGAATAATGTATATGACTTGCTTATGTACATTTTCCTATATATACCTTTACATTTAAATATACATCTATGCATATACATGTACCTGAAAGTGTCTGTACAAATATCATTAGGTTCTTATCTTTCAATAGTAAGATTTAGAGTAATTTTTATTTTCTTCTTTGTGCTCTTCTATAGCTTTGGATTATTTTGTAGTGAGCACATACATCATTCAACTTTCCTTTCCCTTTCCAAAGGTGTTTTTAAGAAGGTAGGAAAAAAAGAAAAAAAAAACCTGTATCCTGCTTGAAAATTGAGAAAAATGATGACAGCTTTTGCAGTTAACCTTTAGTTAGTATAAAATTTCACGATCTCCATCATATCCTGTGGAGTCTGATAGGGGGTTGTGATTGTTAGGGATTTTCAATATATGGTACATGAAAAAAATAAAGTGGATGAGGAGCGTATGCAAACAAGGCAATTGTTTATTTTTCTATAAGGCTTTTTTTAGTCATCTAAAACTATTTAATACTTTATATTCTTAAACATTTATACATACAGATAACACAAATATCCTATATTTTTTAAAACCTTAAATTACTTTAAAATGAAAACTGCTTAGGACATGTCTTTTTATGATATGATGGAACATGTATATAGTAACATTTATTTAAACTTCATTATACATTTTGCTTCTCTGTGACCTTGGGCAAGTTACTTAAGCTGACTCAATTTTCCCTTCTATAAAATGGAGATAACTATACCTTTTTTTTTTTTTGAGACGGATTCTCGCTTTGTCGCCCGGGCTGGAGTGCAGTGGCGCGATTTCGGCTCGCTGCAAGCTCCACCTCCCGGGTTCACGCCATTCTCCTGCCTCAGCCTCCTGAGTAGCTGAGACTACAGGCGCCCGCCATCACGCCTGGCTAATTTTTTTGTATTTTTAGTAGAGGCGGGGATTCACCGTGTTAGACAGGATGATCTTGATCTCCTGACCTCGTGATCCGCCCGCCTCGGCCTCCGAAAGTGCTGGGATTACAGGCGTGAGCCACCCCGCCCGGCCCTATTCTGTAGAGTTATTTTGAGGAATTGCTTATTAAATACCATGATGACGCTGATTATACAGTTGTTTCATTTTCATTTGAATATAGATTAGGTATTTGTATAAGTACAGTCGTATTCTAAATAAGCATTAGAAATGGTGCTATTTTCTTCTCCAATTGCTTCCTTTTGAATGCCCCATTTTTGTCATCTTGGAATCTTTTGTTGGTCACAGTAATCACATTTTAATGACTCAGATTGAACATTTCATGCTTGCATATAGTTCATTATACAACAGTTTGTCTATAAACATATATTAATACCAAATAATATTTCAAAAAGTCGGCCGGGCACAGTGGCTCACTCCTGTAATCCCACCACTTTGGGAGGCTGAGGCGGGGCGGATCATGAGGTCAAAAGATCGAGACCGTTGTGGCCAACATGGTGGAACCCCGTCTCTACTAAAAATACAAAAAAAATTAGCCGGGTGTGGTGGCACATGCCTGTAGTCCCAGCTACTCGGGAGGCTGAGGCAGGAGAATCGCTTGAACCCGGGAGGCGGAGGTTGCAGTGAGCCAAGATCATGCCACTGCACTCCATTCTGGTGACAGAGCGAGATTCCATCTCAAAATAAATAAATAAATAAATAAAAAATAAATGTCATCTAGCTTGTTTTGATGGTTCAAGTAAAGATAAGTCTTAACATTTGTGATGCTAATCTAAAGCTTTGTTAAACTGGAAATGAGACTTTGCTAAGCAGCATATGTGTAACAGGTGATCTGATCCATGTAGTCATTGTGCATGAGTGAATTAATGGTTTAAAATTTGACTTGTACTGCTTGATAAAAGAATGTTTCTATTAGGTTCTTGGCAGGGTCTCAGAATGTGATTTTATTCTTAGTTTGTGTGCTCTCATCTAATATTGCTTCTTTGGGTAGGGACAGAAGTAAGTTTTTGCCCTCAGTCTTTTGTTTTCAGTAATTAAGAACAAATAATACATATTGATAATCTGTTAATATTGCATAATATATTTGAAATGAAAGTAGCCTTTAGGTGTTATTGTAGAACATGTCAATCCAGTTTTGGCTGGGTGTGGTGGCACGTGCCTGTAGTCCCAGCTACTCAGGAGGCTGAGACAAGAGGATGTCTTAAGGCCAGAAATTTGAGACCAGCTTGGGCAATATAGCAAGACCTCTGTCTCAATTTAAAAAAAAATCAATTTGCCAGGGAGTGACAGAAGAATTCTACCTCAGTGAATTTATTTGGTGAGATAGCACTCTGTATCCAATTTTCTTTTAGTATTAAGCTGCTTGTTGTCAATCACTTTGTCAATGTGTTCACCTGTAACAGTGTTAGCCCATTTGCTCCCTATTACCACGTCTTTCTGCTAAGTATAATTGGCTCCTAGCCTGAAAATCAAAGCACATATACTAAGAAGTTTATGCTAAATAAAACGTATAAGATGAGGGAAGGCCTAAGGACTTGAGTTACTAACTAGTACATGGTTTTGTGAAAGCTGCGTTGAGCTCTGGGGAATTTTTTTTGTTTTTCTTATTTCTGAGCTGAGAATCTTGTTACAGAGGTTTAAGGTGGTTTGACTGCTAGATAAATAGATAGTGAATAGAAACTTATTTGGTATAGTCAAGAAATGAGTGAGCATTTCAGTTACTGAAGAATTACAAGATATGGCTAATATTACTGGTTTTTAAAGAATTAGAATGCAAATAATTTTTACTTAATCTTTGGTGAATTTGGTTCTGTCTTTGGTTCAGATGCTGTAGCTCTCTACTTAAAATCATTCTGAGGCTTCCCACTCATCTGATTTAATTTTTTTTTTTTTAGACAGAGTCTTGCTCTGTCGCCCAGGCTGGAGTGCAATGGCACCATCTCAGCTCACTACAGCCTCTGCCTCCTGGGTTCAAGTGATTCTCCTGTCTCAGCCTCCCAAGTAACTGGGATTACAGGCACGCTCCACCACATCCAGCTAATTTTTGTATTTTTAGTAGAGATGGGGTTTCGCTATGTTGTCCAAGCTGGTCTCAAACTTCTGAGCGCAAGTGATCTTCCTGCCTCAGCCCCCCAAAGTGCTGGGATTACAGGCGTGAGCCACCACACCCGGCCAAATCTGATAAAAATTTTGAAAAATCAGTATCCTGCATGGTCTGGCTTCCTACCTCATCTCTTAGCAGCCCGTTGCCTTGCCCTTTGTTTTTCGGCACGTATTATTAGGACCTTCCTTAGACCCTGGAACCTCCCACATGCTTTTCTTCCTTTGATCTTTCCGGTGCTGTTTTCTTTGAGTAGAATATATCCCTCTCTCTTTGCCAGTGGTTTACTCAGTTTGTGTGTTTTTTTTTCTTTTTTTGGTGAGCTCAGCTCAAACTTGACTTCTTCAGAGAAGTCTTCTGTAAAACCACCAGAGTTCAAGTCCTCTATTTTACATGTTTATATGAATCTTTTTTTTTTTTTTTTTTTTTGAGACAGAGTCTAACTCTGTCGGCCAGGCCGGAGTGCAGTGGCACGATCTCAGCTAACTGCAACCTCCGCCTGCTGGGCTCAAGCAATTCTCCTGCCTCAGCCTCTGAGTAGTTGGGATTACAGGCATGTGCCACCACACCCGGCTAATTTTTGTATTTTTAGTAGAGACGGGGTTTCACCATGTTGGCCAGGCTGGTCTCGAACTCCTGACCTCAGGTAATCCACCTGCCTCGGCCTCCCAAAGTGCTGGGATTACAGGCGTGAGCCACCGCACCCAGCCTGTTTCTATGAATCTTTTATGTCTCCATCATAGCACTTGTAGTGACTGTCATTAAGTAGTTAATTGTGAAATTTGTCATTTAATGCATGCCTTCATAGCTGAAATATAGGCTCCATGAAGGCAGGGACTGTCATTGTTTTCCATAGTATCTTTAAGGATGAGCATTTAATGCTCAGTATCTTTTTTTTTTTTCCAAGGCAGAGTTTCACTCTGTTGCTCAGGCTGGAGTGCAGTGGCATGATCATGGCTCACTGCAGCCTCTACCTCCTGGGCTCAAGGGATCCTCCTGCCTCAGCCTCCAGATTAGCTGGGACCACAGGTGTGTGCCACCATGCCTGGTGAATTTTTTTGTATTTTTTGAGAGATAGGATCATACTATTTTGCCCACGCTAGAGTGAAACTCCTAGGCTCAAGCAGTCTGCCTACCAGGGCCTCCCAAAGTGCTGGGATTACAGGTGTGAGCCCCTGTACCCAGCCAATGCTCAGTATTTTTAATACTTAGTGTTTGACGGGTAGCTGGCTATCAATAAGTATTTATCCAATAAGTAAATGAATGAGTAGTGCTTAGATAACATTATTCATGTATCTCATTATGCCATTATTCATTATTATATAATTCTGAGCTTTTTTTTGTTTTTTTTTTGAGACAGAGTCTCGTTCTGTCGCCCAGGCTGGAGTACAGTGGCATGATCTCGGCTCACTGCAACCACCACCTTCCAGGTTCAAGTGATTCTCCCGCCTCAGCCTCCCAAGTAGCTGGGATTATAGGCGCTTGCCGCCACGCCCGGCTAATTTTTGTATTTTTAGTAGAGACAGGGTTTCATCGTGTTGACCAGGCTGGTCTCAAACTCCTGACCTCAGGTGATCTGCCTGCCTTGGCCTACCAAAGTGCTGGGATTACAGACGTGAGCCACCGTGCCTGGCTGCATTTTTTTTTTCTTCAATTTTTAAAAGTGAGCAATGGACTGGGCGTGGTGGCTCATGCTTGTAATCCCAGCACTTTGGGAGACTTAGATGGGTGGATCTCTTGAGTTTAGGATTTCAAGACCAGCCTGGGCAATGTGGCGAAACTCCATCTCTACAAAAAATACAAAAATTAGCTGGGTGTGGTGGCATGCGCCCGCACCTGTAGTCCCAACGACTGAGTAGGCTGAGGTGGGAGGATCACTTGAACTCGGGAGGCGGAGGTTACAGTAAGTTGAGATCATGCCACTGCACTCCAGCCTGGGTGACAGAGTGAGACCCTGCCTCTAAAATAAAGGGAGCAGTGAACATAAAAATAAGTCTCTTTTTCTGTTTAACGTGTAAAATGCCAATGGTTCTAGGAAGAACAGCTTTTAGTAAATAAAAGTGTTTTTTTTAGAAAAATTCTTGCGTACTATTTTTTTCTGCTAAAAATTAATGTAACTAATTGTGCTCTATTATAACTTTTTAAAAATTAACGAATACAAATAAAATGCTGGTCCCAGGATGCTTTTTGTTCATGAAAGAAAAATGACATTCAAAACACTATGTAGCTGGCCAGGTGCAGTGGCTCATGCCTGTAATCCCAGCACTTTGGGAGGCCGAGGCGGGCGGATCACCTGAGTTTGCTAGTTTGAGACCAGCCTGACCAACATGGTGAAACACCATCTCTACTAAAAATACAAAATTAGCCAGGGGTGCTGGCGCATGCCTTTAACCCCAGCTACTTGGGAGGCTGAGGCAGGAGGATCGCTTGAACCCAGGGGCCAGAGGTTTCACTGAGCCGAGATCGCACCGTTGCCCTCTAGCCTGGGTGACAGCGAGACTCCATCTCAAAAAAAAAAAAAAATGTAGCTTACTGACATTTCAGATGTGTGATGTGTTAAATGTCTGCATGGCCTTTCATTTTCTGCTGCCAAGTCATACTGAATGGGATTCTCGTACATTTTTAAAGGATGGAAATAAATAAAATACTGAGTCTATAATTCATTTAACAAATATTTCTTGAGCTTCAACCATATGCCAGGCATTTGATATGTAAGGGTGAACAAAATGCACAGGGTTCCTGTGCTCAAGGAATTTATACTTTAGTTGGCAGAGACAGACCACAATCTGATTATCACAGAAATAAATAGACAATGGCAACCCAGTGTGTACTATTAAAGGAGAAAGTAGGAGAGCAATAGGTTGATACCCCTTACCTAGACTGGGTAGTAGAAAACGGATGTTTTTCCCGGAGGAAGTGACACTTGAGAAAGGATCTAAAGGAAGATGAGTTTGTCAGGTAAAGGTTCCAGACAGAAGGAACAGCATGTACAGAGGCCCTTGAGGCAGGAGGAGCACGGTTTTGAACTTACAGAAGCCAATGGAACTGGATCAGAAAAGAGGTGTGGGAAAGGAGTTTAATAGAGCTGGAGAGGTAGGCATATACCACATCAGCATCCTAGACAACATTAAAGATTTGAGTCATTAAAATGTCATTACTGTCACCAGTTTAGATTATGAAATCTAAATATCTGTCAGTAGAGGCTAGTCAAATAAATCACAGTATAACGATGTAAAGGAATACTGTGTAGCTGTGAAAAAAGTGAATGAGGAAATTTACAACTGTCAAGTTGAAATATAGAGACAAATCTCTGAGATTAAAATATTTTATTTGAGAAGAAAATTGCAGGCCAGGCATGGTGGCTCATGCCTGTAATCCTAGCACTTTGGGAGGCCGAGGTGGGCGGGTCACTTGAGGTCAGGAGTTTGAAACCAGCCTGGCCAACATGGTGAAACCCCGTCTCTACTAAAAATAAGAAAATTAGCCATGCGTGGTGGCAGGCTCCTGTAATCCTAGCTACTTGGGAGGCTGAGGCAGAAGAATCGCTTGAACCTGGGAGGGAGAGGTTGTAGTGAGCCAAGATCACGCCACTGCAGTCCAGCCTGGGTGACAGAGCCAGACTCTGTCTCAAAAAAAAAAAAGAGAAAGGCAATTTGGGAAATACACACAGACCATGTGGTCTTGGCTGTCTGAAGAACAAAGAGGTTAGAGGTTTTATAAAAAGGAGAAATGTTACATATCACTCTTCAAGAAAGCTCATTGGCACTAGTAAGGTTTTGGGGAGCTGGCAAGCTCTGACTGGCATGTAATCAACTTTCACGCAACCTACTCAAAAAATAAAAATTCAATTTAATATTGAAATTTCAAAAAACGGAATTGAAAAGGAGAAAAATTCTATGGCATATGTATATGTCCTATATGAGATTTTAAAGGATTCTTTCAGCATAGTAGGTTATCATTTTCTCTGAATTTATTGTAATAATAATTATATATCATTTTGTTATAATATCTTGAGAATATATTTATTATATCTCAAGTCAGATATATTTTGTAAAGTATTATAGTAGTTAAGAACACTTTTGCTGGTGTGAGATCCTGAGTTCATATTCTGGCACTGTAATTTGTACAGTTGGTTAACTGGGAAAATTGCTTGAACTCTCTAAAACTGTTTTGTCTTCTGTAAAATGAAAATAATACTATTTATCTGATAAAGTTGAGGTGCGAATGATATGATATACATGTGAAGCACTTGAGAGAATGCCTAGATATGCTGCTCACGTAAGAAAAAGTTACATATTATCCCTTTCTATGAAAATATCTTCTAGGGCCGGGTGCGGTGGCTCACACCTGTAATCCCAGCACTTTGGGAGGCTGAGGTGGGTGGATCATGAGGTCAGGAGTTCAAGACCAGCGTGGCCAACATGGTAAAACCCCGTCTCTACTAAAAATACAAAAAAATTAGCCAGACGTGGTGGCACGCGCCTGTAATTCCAGCTACTTGGGAGGCTGAGGCAGGAGGATTGCTTGAATCCAGGAGGTAGAGGTTGCAGTGAGCTGAGATTGAGCAACTGCACTCCAGCCTGGGTGACAGAGCAAGACTCCGTCTCGAAAAAAAAAAAAAGAAAAGAAAAAAAAGAAAATATCTTCTAATTAATACCACATCTCAAAAGTTTGAATGCACAGAGAGAATACTGAAAGGATTTATGCCAATAAGTTATTGTAGTTGCTTCTGACAAGTAGGATTATGGCTGATATTTGTTTCTTGCTTTTTGTTTTGTGTATTTTCTAAATTATGAGTCATGAGCATGTATTTAAAATTAGTAACATCTGCCATTTAAATATGCTACCTTTCCTATTAATTTTTAGTAGCAGCTTTTTTGGCAGTGTTAGAAAGTCTACACATCCTGATTCAAATTATGTTACTGCTTGATTCTACAAATTTATCCATAACTTTGTGCTTTCTTCCTTGTATTTTGATTAATTTTAAAAGGCTTTGTGGCTGGAGCTGCTAAATTGTGATTGGAATGGGAAAGGGCTTGCATTTTGAGACCATCTGTGGGAGTTGCATTGTCTGAAACTGACGAGATCATGGCAGATGGCGAGGTCAAAAGATTGACTTTTTGAGCTTGACATAATGTGTTCATGAAGCTGGAAGAAGAAATCCAACTTATTTTTTTAACTAACAGAAGAGCTTGGTGACAGGAAGAAGTGTGCAATTGTTGAGTCTGGATAAAACATAATGCATCAGTGCACATGACTGGTTTATCTCTGAGAATCATCCATACTGCCAAAGATGGCAACTTCTTGAACCTTTCTGTGCCAAATTTATTTAATTTCTAGACACTTTGGAAAGTTTAAGTCATACAATGCAAATAATTTATAGATTAAAGACAATGTCAAAAAAGACAAAAACTTTAAAACTATTTAGAAATGTGTATTTTTAAATTAAAATGCTATAAAGTATCACTCAAAGCCAATACAGCATACTTAATTTTTAATTGAATGAAGAAAGTCTCTATCACAATCCCATTTGTTTTTACAATGTCTATCTTAATGTAACTTTATTTCTTTAAAATTACATTTGAACGTTTGGTGATTACAGTCTTTCTCATCTACTAGGCTGTCTTCATTGCCTGAGATAGTGCCATGCACATAGTGACTGTTCAGTATTTGCTGGATGAGTAATGAATGAATGAAGTTATTGCCTACTCTTGTTAATTTTAGAAGAGTTTTTTTTTTTAACCACAATTAAACAGGTTTTTTTTCTATTTTGAAATTGGGTTTATGTTATGGTATTTTTCACTTCTACCATGTGGGAATTATGTATTATTTATTTTAGAGAAGGAAGCCTTAATTTGTCATGAGAAATCAATGAACAGATTTTTTTCCCCCCTCTAACATTGAATGCTTAACTTGTGCTAGGCAGTGTCTTAGTAATTTTACATGTATTGACTCATTTAATTAAGTGGCTGACTCTTACTATTTTAGAGATGAAGAAATTGAGACACAGAGATGTTAAGGTAAATTTGCTTAAGAAATCCATGCGCTTTGGCTTTATTTCAAACATTTATTATTTAGGTAATACTTAGAGATTCCAGTTTGTGCTGTACTCTGGTGTGGAGAGTCAAAGGAATACCAAACAAAATTGTACTTTGTTCTGTGAAGCTCATTAATATGGCTATTTTTATTGGTACCCTCTTACTATATTGTGCTGAAATAGTAATACTCTGTTAATTTCATTTTATTTACGTGAATAACACAGTGACCCTCATTAGCCCAGCCCTTAGGAAATATAACATCATTGAGTACTGAATTCAGAAATGGAGCAGATGCCCGGAGACAAGCAGCTCTAGCCATCACAACTATGCTCTGGGCACAAAAAAACACAAAGGGTGGGGAAAAAGGACACCTACTAGTTGAATCTGGTAGCCCACACCAACAATGTCTGCTTATATTTCATTGGCCAGAATTATGTTATCTGTGATATGGTTAGCCCATCTGAGAGGAAGGTTGACGATGTAGTATTTGTAGTTGGGGGCACATTGCCACTTCAGCTTGTAAGGAAGAAGAGGAAAATGATATTGGGTAGGCAATAGTATTTGCTTTGGAAATATAGAGTGTTTCTAAAATGTAACATGTTCAAACCATTTGATGGAAAAGACTTAGTAGTTTTTTTGTTATAACTGTATTTCAGCAGGTCATGAGATAGTCTTAAATTTGTTAAAATTGAACTTTTTTGTTGTTAGGAGTGTTCAGAATATGTATAAACTGGAGGGCGTATAAACTCTTAACATAACTCTGAAACATTCAGTGTATCAGTTTTTCAGATGAAGACATGGAGGCTCTAAGAGGTTAGGTTACTTGTTCAGGATCACACAACTAAGTATCAGAGCTGAGACGGAGCCAAAGTCCATACTCTTTCCACTCTACTGCACTGCTGCTTTATTTATTAGATGCTGACTTCAAGCAGGACACTTACAACCAGGCTGTTAATTTGTTGATTTTTTTTCTATTTCATTAATTTATGCTCTTTGTTTCTTTTCATATTTCTTTGAGTTCTCACTGTTCTTTTACGTATTTAAATTGATTGATGGCTTAATGAATAAAAAGAAATATAAATATACCCTAAGTACTAGTTCTGCTGGATTTTATAAGTTTTTTTAAATTTTCATTGTCATTTCTTTCTGAATATTTTATTTTTTAATTGTTATTCTAGTTCTAAATATTTCACATTCATGGAGTGTTTAATAATATAGCTAAATATATGACTTTTAACTTTCTAAAAAATAGTTGATTCCTAATTTAATTGCATTGTAGTCAGAGACCATAATCTGTGTAATATTTCCTCTCTGAAATTTTTGCTTCCCCTTGGTGATAGCATATATGGACAAATTTTATAAATTTGTGCCTAAAGAGATGTTTCAGATCTATTAGATACAGAATTCTGTATAGATCTGTTAGATCAAGCTTGGTTGAAATATTAATCTTCAAAATGCAATACTTAACATTTTAACTTTAAATTATTAGTTTGAATATGCCAGGTAGTCTGTTGAATGGGATATCAGGAATTTGTGCTTTATTATTTATCTTACATTTAAATTTATATCACTAGAGAGGACGTAAGAAATAATTGATAAATGTAGAACAGATATAGCATAGGAACTTTATTTTTAGATTAGGTCATAATAGACATTGTACAACTACTGTAAGCAAAACTTGTAATTGTGGTTCAGGTTTTACTTCGATTTTTAAATTTATGCTTTATCATTGAAAAATTACAAATTCAGTGTTTTATTGAAAAGCAAAAGAAAGGAGGGGGGAGCATCAGGACAAATAGCTAATGCATGTGGAGCTTAAAACCTAGGTGACGGGTTGATAGGTGCAGCAAATCACCATGGCACACGTATACCTATGTATACCTATGTAACAAAACTGCATGTTCTGCACATGAAAAAAACAGAAAAAAAAAACCTTGCTTTTCTTCTACAAAATTTTACTTGTAGATTCAAATTCTAACATATAAGGCAGCCATTTGAAGCCCCCATTTCTTTGAACACCCATTATTTATGATCTTTGCGAAGTTAAGTTTTACTTTATCCTTCCCCTTGAATGTCTTATTAAAGTTTAATTTTGAGATAATTTTAAAATAAGAGAAAAGTTACAAAAATAGGTCAAAGAACTCCCAGATGCCCTTCACCCAGATTCACCAGTTGTAACCATTTTGTCACATATTCTTTATTATTCTTTCTCTGTATAGTGAGACCATATTTTGTCATCATTTGAGAGTAAGTTGCCACCATTATACCCCTCCACTCCTAAATATTTTAGTGTATTTTTTATAAGAAAGAGGACACTCAATTATAGAAAACTCCATAGTTTTTGGAATCCAAAAAGATGTGAGGAAAAGAAAACTCCAAGTTCATTGATCAAAGTCAGGAAATGTAACATTGAAACAATACTATTATCCAGTCTGTAGATCTAATCTCCAATTACCCAAATAATGGTCTTCACAGCAGTTTTTTTTTTCTAGTTCAGTGTCCTGACCAAGATCACAGGTTGAATTCAGTTTTCATATGTTTTTAGTCTTTTTTTAAATTTTTTATTTATTTAATTTTTTTTGAGAAGGAGTCTCTTTCTGTTTCCCAGGCTGGAGTGCAATGGCGCGTTCTCGGCTCACTACAACCTCCACCTCCTGAGTTCAAGCAATTCTCCTGCCTCAACCTCCCAAGTAGCCAGGACTACAGACACGCACCACCACACCCAGCTAATTTTTTTGTATTTTTAGTAGAGAAGGGGTTTCACCATGTTGGCCAGGCTGGTCTCGAACTCCTGACCTCAGGTGATCCACTCGCCTCAGCCTCCCAAAGTGCTGGGATTACAGGCGTGAGCCGCTGCGCCCAGCAGTTTTTAGTCTTTTTAAATCTGGAAAGTTTCTCAGCCTTTCTTTGCCATTCATGACACTAACATTTTTTGAAGAATTCAGGCCATTATTTTGTAGAATGCCTCTCAATTTGGATTTCTCTGATATTTCCTCATGATTAAATTTAGATTTTGCATATTGGGCAAACGTACCTCAGAATTCATGCTGTATCCATCTCAGTGCGCTTGAAGAGACACATGTTGGCTTGCCCCATTATTGGTAATCATTTGGTAACTTTGATCACTTGGCTAAAGTGATTTATGCCATATTTCTTTCACTAGAAAATTTGAATTAGTAGGTATTTTGTAGGGAGATATTTCAACGCTATGGAAATATCCTATTTTTCACCATATTTTCACTGACTAGTTTTACTGTGTATTAATTATTCTTTTCTTATTAGTTATGATGGTTCCAAAATGGAAGTTTTACTAACTGTATCACTCATTTATATTTATTAGTTGGCGTTCTACTGCAAAGAATTTCTCATCTCCCCCTTTAGCCCCAGTAATCCTGGATTATTATTTTATTCAATGGGTTTATAATCTGTTACTATCATTATGTACTTTGGTGTTCAGTTGTTGAAAATTGTCCAGCTGTAGGCTCTATTCAATGGGTTTATAATCTGTTACTATCAGTATGTACTTTGGTGTTCAGTTGTTGAAAATTGTCCAGCTGTAGGCTCTTTAAGCTGATTTCTGTGTACTTTTGACATGTCTCCATCATTTTTTGAGCCCTTCCTTACTTTAGGCACAATAAGATGTTCTAGGTTTATCTTGTACTAGAATCAGCCATTTCTCCAAGAAGCCCTGGTGTTTCTTTCAGTGGATTTTCTAAAGCAGCATAGCCTAATACCATTTCAAAGCCCAGGCTCCAGCACTTGTGAACTGAGTTGACATGGTCAAATTAGTTAACCTTTCTAAGCCCTAGTTTTTATTTGGAAAATGGGGATTAAGATGGTACAAACCTCATAGTGTTGTTGTGAAGATTAATTTAGACAGTTCACTTAGATAACAATGCATGTCACATAGTAAATATGACATAAATGTTGCCTATTATTATTATTACATTACTATTCCCTCTGTTTTCCTTTAACAGGTTGTTCTTTTAAAGAATTATTGAAGACGAAGGTTTTTTTCTTTTTATTTTTTTAATGGCTTTACAGAATCTTAAATAGAATACAGTTTGACATGACGGCAAAAAATGTAAGTATTTGTAAATTTTTTAATGTAAGTATTGTTTAAAGTGAGCTGTGCTTTTTCCTACATATTTTCTCACCATTCTGGTTAACCAGATTTAATTTACTTGCATGGATTTATAATTGTATTTGTTTATGTTTATGCAGAATATGAGATAAGCTTTAATGCGATTGAATATGGTGCCCTAATGGAGATAGTAGCATTCTTGCAAATTGGCACCAAGTTACTTCTCAACAGCTGCAAATTGCTATCTCCAGAAGGTTTCCCACCCTGCCCTCCTCTTTTGGATATTGTAATAAATTTGTTTTGGTACTTGCTGGAGGGTTACTTGGCCTTTTTGAGCAAATCACTGTTTTCTTTGGCTTATTTTTTTTTTTTTTTTTTGGTTACTCAGGGAAATGTATGTGCTCAGATATTGTCTGAAAGTAGCTTGCTACCTTCCATGAGATGGTTCCTGAAGAAACATTAGATTTTAGATGTTTTGGAGAAGTTATTCAAGTTTTTCCCTCTACTTGAGGTGATCATTTCTGAATATACCTCCTTTCAAGTTGTATGTCACTCTTTATTTATTTATTTGTCACTGTTTATTAATGAGTTTGTTTCCAGTTATGGTAAAGAATTGTGCCTTAAAGAGTACAACATATAGGGGAATTATTTGTAAATTGCTTTACTGTTCCAATGTTATATGTATTAAAGTCTAATTGCTTTACTGTTCCTATATTATTATGTAGGAATCTTTGACTGGGAATTAAACAAAAAGGGAATTTGTTATAAAGATGCAGGGATATCTCAAGGAATTTAAGAGTGGGAATTTTATGGGCCCTCAGAAAGATCCAGGCCCAGAAACTAGAAATCCAGCAGGAATTGAAGCAGTATTTGGTTTTCATTTCTCATCTCTCTCAGCTTGTTACTGTGTACCTGCTTCATTTCTCCCTCTGTCTGTCTGTCCAAATCATCTTTCTCAGTTCCCCAGCCAGGATGGTGGAACATGGCCCCACTCAGCATTTCCATCTATATGTTAGGGGACCAGCCTGTTCAGAGAGAGGTGTGAAGAAAGGGAAGGAGGCAGGCCAGGCATGGTGGCTCACGCCTGTAATCCCAGCACTTTGGGAGGCCAAGGTGGGCAGATCACCTGAGGTCAGGAGTTCGAGACCAGCCTGGCCAACATGGTGAAACCCCGTCTCTACTAAAAATACAAAAAGTAGCCAGGCGCGGTGACAGACGCCTGTAATTCCAGCTACTCGGGAGGCTGAGGCAGGAGAATCCCTTGAACCCGGGAGGCGGAGGTTGCAGTAAGCTGAGATTACCCCATTGCACTCCAGCCTGGGGGACAAGAGCGAGACTTCGTCTCAAGAAAAAAAAAGGGAAGGAGGTAGCTTGATGCATCCTGCCTGCCTTTCTAGTTTCAGACTCCTTAGGAGGAGCCTCTGGCACAGTTAAAGTCTGATGTTGACTAGTGCTTTAGTTAGTTGTGACCAGGAGAAGCAAGTGTTGTTGCATGAAATGGCTGCTGAGGGTCCAGCACAGTGTGTGAGGAAAGATGATAAAGGGTTTCTTGTGAGTCAGACCGATAGTTCTAAATATTGCCCATTATGCAGCCGAACAATAGCGTTAACAAACAAATCCTTATTGCATTATGTCTGTTTGCTTATTTTGGGTTATAATTCAGAACATTGCTTTTAACATGCATTGGTAACTAGAAGCAGATACAGATTTTGCTTCATTATCATTTGGGGACAGTCATCAAGATTTATTGAGTCATTAGGATATGAGGGCAGGAAAGAAGTTAGAGACTTCTCAGTATTTGACTTGTGTAACTGGGTAAATGACTGTGCTGTTTAATTAGAAGAGGAATTCTTAGGGAGGTATAGGATATTGTGATAAACTTAAATATTCTGTTTTGAACATACTAAAGTTGAGAAACCTAAAAACTTCCAAGTGGAGATATTGGCTAGGCGATTTGATAAGTGACTCTGGCGCTCAGGGGAAAGCTTAGGAATGGAGGTAGAAATTTTGGGGTCATTTCTTTTTTTTTTTTTTTGAAATGGAGTCTTGCTCTGTTGCCCGGGCTGGAATACAATGGCACAATCTCAGCTCACTGCAACCTCTGCCTCCCAGGTTCAAGTGATTCTCCTGCCTCAGCCTCCCAAGTAGCTGGGATTACAGGCATGTGCACCATGCCCGGCTAATTTTGTATTTTTAGTAGAGACGGGGTTTCTCCATGTTGGTCAGGCTGGTCTCAAACTCCCGACCTCAGGTAATCTGCCTGCCTCAGCCTCCCAAAGTGCTGGGATTATAAGTGTGAGCCACCGCGCCTGGCCCGGGTCATTTCATATTAAAATCATTGTAAAGCAATGGGACTACATGTGATCATATAGTGAGTGCATGGATAGCAAATATATAAGGACCAAGGTCTGAGCACAGGGATTCTCCAACAAAAAGGTGGAAAGCAAGAGAAGCCATAAAGGACACTCAAAGAATGGGCAAAGACAGGAAGAAAAGAGTTATCCTGATGATCTGGAGGCCCAGGTGAAGAAAGTGTTTCAAGGGGAAGTGATCAATTGTGTCACATGTTACTGAGAAGTGACTCACAAACACAGAAGAGATTGTAGATAGGGAAGAGATTGCCCTCTTACAGAGGCATTACTAACCATGTATTCAAATATGTACATTTTAAATTTTCTCATTTTACATGTCTCTGATGACAACAGTTTTTTTGTGAAGAGTTACTTTTGTCTTATCCATGCTTTATTAGGTCTCTTATAGTTGCAAATGATCGAAACCCTATCAAAACAGCTTAACACAAAAAGTGGAATGTATTGACTTATATAATTGAAAAGTCTAGAGGCTGCTTCAAACACATCTAGATTCCAGGGATCAAACGATGATGTCAGGGGTCTGTCTTCTTCCATCTTTAGGCCTTCTGTATGGTGGCATAATGGCTTGCATTGGCCTCATAATACTTGTCTCAGAAGGAGAGAGAGAACTTTTGTGTTTTAAAGAGATGGAGTCTGGCTATGTTGCCCAGGCTGGTCTCAAACCCCTGACTTCAAGGGATCTGCCTGACTTGGCCTCCCATAGTGCTAGGATTACAGGTGTGAGCCACTGCACCTGGCCCCTTTTTAGTATTTATGTTTCAAAATCTACGGAGAAGTTTGAGTTGACCTTGCTTAAACTCCGTGGAGATGGAAGTGGGATACGGTAAGTGGCCAGGCTTTGAGTCATGAGCCCACTTTGAGCCTCTAAGATTAATTGTCTTACTAGAACTACATGAGATGTAGGATTGATCACTTTGCAAAAGGAAGAGGTGAGGAGCTGGCAACATATTTATTGTATCTGGGGTGAAATTGCTATCAAATAGTATCTAGTATCCAGTAATATTTTTCTAGACCAAAAATGCAGTTGTGTTCTAATTTAAGCAATAATACAGTAAATAATTTGAAATATAATTTTTGAGGGTTTTTTTTTTTTGCCTTGTCAATGAATCTTTAAGAAAAACATGTAGGCTGTAATACTCATTATGGAAAAATTAGAAAATACAGATAAAGAAAAGAAAAAATAGCCTAGAGACTGTCAGCAAAATTTTGCTTAGGAAGATATCTGATTTGTATACAAATTTGTATATGTAGCAATCAAAATGTATAGACATTGGCCCAGCGCGATGGCTCACGCCTGTAATCCGAGCACTTTGGGAGGCCAAGGCAGGCGATACTTGAGGTCAGGAGTTCGAGACCAGCCTGGCCAACATGGTAAAACCCCATCTCTACTAAAAATACAAAAATTAGCTGGGTGTGGTGGCAGTGTGCCTGTAATCCCAGCTACTTGGGCCAGAGGGGCTGAGGCAAGATAATCACTTGAACCTGGGAGGCAGAGGTTGCAGTGAGCCGAGATCGTGCCACTACACTCTAGCCTGGGCAATAGGGACTATAAATTGCTGGGTTTATGGACATGAGCCACCGTGCCTGGCTACTATTTAATTTCTGTGATGAATGCATTTTCTTATCTTGATATCTCTGGAACATCATTTTAAGTGTCTATTTTAGTTTAGTTTAGTTTGGGACAGGGTCTTGCTCTGTTGCCCCGGCTGGAGTGCAGTGGCATGATCATGGCTCACTGCAGCCTCCACCTCCTGGGCTCAAGCGATGCTCCCACCTCAGCCTCTCCAGTAGCGGAACTACAGGCACCTTGCCCACTTAATTTCTTCTTTTCTTTGTAGGGACAGGATCTCACTATGTTCCTTAAGGCTGGTCTCAAACTCTTGGGCTCAAGCAATCTTCCTGCCTTAGCCTCCCTAGGTGCTCCTATTACAGGCATGAGCCATGGTGCCTGGCCTAAGTGGCTATTTTATGTTATTTATTGTATGGATATTACACCAGTTTCCTAATATTGACCATTAAGTTACTTCTGCTTTTTTCCTTTTTGGAACATTTTGTCTGTTTTTGCTCACTCATCATATTATCTCCAGAAGAAAAATTCTATGAAATTACTGAGCCAAAGTGTGTATAATTTTTTAGAGCTTTTGATTCATATTGCTAAGATTGCACAGATTTATATATATACTTGTGGTATATGAAAGTGACATTTCTTTTTATATGTTTATAAATCTTTGCCAATTTAATCAGCAAAAAATGGTGTGCAATTTATTACATTTCTCTGATTACTAGTTAAGTAAACTAACATTCTGTATGTTTATTGGTCATTTGCATTTCTCTTTTGCATATGGTCTGTGTCAGGGTTGAAGTGTTGGAAGCCATTGCCATTTGGATGACAACCCACACTTAAATATTGCTTTGGCATATTAATAGATATATTTTTGCCAAATTAACAGATAAATTTACATAATCATTTGACTCGATCCTATGAGCTCTTTAGTTTGTCTTGCACATACGTTCTATCATTCCCATTTTGTAGTGACCGTTCCACGATCACCTTGCCTGTGAAAGGTAGAGCTTAACTGAGCACAGATGATCTTACTCTGAACATTTCAGTAATGTTATGTCAGTCAGAAATGTTGAATATCAATGAAATTACAATATTATTAGTCAATATGATCTGATTCTTAAAAATTGAACTTAAATACTTTGAATTCAGTAAACGCATAGTGACTGGTTATATAGTACACAACACAGCATTGGAATACCCACTATAGTAACCATTTTATATATATGTATCTTATAACATCATGTTTTATACCTTAAATACAGACAATACAATTTATTTTTAAAAATTGAGAAAAAAGAGAGGAATACTCAGCATATTTTCCTCAGGACATGATTAGGCAAAGAATTTAACATGAAATATGAGTTCACTTTTTTCTCTTGTTCATTGAAAGATAAGTCCTTTTTAAATAGGTAGAATAAGGGAAGAATGGCTAATATTTTAGGATGCTTTCGCTAGCCAACTTTTTCTACTCTCAAATAATACAGTTTTTTTGAATCTTTACAAAATGTTTATGATAGTAGAAATTAATACATATTTTGAAGTTTTAATTAAATATATTTTGGTTTTATATATAAGCTTTAAATACAAACACCTCCCCTCCATCTATGAGACTAAGATTAGCATGCAGTATGGACTCACAATTGACTTTTATCTTTTTGGAGTACAATTTGTTGGTTCTTAAGATGCAGGTGTACAGCTGCTTAAAAAGTTTCCACATTCGTTGGCTGTTTTACTCTGCAGAAGTTGGATATTAAGAGCAGGTGTTTAAGCATAACGGTAACCCAGTAACTGAACTCTCTATTATGAATATGTGGTTTTAGTTGAGGTTTTTGAGGTTTAGTTGAGGTTGTATAATAACAAAAAGGTATAAACTGATCCTTTTGAAGTTATTATAATACATGTATTTAAATGGTTATATTGTATCAAGCATGGAATTTATTAAAGGCTGTCTTTGCCTTCTTTGCTTTCTTTTTAAAGTAGAACACCAACAAGTTTTGCCTCTGTCATCTTCCTATAGCAGAAGAGTTTAAAAAGGAGGGGGGAGTTATTAGTAATGGCACAATAAACTCTTCAACAAATCAACAAGTTGGATATTTAACATTATTTGTGAGCAACTGAAGAGCCATAACATATAGTTATTTGTTGCAAATTTTGTTGGAAAGTATTGTCTTTATTTCTAACTGAAAAGTGATAAGAAGCTGGACAAAGTTAAGTATCTGCACTATTATCTACATAGAATTAAGAGGCCATTTTCTAGATGACTTAGTCTCAGCTACTGTCATAAAAATTTGATGATGATAGATTCTAGAGATTTGCATCAAAATCACTTGTTAGGATATGAAAAATATGTAAAAATATTACTGCTAACATACTTCTTGACAGAAAGAAACAGCTATTAGTAGAGCATTTGAATTCTTAGTAGAGCATTGAATTATCAAATAATGAAATAATTAGCTCTTACATTGATATTATAAACTATCAAATAATTGCTTATGAAAAATATAAATACAGCCAGGCGTGGTGGCTCACGCCTGTAATCCCAGTACTTTGGGAGGCCAAGACGGGTGGATCACTTGAGGACAGGAGTTTGAGACCAGCCTGACCAACATGGTGAAACCCTGTCTCTACTGAAAATACATAATTAGCTGGGCGTGGTGGTGGACGCCTGTAATCCCAGCTACTTGGGAGGTTGAGGCAGGAGAATTGCTTGAACCCGGGACGCAGAGGTTACAGTAAGCCGAGATTGTGCCACTGCACTCCAGCCTGAGCAACAAAAACGAAACTCCATCTGAAAAAAAAAAGAAGAAGAAAAATATAAGTAGTCAGTGTTTAGAACAATAAGTGGATAGTTATAAAGTTATAAAGCTTTGTGTGCTTTAAAATCTTTTCAGATTGCTGGAGATCTGATGTGCTGCACAGTGATGATAATTAATAGTACTGTATTGTGTGCTTGTAATTTGCTAAAAGGATAGATCTTAAATTGAATCTTCGCAACACACATATACACAATAATAGCTATATAGAGGTAATGGATATGTCAGCTTGACTGTGGTGATCATTTTACAATGTATACATATATCAAAACATCAAGATGTACACCTTAAGTGTATGCCATTTTTATATATCAATGATATCTCAGTAAAGGGGTTAAAAAATCCTTTCCATGTGGTAGTGTCTTGAAAGTATAGTTTGAGGGCTGGGCGTGGTGACTGATGCCTGTAATCCCAGCACTTTGGGAAGCTACGGTGGGCAGATCACTTGAGGTCAGGAGTTCGAGACCAGCCTGGCCAACATGGTGAAACCCCTTCTCTACTAAAAATACAAAAATTAGCTGGGCGTGGTGGCAGGTGCCTGTAATCCCAGCTACCTGGGAGGCTGAGGCAGGAGAATCACTTGAACCCGGGAGGCGGAGGTTGCAGTGAGCCAAGATGGTGCCATTGCACTCCAGCCTGGGCCACAAGAGTGAAACGCCATCTCAAAAAAAAAAAAAAAAGTACAGTTTGAGGTATCATACCACAAACTTGTGATGTTACAAGTTAGTGTAATGTAACAAAATTGTAATGTTTCAAGGTTACAAATCTTCAATGCTTACAAAAAGTATTTGATAGTAATAATAGAGCCAATTTTTGGATGTTTGCGTTCTGCCAAGTTTTCAAAAATTGAGGGTTTTTTTTCCTCCAGGCTTTGTAATATATTTCTGATATTCTGTTTGATGATATTCCTGTATTCAGCTCTGTGATGCCAAGTAGTGTAGTGGATATTACCTTAAATGAAATAAATTATCTAAAAGTGAATTCATAAATACTTGCTGTGGGTAGTCCCTCAAGTATAATACTGACAGTAACGTATGCTGACATGGATTGAGCAGTATGTGCCAAATCCTGTGCTATATGCTTTACATGAATTATCTCATTTAGTCTTTATAACAACCTGAATTGCTAAGTACTGGTATCACCCTCCAATTTACAGATGAGGAAATGCATGACTTGACCAAGGCCAAACCCCTAGTAGGCTTGATGGTCCAGAATATGAATCCAAGCAGTTGGACTTAAGGCCAATGTATTTTACTTCTGCATTGTGGTATTAATGGTCTTTATTTGATTCCTCACATGTCATAGTATTGAAAGCATTTTAGATAGTGATTAAGAATAGTACAAATTAAGGGCAACAGTGGGGATGGAATTTTGAAATATCTATTGGCAACTTCATGGCTGCCACATTACTTACTTGCTTTCAAAGAACTGTCAGTAAAATCTGTAAAATCTCAGTTCTGCTCATAAGTAATAGTATTTCATTAATTTTTATCTTAAGCTGGACAATTCATATTCCCCTCACCTTTTTTTTTTTTGAGACAGGGTCTCACTCTGTCATCCAGGCTGGAGTGCAGTGGCATGATCTCAGCTCACTGCAACACCTCTGCCTCCCAGGCTCAAGCAATCCTCCGACCTCAGCCTCCCAAGTAGTTGGGACTACAGGCAATATTCTTCCCCTTTTAAATAATATGTCAACATTTCATTTTAAAATAATACTCCTGTGGTTAATATAATTAATTCATTTGATGTGGCTATATATATTTGATATGGATGTCTGATGGAAGATATAAAATAGCTTGTTAAGTGAACACATACTACTTAATATTCTATTTTTAACTTTTTAAACGGTTTTATTCAGGTTGGTTTGACTTCCACAAATGCAGAAGTAAGAGGATTTATAGATCAGAATCTCAGTCCAACAAAAGGTAAGGATTATTGAATAAAATTTTTCTGAATTAAGTTAGTTTTATTGCATTTGTTTTGTAAAATATGCAGCTACATGAATTACTTTATGTATAATAATTTTATGATATTAGCACGTTGTTCCATGCCACATAACTTGTGCTGTATGAAAGTCATTTACCTCTGACAGACGGAGGATTTTTGTGTGTGATTTTTCTCTTTCCTAAGAGATCTCTAAGATCCCTTATCAATGATCTTATTACAATTGAAACTGTTCAGACCACTTTTTTCTTGATTTTCTTGTTTGACAATCCTACTTTCAAATGGTTTAAGTTGTAAGGAAGTACAGTAGAGAAAATACGTATATATGTGTTTTGTATATTTTATATACGTGTGTATGTGTGTATTTCTTTGACTAATATATGTCTTACTGGAAGAATGCTTATATCAGAAATCTGGCCCACTGGCTTGGTGCAGTGGCTCACACCTGTAATCCCAGCACTTTGGGAGGCCGAGGCAGAAGGATCACTTGAGCCCAGGAGTTTGAGACCAGCCTGGGTAACATAGTGAGACTCTGTCTTTACAAAAACTTAGCCGGGCATGGTGATGTGTACCTGTAGTCCCAGCTATTCAGGAGGCCAGTGTAGGAGGATTGCTTGAGCCTGGAAGGTTGAGGCTGCAGTGAGCCATAATCATGCCACTGTACTCCAGCCTGGGTGACAGAATGAGACCTTGTCTCAAAAGAAAAAAAAGTATTCTGACCCACCAGTACAAGAACTTACACAGGAACCAGCAGTATCTTTCAATATGTCTCTTTGAACAATATCTTGTGGTATATAGAGATACATGCTGAAATGTCTACGGATGAAATTATATGATGTCTGGAATTGGCTTCAAAATAATCCACTAGGAGAAGGAGGGTAAAGTGGGTGGTATTATAGATAAAACAATATTGTCTTAAGTTGATTATTTGTTTAAGTTAGGTAATATTTCTGTGGGGTTTCATTATTCCTTTCCTTTCTCTTTTGTGTGTATTTGAAATTTTTCATTATAAACTGTAGGAAAAAGATCTATTACAATACAAATAGCTATGAGAGAAACATCAGCTTCCTTAAAGGGTTTATGTCTAAGGTGGGAGACGTACTCTAGAGCAGAGGTCCCCAATTCCCAGGCTGTGAGCTCATGGCCTGTTAGGAACCAGGCTGCATAGCAGAAGGTGAGCGGCCAGCAAGTGAGCATTAGATTCTCATAGGAGGGCGAACCCTATTGTGAACTGCACATGGGAGGGATCTGGGTTGTGCAGTCCTTTAGAGAATTTAATGCCTGATTATCTGAGGTGGAACAGTTTCATCCTGAAACCATCCATCTCTCTCCACCCCCATCCATGGAAAAATTGTCTTCCACGAAACTGGTCCCTGGTACCAAAAAAGGTTGGGGACCACTGTTCTAGAGAGCAGGCTAGAGACATCTATATTCCAATATAAAAATGTCTAGCTTATTTTATTTATTTTTTTTTTGGTGGCAGAGTCTCACTCTGTTGCCCAGGCTGGAGTGCAGTGGCATGATCTTGGCTCACTGCAACCTCCACTTCCCGGGTTCAAGTGATTCTCCTTCCTCAGCCTCCCAAGTAGATGGGATTACAGGCACATGCCACAATGCCTGGCTACTTTTTGTATTTTTGGTAGAGACAGGGTTTCCACGGTTTCACCTTGTTGGCCAGGTTTAAGCCACCACACCTGGCCTAGCTTAATAATAGTAATAGTCTGTGGGAATGATTCTGAGAGTTAAGGTATGTATTATGAGGCCATTTAAGAGATACTTTAAGCCTCAATGCTCCTCATTTTTTTTCCCACATGACAACATTCATAGAAAATGATAACATTTGTGGGATGCACTAGGGCTAAACAAAAAGGCTGCTTAAGGTCAGGATTAAGCTACCTAAAAGCTTCAGCTGCCCGAGGCCACTCCAGACTGCCGTGAGGGCTGAGGGACTCCATTCTTTTGTATACCCATAGCTTATTCACAACACGTAACTGGGAATCTCTGCTCTAATAAAACGTAGTAATCAGGTCAGGGGAAGGAAGTGGGAACAACAAGCTTGGTAGACATGGAAGACATATTGAGTATTGCAATAATGAGAATAATGGAATGATGCAGCAACCTTGAAAATAAAGAGAGGATAGCAAGTCATAAAGGGGAAAAGTGACATGGAAAAATGCTTTTGGCTGGGCATGGTCGCTCACACCTGTAATCCCAGCACTTTGGGGGGCCAAGGTGGGCGGATCACCTGAGGTAAGGAGTTTGAGACCAGCCTGAGCAACATGGTGAAACCCTGTCTCTACTAAAAGTACAAATATTAGCCAGGTGTGGTGGCAGGTGTCTGTAATCCCAGCTACTGCGGAGGCTGAGGCAAGAGAATCACTTGAACCCAGGAGGCGGAAGCTGCAGTGAGCTGAGATCATGCCATTGCACTCCAGCCTGGGCAACAGAATGAGAGTCTGTCTCCAAAAAAAAAAAAAAAGGAAAGAAAGAAAGAAAAATGCTTCCAAAAGACAGAAGACAAAGAAAGAGAATGGGGGTTTAGGTGAGAAAGATTGTCTTTGATGGTAGAATAGGCATCTGAAGGGTAAGTACTAGTTATAAATGTTAGCCCTGGACAGATGTTAACACCAGTAAAGTTTAGTTACAGAGTAAAACCTCAGTTTGTTTAACTTTATAGAACAAATGGAGAGGAAGACAGAGAATCATTTAAGAGTGGACTAGAGAGATCAGATTTTGAAATAGCTATATGCATGTGTTTGTTTTTGAGACAGGGTTTTGCTATGCCCAGGGTGGTTTTGAACTCCTGGAGTTCAAACCTCTGGAGTAGCTGAGACTACAGGCATGTGTCACTGCACCTGGCTGAAATAATTATATGTTTTAAAAGAAAACTGTTGCTCTTCTTTGAGCTGTTAGCTAGTAACAGCAGAAGGAACTTCACATTAAGTGAACCAACAAGATTTGGAAGAGATTTCTTTTAATTGGTAAAATTCAGTTAATATTTGTTACAGGCCCAAGATGAGAGTTGTATTGGAAGTGAGATGTAGAAAAGTATTTTTCTTAATTGAAATGATGATGTAGCAATGATATTATAGAAACTTTTGAAAAATAGAAAAAAAATTCTGCCTTTCTAATACAACCTTTTCTTTTTTGTAATTTTTCATAATTATTTATATAACTATGTTTTAAAGTTATAAAACTGGTAAGTATTATAGTTGTCTATTTTCCTTTTTTGACTGAATCTAAAAAACACACTTTGCATGTTTTCACATTTATAAATACCTTTCTTAGAGCTTCATACTGTTTCATTGTGCTTATGAGTAATGATTTATTAAACATTTTTTCATTTCCTTATTGTTGGATATTTGTCTTTTTTGTTGGTTATATATGATGCATATATATTTCTATATATGATATAAACCTATGATGTTGGACATCATAATGAATCTTTAATCAGCTAAGTTTTTGTTTCTTTTTATTTATTAAGATAAGTACTCAGAAGTGCAGTTACTGGGTCACTCCCCTGCCTAATTAAACCCTTTTAAGCAACTTCCTATTTAAATTAAAATAAAATCCCAAATCCCTTACCTGCAACACCCTGAAGTTAGGTCCTGAAGTTAGGTTCATTTTTTTCCTACCATTTTTCCTCTGTGTTCTTCACATATGACAATTTTCATTAATCTGTCTTCAAGTTAGCTTATTTTTTTTCAGTTATCACTATTCTATTAATCCTAGCCAGTGATTTTTTTTTTCAGACGTTGCATTTTTCAGTTCGAGAATTTCCATTGGGTTCTTTATGTTTTTTTTTTTTCTACTGAGGAGAGAGGGTGAAAGCACAAATGCAAGAGCATTGACAAAGAAATTGTAGAATGTTAGAGCAGCACTGAACTCAATTGAGGTTAAAGATCTTAAACCCTGCTGGACGCAGTGACTCACACCTGTAATCCCAGCATTTTGAGAGGCTGAGGGGGGTGGAACACCTGAGGTCAGGAGTTTGAGACCAGCCTTACCAACATGGTGAAACCCTGTCTCTACTAAAAAATACAAAAATTAGCTGGGCATGGTGGCGGGCACCTGTAATCCCAGCTGCTTGGGAGGCTGAGGCAGGAGAATCGCTTGAACCAGGGAGGCAGAGGTTGTAGTGAGCCAAGATCACGTCATTGCACTCCAGCCTGGGTGACAGAGCAAGACTCCGTCAAAAAAAAAAAAGATATTAAATCCAGGAGGTCGACTACTTTTGTCCAGCAGCACTGATAAGAAAGATAGCTGGTCTGGGCACAGTAGCTCATGCCTATGATCCCAGCACCCTGGGAGACTGAGGTGGAAGGATTTCCTGAGTCCAGGAATTTGAGGCTGCAGTGAGCTATGATTGCACAATTGCATTCCAGCCTGGGTGACAGAGCATGACCCTGTCTCAAAAAAAAAAAAAAAGAAAAAAAAAAAGACCTGGCGCAGTGGCTCACACCTATAATTCCAGCACTTTGGGAAGTTCGAGCCCCCAGCCTAGGCAGCATGATGAAACCCTGTCTCTACTAAAAATACAGAAATTAGCCAGGTGTGGTGGCGCATGCCTGTAATCCCAGCTACTCGGGTGGCAGAGACACAAGAATCACCTGAACCCGGGAGGTGGAGGTTGCAGTGCGTCAAGATCACGCCACCGCACTCCAGCCTGGGGGATAGAGTGAAACTCTGTCTCAAAAAAAAAAGAGAAAAAAGAAAAAAAAAAGATAGCTGGACTGCTCCAGGGTTGCGTTATATCCAGCCAGTACTACAGAAGGGAAAACAGTATAGATGTGAGACACATATAAAGATTGTTTTGTGGCAAGAAATGAGACCTGAGAGGTAGGCCACATTCTTTCATTGATTCAGCAAATATTTATTGAATAGTACTTACTTACTATGTGCCAGGCATTTTTCTAGGTGCTAAGGATAAACAAGGAATAGAACAAAGTCCCTTCCCTCATGGAGCTTACATTCTGGTGAGGAAGATAGATTACAAACACATACACATAAAAAACTGGTTATGTGAAAAAATCTGTATATCAGGGTATAGGACTGAGGATACAACAGCAAGGAGATTCAGCTTTAGATGGGGTGGGTCAGAGAAGAATGCACTGAGGAAGTAACAATGTAGCAGAGGAGGTGACTACACAGTAGAGACCTAGATAATAAAGTTATTACTCATAATCTGTAATGCTAATTAGACTGCGACTTAATGAATCAGTAAAGAAATATGCAAAATAGGCTGGGTGCCATGGCTCATGCCTATAATCCCAACACTTTGGGAGGCCAAGGGGGGTGGATTGCTTGAGCTCAGCAGTTCAAGACCAGCCTGGGCAACATGGCAAAACCCCACCTCTACAAAAATTACAAAAAAATTAGCTGGTATGGTGGCGTGTACCTGTAGTCCCAGCTTCTCTGGAGGCTGAGGCAGGAGGATCACTTGAGCCTGGAAGGTGGAGGTTGCAGTGAGCTGAGATCGTACCACTGAACTCCAGCCTAGGTGACAGAGTGAGGCCCTGTCTCAAAAAAAAAAAAAAAGAAAAGAAGTATGTGAAATAATAAGAAATGCAGTCATGTGCTGCATAATGATGTTTCAGTCAATAATGAATGGCTATCCAGTGGTGGTCCCATAAGATAATAGTCTGTTTTTACTGTACCTTTTCTATGTTTAGCTATGTTTAGGTACACAAATACTTACCATGTGTTACAGTTGCCTACAGTATTCAGTACAGTAACATGCTACACATTTAGGTTTGTGTAAGTATACTCCATGATGTTTGTACAACAATGAAATCACCTAACAAAGCATTTCTCAGAACTTATCCCCATTGCCAGTTGACACATGACTACATATATTAGTCTCTGCTCCTACTCTCTGGCACAGAACTCTTACAACCCTTGTAATTTCCTGAATGATAGGGGTGCTAGGAGAATCATTTGTCATATCATTTGATCGCTGCCCTGATTCCTGAGACAGAGTTCCTAATACCCTTGTAGATAGGAGTACTAGGAGTATCTTTTGTTGTAATATTTGGTCTTTGACCCCAGTTCCTGACACAGAACTCCTAAGACCTTTGTAATTTCCTGAGTGGTAGGAGCATCTGATACAGAGCTCCTAAATCCCTCAGGATTTCCTGGGTAATTAGGAGTGACTTTTGTACAAATGAGGTGACCCTTGGTGGACTCCTGGATGGGGGCTAGTCACCAGAAAGATAAAGTCACGATTGTAAGCTTGAAGCTTTCAGCTCTACCCTCTATCCATTGGAGATGGGAGAAGGGCTGGAAATTGAGTTAATAATTAATCATACCTCTGTGATGAAGCCTCCATAAAAATCCCTGAACTGTAAGGTTTGGAGAGTTTCCAGGTTGGTGTAGACACCCATGTGTCAGGAGGGTGGCACACCCCAACTCTGGGGACAGAAGCTTCTGAGCTTGGAGCCCTTCCATACCTTGCCCTATGTATTTCTTCATCTGGCTGTTGATCTTGTTCATCTACGTCCTTTGTTATATCCTTTAAAAATTAACTGATAAACATAAGTAAAGTGCTTCCCTTTTGCTAGAGTTCTGTGAGCCACTCTAGCAAATTAATCGAACCTGAGTAGGGAGTTTGAGGAACCCCAATTTATAGCTGGTTGGTCAGAAGCAGAGGTTACAACCTGGTGCTTGCAACTGGCATGTGAAGTGGGGGACAGTATTATGGCTCTGAGCCCTTAACCAGTGGGATCTGATGCGATCTCCTGGTAGGGTCAGAATTTATTTTTTGCTAGTAGGGAGAAATCCCCACACATTTTGGTGACCAGAGGCAGTGTTTTGTGTTAAATGGTGTACAAGAGTTGGAAAAACACTTTGGTTTTTTTTCCCATTCTTAATAAAGTGATACCATCAGAAAGAGAACCCTAGAAGCAGAATGTAGACAAAACTAGAAGTGGAGGTGATCCTGAAGAGAGAGAGGCAGTAAGTTCTCAGAAGTTACCACCAAATCCAGGTGAAAAAGAACAAGGGCGGAAGATAGTGGCAGAAGGGAAGGGAAAGAAATGATAAGCATGAATAATATTTTAAAAGTAGATTTGGTGACTGAGGTTTGGTCACCTCAGTCAGAGGCAAGGTACTAATCAAGGTAGATTGCTGGGATCACAGTTTGATTGATTGAGTAGATAATGGGTAGAGATTTCCCATCCATTCTCTGTTTTACCAGCAGAACCCTTTTCCCAAGTAAAATCTTACATGGAATCCAATATATCAGTTAGACAAAATGAGGCTAATGTGGGTGGAGCTTCCTGAGGTTATTAGCAATACTTCTAATGGGAAGTAGGACAAGAGGCGTTATATGCACATACCCTGAAGAGCTCTTTTTTTAAGATTTAACTGTTTCCAGCTTCCCTTGTCCTTGCGCTCAGATGTACAGTTGGCAGGGGAAATTTTTGTTACTTTTCCCCCTTAATAAAAGAGTAATAAATGCTCATTAAAAAATACAAAGAAAAATGAGAAAAATACAAAATCTAGTTCAAATACACAAGATTAAAACAATGTATTTTCTTTTATTATTTTTTATGTGCAGCTTAAAAATAAGGTTATAATCATATTTATTTCTAATATTTTGAAGTTTTGATTAAAAATTTTTAAAATTTTTTGTGGGTACATAATAGATGTGTATACATATATATTTATGGAGTACTTGAGTTACTTTGATATAGTCATACTTTATCAAATGTGTAATAATCACATCATGGTAAATGGAGTATCCATCCCCTCAAGCATTTGTCCTTTGTGGTTACAAACAATCCAGTTACACTGTTTTAGTTATTTATAAATGTATAATTATTGACCGGCTGGGTGCAATGGCACATGCCTGTAACCCCAGCACTTTGGGAGGCAGGCGGATCACTTGAGGTCAGGAGTCTGAGACCAGCCTGGCCAACATGGTGAAACCCTGTCTCTACTAAAAATATAAAAATTAGCCGAGTGTGGTGGCACTCGCTTGTAATCCCAGCTACTTGGGAGGCTGAGGTGGGAGACTTGCTTGAATCTGAGAGGTAGAGGTTGCATTGAGCTGAGATCACACCACTGCACTCCGGCCTGGGCGACAGAGCGAGTCTCTGTCTCAAAAAAAATAAAAATAAAAAAATCTAATATCAAATATTATTTATTCTTTCTGTTTTTTTTTGTACTCGTTAATCACCCTCACTCCCCCTGCCATCCCTGCCACGCCACTATGTTTCCCAGCCTCTGATAACCATAGTTTATTTTCTGTCTCCACGTGTTCAATTGTTTTAGTTTTTAGCACCCACAAATAAGTAAGAACATGTGAAGTTTATCTTTCCATGCCTTGCTTATTTCACTTAACATAATGACCTCTGGTTCCTTCCATATTGTGAATGACAGGATCTCATTTTTTTTAATGGCCGAATAGTACTCCACTGTGTACATGTACCACATTTTCTTTATCCATTTGTATGTTGATGGACACTTAGATTGCTTCTAAATCTTGGCTATTGTGAATAGTGCTGCAACAAACATGGAAATACAGATGTCTCTTCAATATACTGATTTCCTTTCTTTTGGGTGTATACCTAGTAGTGGGATTGCTGGATCATGTGGTAGCTCAATTTTTAGTTTTTTGAGGAGCTCCCAAACTGTTCTCCATAGTGTACTAACTTATATTCCTGCCAACAGCGTACAAGGGTTCCCTTCTCTCCACATCCTCACCAACATTTGTTATTCCCTGTCTCTTGGTTAAAAGCCATTTTAGCTGGGGTGAGATGATATCTCATTGTAGTTTTAATTTGCATTTCTCTGATAATCAGTGATTTTGAGCACTTTTTATATACCTGTTTGCCATTTATATGTCTTATTTTGAGAAATGTCTATTCAGATCTTTTGCCCATTTTTTAATTGAATTGTTAGCTCTTTTATATTCTGGTTATAAAACTCTTGTCAGGTGGGTAGTTTGCGGATGTTTTCTCCCATTCTGTGGGTTGTCTCTCACTTTGTTGATTGTTTCCTTTGCTATGCAGGAACGTTTTACTTGGTATGTTCGCATTTGTCCATTTTTGCTTTGGTTGCCTGTGCTTGTGGGGTCCTGCTCAAGAAATTCTTGCCCAGACCAATGTCCTGGAGATTTTCCCCAAGGTTTTCTTGTAGTAGTTTCATAGATTGAGGTCTTAGATTTAAATCTTTAGTCCACTTTGATTTGATTTTTGTATATGGTGAGAGATAGGGGTCTAGTTTCATTCTTTTGCATACGGATATCCAGTTTTCCCAGCACTGTTTATTGAAGAAACTGTCTGTTCTCCAGTGTATGTTGTTGGCACCTTTGTGGAAAATGAGTTCACTCTAGGTGTATGGATTTATTTCTGGGTTCTCTATTCTGTTCCATTGGTCTATGTGTCTGTTTTTTTGCCAGTATCATGCCATTTTGTTTACTATAGCTCTGTAGTGTAATTTGAAGTCAGGTAATGTGATTCCTTCAGTTTTGTTCTTTTTGCTCAGGATAGCTTTGGCTATTCTGGGTCTATTGTGGCTCTATATAAATTTTAGGATTGTTTTTTCTATTTCTGTGAAGAATGTCATTGGTATTTTGATAGGATTGCATTGAATCTAAAGATTGCCTTGGGTACTGTGGACATTTTAACAATACTGATTCTTCTAGTCTATGAATATGGAATACCTTTCCATTTTTTGTGTCCTCTTTAATTTCTTTCATCAGTATTTTATAGTTTTTATTGTAGGGATCTTTCATTTCTTTGACTAATTCCTAGGTATTTAATTTCATTTGTATCTACTATAAATGGGATTACTTTTAATTACTTTTTCAGATTGTTCACTGTTGCCATTAGAAAGCTACTGATTTTTGTATGTTGATTTGTGTCCTGCAACTTTACTGAATTTGCTTAGCAATTCTAATAGTTTTTTTGTGGAATCTAGATTTTTCAAAATGTAATATATTATCTGCAAACAGGGATAATTTGACTTCTTCCTTTCTAATTTGAATGGCCCTTTATTTTTATCTCTTGTCTGAATGTTGTAGCTAGGACTTCCAGTACTATACTGAATAACAGTGTTGAAAGTAGGCTTCCTTGTTGTGTTCCAGATCTTATAGGAAAGGCTTTCACTTTTTCCTATCCTGTATTTTACTAGCTGTGGGTCTGTCATGTATGCCTTTTATTATGTTGAGGTACGTTCCTTCTGTACCCAGTTTTTTAGGGATTGTATCATGAAGCGATGTTGAATTTTATCAAATGCTTTTTCAGCATCAGTTGAAATGATTATATTGTTTTTGTCTTTCATTTCATTGAAATGATATATTACATTGATTGACTTGCATTCATTGAGCCATTTTGCATCTCTGGGATACATCCCACTTGGTCATGATCAATGATCTTTTTAATGTGTTGTTGAATACGGTTTAGTAGTATTTTGTTGAGGGTTTTTGCATCAGTGTACATCAGGGATATTTGCCTGTAGTTTTCTTTTTTTGATGTTTCTTTGTCTGGTTTTGGCATCTGGGTGATACAAGCCTTGTAGAATGAATTTGGAAGTATTCATCTCTCCTCCATTTCAATGGTCCCCAACCTTTTTGGCCCCAGGGATTGGTTTTGTGGAATACAATTTTTCCATGGACTGGGGTGAGGGGTGGTATGGTTTACAGAATGATTCAAGTGTATTACATTTGTTGTGCACCTTATTTCTAATATTATTACATTGTGATATATAATGAAGTAATTATACAACTCACCATAATGTAGAATCAGTGGGAGCCCTGAGCTTGTTTTCCTGCAACTAGGTGGTCCCATCTTGGGGTGACGGGAGTCAGTGACAGATCATCATCAGGCATGAGATTCTCACAAGGAGCACACAACTTAGATCCCTCACATGCACAGTTCACAACAGGGTTTGCACTCCTGTGAGACTCTAATGTCGTGGCTAATCTGACAGAGGTGGAGGTCAGGTGGTAATGCAAGCAGTGGGGAGCATCTGTAAATACAGATGAAGCTGCTTTCACTCGCCCGCCACTCACCTCCTGCAGTGCATCCTGGTTTCTAACAGGCCACGGACCAGTACCAGTCTGTGGCCCAGGGGTTTGGGACCCCTGCTGTACTTTTTGGAATAGTTTGAGTAAGATGGATATCAGTTCTTCTTTAAATATTTGGTAAGATTTAGCAGTGAAGTTGTCAGGTGCTGGGCTTTTCTTTACTGAAAGCCTTTTTATTACTGCTTCAATCTTGTTACTTGTTATTGGTCTGTTCAGGTTTTGGATTACTTTATGGTTCAGTGTTGGTAGGTTGTATGTGTCTGGGAATTTATCCATTTCTTCTAGGTTTTCCAATTTATTGGCATATAGTAGCCATGTTGCTCCTAGTAGCCACTAATGAATTTCCGTGGTATCAATTTTAATGTCTCCTTTTTTGTCTCTGATTTTATTTATTTGGGTCTTCTCTCTTTTTTTCTTAGTCTGACTAAAGGTTTGTCAATATTATCTTTTCAGAAAACCAACTTTTTGTTTCATTGATCTTTTGCATTGTTTCCTGTGTTTCAATTTGTTTTATTTCTGCTCTGATCCTTATTCTTTCTTTTCTTCTACAAATTTTAGGTTTGGTTTGCTCTTGCTTTTCTAGCTCTTTAAGATGCATCATTAGGTTATCTATTTGAAGTTTTTTCACTTTTTTGATGTATAAGCACTTATACCATCAACTTCCCTCTTAGTGCTTCTTTCACTATATCCCATAGGTTTTGGTGTGTTGTGTTTCTTTTATCATTTGTTTCAAGTACATTTTAAATTTCTTTCTAATTTCTTTTTTGACCCTCTGGTCAACTGGTAGCATATTGTTCAGTTTCCATATCTTTGTACAGTTTCTAGAATTCCTCTTGTTATTGATGTCTAGTTTTATTCCATTGTGGTCAGAGAAGATGCTTCATAATATTTCAATTTTTTGAATGTTTTAAGACTGTTTTGTTACCTAACATTTGGTCTGCTCTTGAGAATGATCCATGTGCTGAAGAAAAGAATGTGTATTGTGCAGCCATTGGATGAAATGTTTTGTAAATATCTTATTAGGTCCAATTGGTCTATAGCGAAAATTAAGTCTAGTGTTTCCTTGTGGATTTTCTGTTTGGAAGATCTGTTCATTGCTCAAAGTGGGATATTGAAGTCTCCAGCTATTATTGTATTGGGGGTTTATCTGTCTGTTTAGCAGTAATATTTGCTTTATATATCTGTGTGCTCCAGTGTTGGGTACATATATATTTACAATTGTTATATCCTCTTGCTGAATTGACCCCTTTATGTAATGACCTTCTTTGTCTCTTTATAGTTTTGTCTTGAAGTCTGTTTTATCTGATACAAGTATAGCTACATCTGCTCTTTTTTGGTTTCCATTGTCATGGAATATCTTTTTGCATCTCTTCATATATCTGCATGTGTCTTTATTGGTGAAGTATGTTTCTTGTGGGCAACAAGTCATTGGATCTTGTTTTTTATCCATTCAGCCACTCTATGTCTTTTGATTGGAGAGTTGAGTCCGTTTTCATTCGATGTTATTGTTGATAAGTCGGACTTACTCCCGCCATTTTATTGTATTCTGGTTGTTTTGTGATGTTCTCTTCATTCCTTCTTCCCTTCCTTCCTGCGTTCCTTTTAGTTAAGGTGATTTTTCTCTGGTGGTATGATTTAATTTCTTGCTTTTTATTTTTTGAGTATCCATTGTATGTTGTTTGATTTGAGGTTACTATGAGGCTTGCAAATAATATAACCCATTATTTTTTAAACAGATGATAACTGGCTGGATGTGGTGGCTCATTCCTGTGATCCCAGCACTTTGGGAGGCTGAGGCGGGCAGATCACTTGAGTTCAAGAGTTCGCGACCAGCCTGGCCAACATGGCAAAAACCCCATCTCTACTAAAAATACAAGAATTAGCCAGGCATGGTAGCGTGCATCTGTAATCCCAGCTACTTGGGAGGTTGAGGCATGAGAATCACTTGAACCTGGGAGGCGGAGGTTGCAGTGAGCCGAGATCGTGCCACTGCACTCCAGCCTGGGTGACAGAGCAAGACTCCATGTCAAAAAAATTAAAAATAAGTGAGTTTTGTACCTTCAGATGATTTCTTATTGCTCATTAACATCCTTTTCTTTTAGATTGAAGGAATTTCTTTAGAATTTCTTGTAGAACAGGTCTGGTGTTGATGAAATCTCTTTGCTTTTGTTGTCTGGGAAAGTCTTTATTTCTCCTTCATGTTTGAAGGATATTTTTGCTGGATATACTATTCTGGGGCAAAAGGTTTTTTCCTTCAGCACTTTAAATATGTCACGCCACTCTCTTCCTGGACTGTAAAGTTTCCACTGAAAAGTCTGCTGCCGGGTGCTTTGGAGCTTCATTGCATGTTATTTGTTTCTTTTCTCTTGGGGCTTTTTGGATTCTTTCTTTATCTTTGACCTTCAGGAGTTTGATTATTAAATCCCTTGAGGTAGTCTTTGGGTTAAGTCAGCTTGGTGTTCTATAAACTTCTTGTACTTGAATGTTGATATCTCTCTCTAGGTTTGGGAATTTTGCTGGTATTATCTCTTTGAATAAACTTTTTACCTTATGTGTTTCTCTGCCTCCACCTTAAGTTATTAAGGCCAACAACTTTTAGATTTGCTTTTTTGGAGGCTATTTTCTAGATCTTGTAGGTGTGCTTCATTCTTTTTTATTCTTTTTTCTTTTGTCTCCTCTGATTGTGTGTTTTTTGTTTTTTGTTTTTGAGATGGAGTCTCGCCCTGTCACCTAGGCTGGAGTGCAATGGCGCAATCTCAGCTCACTGAAACCTCTGCCTCCCGGGTTCAAGCCATTCTACTGCCTCAGCCTTCTGAGTAGCTGGGATTACAGGTGCCCGCCAGCACACCCAGCTAATTTTTGTATTTTTAGTAGAGATGGGGCTTCACCAGGTTGGCCAGGCTGGGACTGTGTATTTTCAAATAGCCTGTCTTCAAGCTCACTGATTCTTTCTTCTGCTTGATCAATTCTGCCGTTAGAAGACTCATACATTTTTCATCGTGTCAGTTGCATTTTTCAACTCTAGAATTTCTGTTTGATCCTTTTTAGTTATTTCAATCTTTCTGTTAAATTTATCTGATAGAATTCTGAATTCCTTCTCCGTGTTATCTTGAATTTCTTTGAGTTACTTCAAAACAGCAATTTTGAATTCTCTGTCTGAAAGGTCACATACCTCTTTTCCTCTGGGATTGGTTACTGGTGTCTTACTTAGTTCATTTGTTGAGGTATTGTTTTCCTGGATGGTCTTGGTGCTTGTGGATGTTCATCGATGTCTGAACATTGACGAGTTATATATTTATTGTAGTCTTTGGTGTCTGGGCTTGTTTGTACCTGTGCTTCTTGGGAAGGCTTTCTAGGTATTCTAAGGGACTTGGGTGTTGTGATTCAAGTTTTTAGTCATGGCAGCTGTATCTGCATTAGGGGGTACCTTAAACCCAGTAATGCTGTGGTTCTTGCAGACTTGTAGAGGTGCCACCTTGGTAGTCTTGGATAAGAACTGGGAGAGTTTTCTGGTTTACCAGGCAGAAACTCTGATTATCTTTCCTTTCTTTTTCCCAAACAGAGTGTCTCTGTCTGTGCTGAGCTGCCTGGAGATAGGGGAGGGGTTACATAAGTATCCCTGTGGCCACCACCACTGGGACTGCACTGGTTCAGACCTGAAGCCAGCACAATACTGGGTCTTGCTCAAGGCCCTGGGGCTTTACAATCAGCAGGTGATGAAGCCAGCTGGGTTTGTGTTCTTCCCTTCAGGGCAGCGAGTTCTCCTGGGCCCCATGCGGGTTGAGAGACGCCATCTGGGAGGCAGGGCCTAGAGTCGGAAACCTTAGAAATCTACCTGGGTCTGTATTCTGCTATGGTTGAGCTGGCACCCAGACCACAAGACAAAGTCCTTCTCACTCTTCTCTCCCCTTTCCACAGGCAGAGGAGTCTTTCCCCCAGCCACCACCACAGGTCCATAGAGAGTACTGAGAGGCCACTTCCAGGGTTTACTTAAGGCTCAAGGGCTCTTCAGTCAGCTTGTGGTGAATGCTGCCAGGCCTGGGACTCACCCTTAAGGTTGATGGGCTCCTCTCTCATCCAGAGTAGGTCCAGAAATGCTGTTGAAGAGCCCAGGCTTGGAATCAGGGACCCCAAGAGCCCACTTGGTGCTCTACCTCAGCTGGTGGCTCAGCTGGTACCTAAACTGTGAGACAAAGTCTCCTTTATTTCTCCCTCTGCTTTTCTCAAACAGAAGGAGTTTCTCATATGACCCAGCTTGGAATGTTCTGGGTCATACGTGAAGCCAGCATGTCTCAGAGTCTCACCCAAGGCCCATGAAGTGTATTGCCTGTCTACTGCTACTGATTATTCAGGGCCCAAGAGCTCTTTAGTCAGCAGGTGAGGAATCCTGCCAGGACTGGGTCCTTCCCTTCAAGGCAGTAGGTTCCCTTCTGGACCATGGTGTGTCTAGAAGTGTCTTCTGGGAGCTAGGGCTTAGAATGGGCTCATGATTCTGCCAGGTGCCCTATTCTACTGTGGCTGAGCTGGTATCCTAATTGCAATACAAAGTCCTCTTAACTTCCTTCTCCACTCCTCAAGCAGAAAGAAGGAGTGTCTTTTTCAGGTTGGAGCTGTGCAGCCTGATGTTGGGATGGGGTGGCGCAAGCACTCCCTTAGCCACCCCTGTTGATGTCTCACTAGGTTGTGTGCCCCCGATGTCCACTGGCTCTGAGCCCAGCACAGCACTAGGACTTGCTGAAGAGTTGTAGTCTTTTTGGCCTAGACTGCCTTTTAAGTTTGTTTAGGACCCCAGAGCTCTGCCTGTGGTGGCAGAGATTGCCAGAACTCAAGTTCTGACCACTGGGATGGACGATTCCTTCTGTCTAGAGCTGTTCTATATGTTCCCTCTGTGGGTATCAGCTGAGTTCTGCCCAGTGTTGACAGCACTGAGTTCCAATACAGAGTCCCACAGTCACTGAGCTCTCCCTCCCCCAGGTGCATAGATTCTCTCTTTCTGCCACATGGCTGCTGCCAGGGGATAGGGAAGGGGTGGAGTTGGTAGTTCAAGACTCTCTTTCCTACCCTCTTTGGTGCCTCTTTCAGCAATATGAAGTTAAAACCAGGTATTATGATCGCTCCTGATGTTTGGTTCTTATGAACGTACTTTTTTGTGTAGATAGTTGTTAAATTTGGTGTTCCTGTAAATGGAGGGACCATGGGTAGAGGCTTCTATTTGGCCATCTTGCTTCATTCCCCAGCTAATATTTTCAAGTTTGAGAAACATTTTGTGACAACTGAAGAAACTGCACACAGAACTACATGTTAAGTCATAATCTTAGAATGTTGATTGAGGAACATATTGTTAAGCTAATATTACTTCATTAACACTTAAAAATTAATTTGTGTTTTACTAGTCACAACCTCATCTATATATATAGGGAAGATCGTTTGCAATAAATCTAAGATTAAAGATTGAAACCACTATCACATTATTTCTATGTTTCATTTTTTTTCATCTTGCCTTAAACTTGAAACATTTCTTCCATTTTATTTATAGCTGCATCAAAATATTTTAATAGTCATATGCTGTTCCATTAAGTGGATATATTACAATTTACCTATCCATTCCCCCATTGTCCAACACTTAGATTGTCTCTATCTTATTTCTGATAAATGGTACCACAGCAAATATCTTTCTGAATTACTTTCTGGTTCTGCTTCTGGTATGGGTATTTAGCTTCTATTGGACCAAACCTATTGCAAATAACAACTAGAAATTCTGGATAAAACTTTTTTCTTTTTTCTTTTTTTTTTTTTTTTGAGACGGAGTCTCACTCTGTTGCCCAGGATGGAGTGCAGTGGTGTGATCTCAGCTCACTGCAACCTCTGCCTCCTGGGTTCAAGTGATTCTCTTGCCTCAGCCTCCCAAGTAGCTGGGATTACAGGTATGCACCACCATGCCCAGCTAATTTTTGGTATTTTAGTAAAGACAGGGTTTCACCATGTTGGCCAGGCTGGTCTCAAACTCCTGACCTCAGGTGATCCGCCCGCCTCAGCCTCCTGAAGTGCTGGGACTACAGGCGTGAGCCACCATGCCGGGAAAGCCTTTTTTTTTTTTTTTTTTGAGGCAGGTTCTGGCTCTGTTGCCCAGGCTGGAGTGCAGTGACATGATCACATCTCATTGCAACCTTGACCTCCTGGGCTCAAGCAATCCTTTCATTTCAGCCTCCTGACTAGCTGGGACTACAGATATGCACCACCACACTGGCTATTTTTTTTTTTTTTTTTTTTTTTTTCTGTAGAGACAGGGCTTTGCCACATTGCCCAGGCTTGTCTTGAACTCCTGGTCTCAAGAGATCCTCCTGCCTTGGCCTCCCAAAGTATTGGGATTACAGTCATGAGACACCATGTGTGGCCTGGATACAATATATTTTTTTAAAAGTATCTCAAAGCAGTAGAGAGGGACTAACAGAGTTGTACTTGTTTAGCCAGGTGAGTTTACCATTTTTTAGTTTTTAGTTTCAGTCAGAGGACAGGCACTAGTGTGCTCTACGCAGGATACTAAACTTTCGCAGAAAAAACAAAATCTTATTGGCTGGAAGAATTTGATGGCAGAGATTGAGGCAAACATGATGGCTCAAAAGGGGAGAAATTAGGTTGTTTTGTTTTTTTGTTGTTGAGTTTGAGGAGTTCTTTATATATTCTGGATATTAACCTCTTTTCAGATATATCATTTGCAGATATTTTCTTCCATTCAATAGGTTGTGTTATCACTTCTTTATAGTATACTTTGATACACAGAAGTCCTTAATTTTGATGGATTACAGTTAATTCATTTTCTCTTTTGTTGCCTGTGCTTTTCGTATCTGTCATATTCATGAAATCATTGCCAAATCTGATGTCATGAAGATCCTTCTAAGAGTTTTATAGTTTTAGCTCTTAAGTTTAGGCCTTTGGTCCATTATGAGTTGATTTTTTTAATGGTGTAACGTGAGAATCCAACATTATTTTGCATGTGGATATCTAGTTTTTCTAGTAGCATTAGTTGAAAAGACTGTCCTTTCCTCATTAAATGGTCTTGGCACCCTTGTCGAAAATCAGTGGATTGTATTTGTGATACTTTATTTTTGACTTTTTAAATTCATTCATTCATTAATTGTTATTTTATTTTATTTTTTTGAGACAAAGTCTCACTCTGTCGCCCACGCTGGAATGCAGTAGCACAATCTCGGCTCACTGCAACCTCTGCCTCCCGGGTTCAAGTGATTCTCATGCCTCAGCCTCCCGAGTAGCCGGGATTGCAGGCACCCGCCACCATGCCTGGCTAATTTTTGTATTTTTAGTAGAGTCCAGGTTTCACCATGTTGTTCAGGCTGGTCTCAATCTCCTGGCCTCAGGTGATCCACCTGCCTCGGCCTCCCAAGGTGCTGGGATTACAGGTGTGAGCCACCATACCTGGCCTGTTTTTTTAATTTATATATTTAGAGATGGGGTCTTGCTCTATTGCCCAGGTTGGTCTCGCACTTCCAGCCTCAAGCAATTCTCCCGCCTTGGTCTCCCAAAGTGTTGGGATTGCAGGTGTGAGCCACTGCACCCAGCATATTTCTGAGTTCTTTTTTTTTGAGATAGAATCTCACTCTGTTGCCCAGGCTGGAGTGCAGTGGTATAATCTCAACTCACTTCAACCTCCACTTCCTGGGTTCAAGTGATTCTCCTGCCTCAGCCTCCTGAGTAGATGGGTTTACAGGTGTGTGCCACCATGCCTGGCTAGTTTTTGTATTTTCAGTAGAGACAGGGTTTTACCATGTTGGCCAGTCTGGTCTCGAACTCCTGACCTCAGGTGATCCACCCGCCCTCGGCCTCCCAAAGTGCTGGGATTACAGGCGTGAGCCACTGCACCTGGCCTATTTCTGATTTCTTGATTTTATTCCATCAGCCTGTGTCTGTCCATATGTCTGTATCATAATGTTTTTATTACTGTAGTTTTGGTAAGTTTCAAAATTGGGAAGTGTGAGTTTTCCAACTTTATTCTTCGTCATGATTGTTTTGCTATTTAGGGCTCTTGGAATTCCATGTGAGTTTGGGGATCAGCTTTTCTATTTCTCTGAAAAAAGACACTTAACATTTTGATGGAGATTGCATTGAATCTCTAGATTGCTTTGGTTTTATTGATCTTAATGCTCCATTCAAATGGAACATTTATCTAGTCTTTAATTCACCATTTCATTTGCAGTGATGATAATGTTCTGGAATTAAATAGAGGTGATGGTTTTATGATTTTGTAAATATACTAAAACCTACTTTCAAAAGTGAATTGTTTGCAAGTGAATTATACCTTGATTTAACAAGACAAAAGCAAAAACACTTTCTTCAACTTGACGTCTACTTCCAGCTGTGATTTGTTCTTCCTCTTATAATCAGACTTTTTGGAAGAGGGCATACGCTTTCAGTGCCATTGTCACCTCTCATTCACTCCTCTGTCCAATATAATCTGGCTTTTGTTTCCATTAATTATATGAAACTGCCCTTAGTCTTTGTCTTTTTTATTTTTTTTTTTTGCGGGGGGGGGGGGGTTGTTTGTTTGTTTTTAAGCATTTAACACAGTTGATATCTTTCTTTTGTTTTTCTTAATAACCTTTTCATTTTAGAACAGCTTTAGGCTTACAGAAAAATTTTGAAGATAGTACAGAGTTACTTTATACCCTTCACTCAGTTTCTCCTACTATCAGTAGCGTACAAAACTCAGATTGGGCAATATGGTGAGACCCTGCCTCTACAAAAACATTTTTAAAAATTAACTGGGCATGGTGGCACATACCTGTACTCCTAGCTACTCAGGAGGCTGAGGCGGGAGGATCACTTGAGCCCAGGAGTTTGAGGCCACAGGAGCTGTGATTTTGCCACTGCACTCCAGCCTGGGTGACATTTTCATCACAGCATATTAAGGCACATACTATCAACATGACTTATCACTGTTGATGTGAACCTTGATCAGCTGGCCGATGTCGCTTTTGTCAGGTTTCTCCACAGTAAAGTTAGTCTTTACCCCTCTCCTTTTCTGCATCATAGGCTTTGGAAGGAAGTCATTGTGTGGATTGCACACTTGAGGAGCAGGGAGTTATGCTCTCCCTCCTTGAGGGGAGTTTCTACATAAGTTAAATTAACATTTACACCAATTAGAACTCTTTGGTGCTCTAGATTTGTCCCTTCTCCTCTATTGATTCAATCATTTATTTAGATTAGTATGGACTCATGGATATTTAGTTTATACTCTGGGTTATAATCCAATACTACTTTTATTTTCTTGCTCACATTTCCAGATATGGCCATTGGAAGCTCTTTCAGTTGGTTTCCGTGTCCCTTGGACACATCCTAGTCATTGTGTTTGTTTTTGATACTTCCTTACTTGTTGGCACTGCAAGATCCCCCAGACTCATCTTGTGTATTTCCTGCCCGGTCCTCAGATCAGTCATTTTTCCAGAGTATGGATTCCTTGTCTTGGAGAATGTTATTAGAAACCAGTATCTCAGTGCTAAATGAGCTCATTGCTACTGGAGTGGTGCCTTTCTTTTTGAATCACTGTTTTATCCTTTGTGTCTGTGATACTACATTTTCTTAGTCTTTCATAGAAGGTAGTATAGTGTAGTAGTTAAGAACAAGAGCTCTGGAGGACTAAAATGTAATCTTGGTTCCATTTCTTACACCCAGCCAAATGTGTGATCTTGAGCAAGTTGATCTTTCTAAACTACAGTGTCCACATCTGTAATGATACATATTATAATAGTAGGTTGCTCATAGAATGTGTAAAGATTAAATGAGCAACTGCACATAGTAAGTTATGCGTAGCACATAGTAAGCATTCATTCTGTGCTTGCTTTTTTCTCTTGTTTATAATATTTTCACCTTCCTTTTTGGCTGTTCCCTGACAGTCTACTCTATTAGATTTCCTTTGTCTTCTAAATGCTATAGTGTTCCATGGTCTTAGGTTTTCTTCTCACCTTGTGTATTCTCCCCAGGTGATTTCACCTATTCTTATAGCTTTAGTTGTCATCTGTTATGTATATGTATGATTCCGAAATCTATACCTGTGGCCCAAATACTTGTCTTAAGATTTTGTATATCCGACAGCCTATTGGGTACCTTCATTTGAATAACTTTAATGCACCTCAGACTCAGTCTGTCCAGAATTAAAGTAATTATTTTACCCTCCCAAAATCTGCTGTCCCCCTTCACCTGCCCTTTATCCCAGCCAGAAACAGAGGTGTCATCTTTAATTCCTTTCTCTTTCTGTCTACTCCCAGTCAAATCACTTACAAGGCTTTTTGATTCCACCTAACTCTCTGAGCCTTCCTCACCCATTTTCTCTGCCTTCACTGCTGCTGTAATAGGTCAGACTACTATAAACCATTTCCTGGATTACTGCAGCTGATTTTCTGTTTCATTCTCTGTACTGTAGCTGCATACTTTTTCTCAAACACAGATCTGCACAAATCTTTTCATGTTGTAAAACATTTTAATAGTTCCTTATTGCCCTCAAGATAAAGTCCAAACTACAATTTAAATGATCCTTTATGGCCGGGTGCGGTGGCTCACGCGTGTATTCCTTGCACTTTGAGAGACCAATGCAGTTGGATCAGTTGAGGTCAGGAGTTCGAGACCAGCCTGGCCAACATGGTGAAACCCCATCTCTACTAAAAATATAAATAATCAGCCCGGTGCGGTGGTGTGCGCCTGTAATCCCAGCTACTAGGGGGGCTGAGGCAGGAGAATCGCTTGAACCCAGGAGGCAGAGCTTGCAGTAAGCCAAGATTCAGCCACTGCACTTCAGCCTGGGTGACAGAGCAAGACTCCATCTCAAAAAAAAAAAAACTCCTTTAAGATAATGGTTCTTGTTTTCATCTGTACTCTTATCCCAGACACCTATCCTTCTGCCACACTGAACTGCTTTTAGTTCCCTGTTCTCTTTTCTCTGTCTTATTTAGCCTTTCTATATGCTCCTCTCTGGGTCTGGAATTTTATGCTTCCTTGACACCATCTTTCATGCCACTCCTGCTATATTTATACATATCACCTAGCTAATTCCTGTTCATCCCTTGCATCTAAGCTTAGGTCTTATTTCCACTGGCCTGTAAGCCTCTCAAATAAAAATATTTAAAACTCCTAAATGGAAAGAAGATTAAAAATAATGGAAATGGCCAATGATGTACCAGGAGCAAGAATATAATATTGATACTAAATAAAATAAAACATACTTCAAACCTCAAGGCATTAAAGGGACAAAGAGGAATATTATATAATGATAAATAATCAAAACAACAGTCCAATTTTCAAAAAATGGACAAAACTTATGAAAAGAAAGTTCACAGAAATGGAAATATTAACAGTTCTTACACATATGTAACGGTACTCAACCTCATTCATAAGGCATATGTACTTTAAAATTACACTGAGGGCTGGGCATAGTGGCTCATGCCTGTAGTCCCAGCACTTAATGAAGCCAAGGCTGGAGAACTGTTTGAGCCCAAAGTTCAAGACCAGCTTGGGCAGCACAGGGAGGCATTGCCTCTACAAAAGATAAAAATAAAATTAGCCAGGCTTGGTGGCATGCATCTGTAGTCCCAGCTGTTTGGGAGGCTGAGGCAGGAGGATTGCTTGAGCCCAGGGGTTTAGGCTGCAGTGAGCCAGCTGTGTTCGTGCCATTGTACTTGTACTCCAGCCTGGGTGACCCTGTCTCAAAAAAATAAAAACACTGATGTATCGTATTTCACTCTATAAGATTGGTGAGTATTAAGAAGTTTGTGCAGGATTGAAAAAAAGAAGTTTGGGCCAGGTGCGGTGGCTCACGCCTATAATCCCAGCACTTTGGGAGGCCGAGATGGGCAGATTACTTGAGGCCAGGAGTTTGAGACCAGCCTGGCCAACATGGCGAAACCCTGTCTCTACTAAAAATACAAAAAATTAGCTGGGCGTGGTGGCACATGCCTGTAGTCCCAGCTACTCAGGAGGCTGAGGCAGGAGAATAGCTTAAATTTGGGAAACGGAGGTTGCAGTGAGCCGAGATCACGCCACTGCACTGCAGCCTGGGCAACAGAGCAAGACTCCATCTCAAAAAAAAGAAAAAAGGCCAGGCGTGGTGGCTCAAGCCTGTAATCCCAGAACTTTGAGAGGCTGAGGTGGGCGGATCACCTGAGGTAAGGAGTTCAAGACAAGCCTGGCCAACATGGTGAAACCCCGTCTCTACTAAAAATACAAAAAATTAGCCAGGCATGGTGGTGGATGCCTGTAATCCCAGCTACTCAGGAGGCTGAGGCAGGAGAATCACTTGAACCTGGGAGGCAGAGGTTGCAGTGAGTTGAGATAGCACCATTGCACTTCCAGCCTGGGCAACAAGAGCGAAACTCCGTCTCAAAAAAAAAAAAAGGAAAGGAAAAATGTTTGACAAAAACACTCTTGTCAAGGGTGTAAGGTAACATGCTTTCCTATACTACTGGTGGGAACATAAATTAGTACAGCCTTTATGAGAGGGAATTTGCAATATTTATTAATTTAACATTAACATATCTTATGACTTAGCAGTCTCAATTCTAGGAATTTATTTTATTGCTAAGCTCACAAATTTAGGAAATAAAAGTTAATCTTTACAGTATAATATGTAATAGTAAAGTATTGGAAACAATGTAAATCCATCACTAGGATGTAGTTAAATAAATTGTGTTCAGTACATATAATGGAATGCTATGCAGATGTAAAATTGGGAATGAGAAAGGCTATGTACAAATATAGAATGATCTAGAAGACACATTGAATTAACAAAAGAAACCGCGCGCGGTGTCTCACTCCTGTAATCCCAGCACTTTCGGAGGTCAAGTCGGGTGGATCACGAGGTCAGGAGTTCGAGACCAGCCTGGCCAACATGATGAAACCTCGTCTCTACTAAAAATACAAAAATTAGCCAGGCATGGTGGTGTGCGCCTGTAATCCCAGCTACTCAGGAGACTGAGGCAGGAGAATCAGTTGAACCAAGGAGACGGAGGTTGCATTGAGCCGACATTGCGCCACTGCACTTTAGCCTGGGTGACAGAGCAAGACTCTGTCTCAAACAAGAAAAAGGAAAGAAAAGTGCAAAACAGTGATCTGGGTATATAACTATTAGTTTAAAGAAGTGAGGAACAGGCCTGGCGTGGTGGCTCACACTGATAATCCTAGCACTTTTGTAGGCTGAGGCGGGCAGATCCATTGAGTCCAGGAATTTGAGACCAGCCTGGGCAACATGGTGAAACCCTGTCTCTACGAAAAATTAGCTGGGGGTGGTGGTGTGTACCTGTAGTCCCAGCTACTCAGGAGGCTGAGGTGGGAGGATTGCTTGAGCCCAGGAGGCAAGGGTTGCAATGAGCTGAGATTGTGCCACTGCACTCCAGCCAGCCAGGGTGACAGAGTGAGACCCTTTCTAAAAAAAAAAAAAAGTGAGAAATAATGACACAACATACAAACTTGAAAACATATAATGTTTCTTGTAAGGATACACAGAAACTGTTGACATTGGTTATCTGGTAGTGGAAAAACAGTGTCTTTCACAGAGGAGAAATTTTTAATTTTAATGAAGTTCAACATGAATTTTTCTTTCATGGATCATGCTTTTGCTGTTGTATCTAAAATGTAATTGCCAAAACCAAGGTCACATAGATTTTCTTTTTTATTGTCTTCTAGGAGTTTTATAGTTTTGTATTTTATGTTTTAAGTCTAGAATCCATTTTGGATTTTTATGACAGGTATAAAGAATCTGTGTCTAGATTCATTTCTTTACATGTAGATATCCAGTTCATTTGGCCTCATTTATTGAAAAGACTCTCTTTTCTCCATTAAATTGCCTTTGCCCATTTGTGAGAGATTAGTTGACCATATTTTTATTGTTCTGTTTCAGGGCTGTCTGTCCTGTTTTGTTGATCTATTTTGCCGTTCTTTTGCCAGTGCCACACTATCTTGATTATTGTGGCTTTATAGTTACAGTCTTTTTTTTTTTTTTTTTTAAGCTAGAGTCTTACTCTGTCACTCAAGATGGAGTGCAGTGGCACAATTACAGCTTGCTGCTGCCTTGACCTCCTGGGCTCAGGTAATCTCCTCACCTCAGCTTCCCAAGTACCTGGAACTATAGGCACGTGCCACCATGGCCAGCTAATTTTTAAATTTGTTTGTAGAGACAGGGTCTCACTTTGTTGCCTAGGCTGGTCTTGAACTCCTAGGCTCAAGCTATCTTCCTGCCTTGGTCTGAGTCAGTGCTGAGATTACAGGCATGAGCTACCATGCCCGACCTACAGTCAGTCTTAAAGTTGGATAATGTTAGTCCTCCAGCTTTTCTTTACTATTGTGTTGGCTCTTCTGAGTCTTTTACCTTGTCATATAAATTTTAGAATCAGTTTTTTGATAACTACAAAGTAACTTGCAGGATTTTTATTGAGATTGCAATGAATCTGTACATCAAGTTGAGAATAACTGAAATCTTAATAATATTGATTCTTCCTATTCATGAGCATGGAATAGCTCTACATTAATTAGGTCTTCTTTGATTTCTTTTATCAGAGTTTTATGGTTTTCCCCCAGAGATCTTATATATATATATATATTTATTGGATTTATACCTAAGTATTTCATTTTTGGTGCTAATGTAAATGGTCTTGTGTTTTTAATTTCAAATATTAATTGTTTATTGCTGGCATATAAGAAGGCAATTAATTGTATGTTAAACTTCATATTCTGTAACCTTGCTGTCATTGCTTATCAGTTGCAGGAGAGTTTTTGATTGTAAGAGGTATTTTAATTTTCAGTTTCTAGTTCTTCTTTGCTAACATATAGATATATAATTGCTTTCTAATTTCACTGGTTAGGACTTTCAGCACAAGGTTTGATAAAAATGGTGGCAGCAGAAATCCTTGCCTTGTTCCCCATATTAGGAGGAAAGTGTTAAGTCTTTTATTTTTAGGTATTATTTTAGCTGTAGATTTTTTTTATAGCTGCCCTTTATCAGGTTGAGTAAGTTTTCCTTCTGTTCTTGGTTTTCTGGGAATTTTATACATGAATGGTTTTTGGATTTTGTTAAATGTTTTTTCTGCCCCTGTTGCAATGATTACATGGTGGAGTACTGTTAATATGGTATATTATTACATTGATTGATTTTTATATGTCAAATCAGCCTTGGATTTCCTGGATAAACCTCAGTTATGAGAGAAGTACACAAATTCTCCATTTGGAGAGTATTGGTGATTAGATCCTGTTTTGTATTATTTTTAGTCCTTTATAGTCTTAGAGATGAGTCTGGGGTCCCCTGGGTCACAGCAAGGAACCAGCTGAAGTTAGAGTCCCCAGAAGATAGATGATCCCCAACTTAACGATGGTTTGACTTAAAAATTTTTGACTTTATGATGGTGCGAAAGTGACACACATTCAGTAGAAACCATACTTTCGAGTACCCATACCACTGTTCTGTTTTTCACTTTCAGTACAGTATTCAATAAATTACATGAGTTATTCAACACTTTATTATAAAATAGGCTTTGTGGTAGATGACTTTGCCTAATTGTAGGCTAATGTAAGTATTCTGAGCACCTTAAGGTAGGCTGAGCTAACCTATAATGTTTGATAGGTTAGGTGCATTAAATGAATTTCCAACTTACAATATTTTCATCTTACAATGGGTTTATCAGGATGTAACCGCATCATACTTACCTTCATAGCATCTATACATACATTTATAGTGGCACCAATTGTTTCAGGTTTTATAACATTTTTGAACAAATCTTCACAGCCTGGAAACAGGAATAAAAGAAGCATATTGTGGGCAAAGCATTAGGAGCAAAAGGAATTCAGAGTTCTACTGAGAGAGTTGCTGGAATGGCTCCCTGTAGGGACCATAATAATGCATTTCTGGTGAGATGCAAATGTGAGAACTGTGCTTTTCTTGATGAGAGTAAGATAAAGTTTAAAGGGAGTTGGAAAGGGAAAAGAGTAGAGAATTGGTATTAGAAATTACTTCAGTGTTTAAAATCTTAAAAATTCAGTAGCTTATATGTTTTAGAGTTTCATGTTTACTTAAGCTGCTAACTTTTACCTGCATTACTTTTTTGGATTTTACTTCACAAATTTAAGCCCCAAAATATCTAGTAAGCCTGTTTTATTTTGTATTATTTTGAGTAATAGGTATAAGCAATATTTGGTTGCTATTTCAATAAAAATTCTTTGGCAGGTGTCCAAATCCCAGCGCTTTGAGAGGCCGAGGCAGGCAGATCACTTGAGGTCAGGAGTTTGAGACCAGCCTGGCCAACATGGCGAAACCTCCTCTTTACTAAAAAATACAAAAATTAGCCAGGTATGGGGGTGTGCACCTATAGTCCCAGCTACTCAGGAGGCTGAGGTGGGAGCATCACTTGAACCTGGGAGGCAGAGGTTGCAGTGAGCCGAGATTGCGCCACCCTGCTCCAGCCTAGGCGACAGCGTGAGACTCTGTCTCAAACACACACACACACACACCCACACACACACACACACAGAGTGAATGGTTCTAGCTTTCCTCTTTTTTTGGTTTAGGATAACTAAAATTACACGCCTGTAATTCCAGCACTTTGGGAGGCCGAGGAGGGTAGATCACTGGAGCTCAGGACTTTGAGACCAGCCTGGGCAACACAAAACCCCATTTCTACAAAAAGTACAAAAATTAACCAGGCATGGTGGCCTGTGCCTGTGCAGTCCCAGCTCCTTGCTCCTTGTGTGGCTGAACTGGGATGATTGCTTGAGCCTGGGAGGCAGAGGTTGCAGTGAGCTGAGATCACACCATTGCACTCTAGCCTGGGTGAAAGAGTGAGACCCTGTCTCAAAAAAAAAAAAATCTTAATGATCTGAAAACAGAATTCCATTCTGCAAATAATTTTATTTATTGACCAGTTCATCCCAGCGAGTTGCTTTACCTGAAAAACCTTTACCATCTGATCCTTTTTCTTGTTTGTATTTTTCCTGTTTATCTTCAGATACATTTTATTTAAATTAATAGTGGTTTGTTACCATATTAAATAATTAGATACTACAATTCAATAAGAACTACCTTTTAAAAATGAAAATCAGAGGAGTTCCTGATTTAAAACAAAAAATAAAGGAAAATATTAAAGTGTTTTTAAAGAGACTAAGGTTACCACATCTTTTATCTTCCTGTTAACTACTTTTGCAACATATATTGTTGTGATTAGGTAGAATTATACAACTTTGCTCTGTTTCTTTGATTGCGTATTGGAAACTCTTATTATCCCTTTTTTCAGTGACGTTGTTTTACATTGGATAACATCCAGTGACACTTGTGTATTCTTTACATCCTTTAGTGAGTCCATTTGGGACCCATTTACATATGAAAAGCAGCATGACTGACACTGCAGACATGTAAATCGCAAATCTAAAGGAATTAGAGAAGATGAAAACATTATTTATCAATAAGGTCCTCAGTCTCCCAAATGAACAAAGTAGGCACTTGAGTAATAATTTGAAAAAGTGATTCATCTTTTTTCTACTCCCTGATTAATAAAGGTGATATTTTCTTAGTATGCTTGGAGGTTGGGAATACTTTAAGTCAGTAGTTCTCGAATTTTATCAAGCATGAGAGTCACCTAGAGGGCATGTTATAAAGATTACCAGGCATCACCTCCAGAGTTCTGATACAGTAGGTCTGGGGTGGGACCTGAAAATTGGTATCGCTAACAAGTTCTCAGGAGAAGCTGATGTTTACTAGCACTGGACCATACTTTAAGCACTACTGTTGGCCAGGCACGGTCATCTCAGCATTTGGGAGGCCGAGGTGGACAGATCGCTTGAGCCCAGGAGTTCGAGACCAGCCTGGCCAACATGGTAAAACCCATGTCTATAAAAACACAAAAATTACCTGGATGTGGTGGCACAGGCCTGTAGTCCCAGCTACTTGGATAGCTGAGGCACAAGAATCATTTGAACCCAGGAGGCAAAGGTTGCAGTGACCCAAGATTGCACCACTGCACTCCAGCCTGGGCGACAGAGTAAGACTCTGTCTCAAAACAAGAAAAAAACTAAAAACCAAAAAACTACTGGTATATGGTAGGGTATATGAAAGTGGAGAATGAGCAACAAGTAGGATCAGCCTGATTTTCCTGCCTAAGGTTTTCATTCAATTCAGAAATTTTTTTTTTTAAGTACCTGCTATGTGTCTAATACTACGATGTCATCAAGCTTTACATGTCTTAGACTTTTCGACAGTGGATCTTTTGCTTTATTGAGAGGCTTCACCAACTAAGGAGCACTGTCTAAAATAAAAGACTAGTAAAGAAAGAAATAAAGTTATTCATTTTGTTGCTTTTTCAACCCTCTGTTTTTATGCTAGGTAATATTTTACCCTTTACCAATTTTAATGTGCAAACATTATTTCTGGCAATTCCACCTCTAGGTAGCTATCCTAAGGAAATAACTTTCAACAATTGATTAATGTAGACACAGACAGAGATGTTTATCATAGATGTTTATTATAAAGAGCAGAAAAGTAGCTCCTACACTGAAGTCTGTAGTTTTGCAATTACTAAATAAACTGTGTATGTATGTATATGATAGCTAATTTTGTAGCCATTAAGTTTTGCTTATGAAGAGAAGCATTTTAAAGTTAAAAATGCTTGATATACAAGAATTATTTTATGTAAGCATATTTTAATAAAATTTAAGAGCTCAGATTTAAGTGAAATTGTATTTTAGGTTCTTAACTATGTGAGATTTATTTATAGAGAAAAATGAGGAAATATAACAAATTACTTTTTACAAAGTATCTTTAGAATGTGAGATTATGATTGACTGTTACTATATATTCTCTTCTGTATTTGTAACATATCCATGACTGGATATTACTTTTATAATTAAAATATTCATGTTTTATATTTACATATTATTTCAAGTTTTATTTACACACATATATTAGTGTACAGCTCAGTGACGTTTTATAAGCCAGCACTCATATCTAGAAGCAGAATATAACCAGCACCCTAGAAGCATGCCTTGTGCTCTATTTCAAGGATAACTGCTATCATGACTTCTAAAAGCACAGATTATTTTCTCCTGTTTTTGTACTTTATATAAATGTAATCATACAGTATTTATTCTTTTGTGACTGGCTTCTCTTGCTTAAGAAGATGTTGTGAGATCAAGCTTAGTAATCATAGTTCATCCTTTCTCATTGCTATGTAATACTCCATTGTGTGAATAAACCATTATTCACTTTAATGTTATTGGGCATTTGGGTAGGTAATTTTAAGTTTGGGAATATTATGATTAGTTATGTCATAAATATTTTAGTCCATGTCCTTTGGTGAACACATGTACGTATTTCTACAGGGCATACACCTAGGATTGGAACTGTTTGGTTGGGGTTCAGTTTTAGTCGATACTCCCAGATGATTTTTCTCAAAGTGGTTATACCAGTTCACACTCCCACTGGCAACAGATGAGGATTTCTGTTGCTCCACATCCTTGCCAATACCTAATGTGCATTAGTCAGGGTTCTCCAAAGAATCAGAACCGCTGTCTCTCCTATTGGTTTTTTATGACTATATATATACACACACACACACACACACACACACATATATATTATATAATATATATATATGTGTATATATACAGCTGACCCTTGAACAACGCAGTGGTTGGGGCACTGACCTCCCTGTGCAGTCAAAAATCTGTGTATAATTTTAACTACTGATAGCTCACTGTTGGCCAAAAGCCTTACCGATAACATGAACAGTTAAGTAACCCATATTTTGTATGTTATAGATTGTGTACTGTATTCTTACAATAAAGTAAGCCAGAGAAAGGAAAATGTTATTAAGAAGATCTTAAGGGAGAGAAAATATGTGTACCATTCATTAAGTGTAAGTGGTTTGTCATAAAGGTCTTCATCCTTGTCATGTTAATGAAGAGTAGGCTGAGAAGGAGTAGGAAGAGGAGGGGTGGATTTTGCCGTCTCGGGTGGCAGAGGCAGAAGAAAATCTGTGTATAAGTGTACCTGTACAGTTTGAACCTGTTATTCAAATATCAGCTCTGTGTGTGTGTGTGTGTGTGTGTGTGTGTGTGTGTGTGTGTGTGTGTGTGTGTGTAGAGAGAGAGAGAGAGAAATTGATTGATTATAGGGATTGGCTCATACAGTTATGTAGGTCAAGAAATCCTGTGACCTGCTGTCTGCAACCTGGAGAACCAGGAAAGCTGGTGATGTCATTCAGTCTGAGTCTGAAGGCTGAGAATCACGGGAGCCAGTGGCACAAGTCCCAGCTCAAGTCTGAAGGGCTGAGAACTAGAGGGGCTGATGGTACAAGTCCCAATTCTAGGCCAGAGGCCTCAGAACCAGTGTGCCAATTTCACAGGCAGGAAAAGATGAATGTCCAGCTCAAACAGAAGCAGATTCTCCCTTCTGTTGCCTTTTTGTTCTCTTTGGGCCCTCAACAGGTTGGATGATGCCCCTCTCCATTGGAGAGGGTGATTTTCTTTATTCACTCTACTGATTCAAATGCTAGTCTCTTCCAGAAACATCTCATAGACCACCCAGAAACAATGTTTTATCAGCTATCTGGGCATCCTTTAGCTCAGTCAAGTTGACACAAAAGTTAACCATCACAGTATTTTTCATCTGTTTTCTTATACTTAGTGTGGTAAGTGTGCAGTGGTAATATATGGTAGCTTTAATTTGTATTTCCTGGATGATTAATGAATTGAGAGCCTTTCCTATATTTTTGGTTGTAAATTATGCTAAAACGTTGTTGTAGTTTGCAGCTCAGTATCAGATATATTTTAACTTTATTTCAAGGAACTTAATTATAAGAAGTATTTTACAAAATATATCAAAGGATATTATAACTTGATCCAAGGTTATGTATGAAACTTAAAAATAGCATACATTTAATTTTTAAAGTCTCAAGTGTTAGTGTCCTGTAATATGGTACCTAATGAGATTTAGTTTGAGTTGAATTATACTTTTATGATTGAATGTTATTTTCCTGTTGGCTTCAGCTATAAAAATTAAAGACGTTCTCATATGAAAAATCGTTCAGTAGACGGAGTTGAAATTTTTTGCCAAAGACAAATAAGTAAGTTGATAACCAGTCTCTGTCGGCTGTTGTCATCAGGAACACTGCTAGACTCAAGTAAGATAATATTTGTAAAGCACTACCCAGATGTTTGTGTTACTTTTAGAGCTTTAAAATCTTTGAAATATTCTTAACATCTTGGTTTTCTTTCTGTTTTATCCACTGATACCTTACTCCTAACCCTCCATGTGTAGTTCTCAGAATTTATTCCATTCTTGCTATTGTCTTGAGTTTTTAGAACAAGGTAGAAGGCACAGAACAACCCAAAAACTGCCCCCCTCCACACACACATTTTTATATATTTAAGTATAATTTAAATAAATAAATACAGAATGCTGCTAACCTCATTGGCATTTTAAGATCATATTGTAATGGCAGGCTATTGAGACAACATGGGACTTGTACCTAGCATAGTGCCTGTCTCACAGGAGCTCACTGTATATTTGTTGAGTGGATAAGACAATGAAAAAATTCTACTGTTGGGTTTTTCTCTTTTTAGGTTTTGTTGGGAGCTTCCATTTGTTGTCCCCTACCCACCAGTTTTGGATCTTTAATTTTAAAAAGAGTACTTAAGATGGATATGAGAAAGTTACTGTTATGCTGGGCACAGTGGCTCACGCCTATAATCCTAATGCTTTGGGAGGCTGAAGTGGAAGGATCACTTGAGGCAAGGAGTTCAGGAAAGTTTCTGTTAGTAAAATTTTCAAAGTGGAACTTTCTCTCAAGATAACCTCATATAGACAGTCAGAAAGGAGAACAGTAAAATTGTAAAATGACTGGAAAATAAGTATACATTTTAGTGATTTTTTATGTGGTACTTATTTTGGGAGAATCTAATTATTCAAGTACCCATTAAAATAAAAAGCAAAGTTAATGTTATCTTTATATTATTTAAGATGTATCCATGAGATAAATTCTATAATATATATTGGATTACTTATGAACAAAGAGAACTAGAAAAAACGTGTTTTAAGAGGAGGTAAATAAAAGAAGTTCCAAATAGAAGGAAAGAAAGCTGGAGAGGGGCTGGACACAGTTGCTCAAGCCTGTAATCCCAGCACTTTGGGAGGCCGAGGCAGTCAGATCACCTGAGATCAGGAGTTTGAGACCAGCCTGGCCAACATGGCAAAACCCCGTCTCTACTAAAAAGACAAAAAAATTAGCTGGGCATGGTGGCCGACGCTGGTAGTCCCAGCTACTCAGGAGGCTGAGGCAGGAGAATCGCTGGAACCTGGGAGGCAGAGATTGCAGTGAGCCGAGATTACACCATTGCACTCCACCCTGGGTGACAGAGCAAGACTCTGTCTCAAAAAAAAAGAAAGAAAGCTGGAGAGAACGGTGACACTATGTCTCAATAGCATCTGTTATCCTAGATGATGTTAAAAAGTTCTGTTGAATGCTTTTTTTTCACAACTCTCTTCTACTCTGAATTATAAAATGTAATAGTGTGGTATTAGAAAAGACAGCTAATCCTTTAGAAATTGGTCGTATATTATTTTGACCATTGGTCATTGATTATTTTACTGGCCAGTTTGTGAAGCTTTTCTTGATTTTTTTTTATTCCAGATCTTTAGACCTCACTATGAAACAACCCACTTGTTAGGAAACATTGATACAGTCATTGGAAAATCTTAACCATATGTGGTAGAATGGCCACAAGCAAATGCATGAGGCTTAGGCCTGAAGCTTCAGGGCTTTGTTTGATACATGTATCAATTTATATAGAATTGATCAAAGCATATCTATGACTGCTACTGATTACCATAGAAAAATAGCTGAGTAACTGTTGCTTTATTCTGTAATATCAATGTGTATAATAAAAAATAAATTTTGTTCATTGCCTCCAGTTCTGGCACACAGTTCCTAAAGCCCTTTGAATCTCCAAAGTAATGAGTGTCTTTTGTACTCTAATGAGAAGATTGTTGACTGGGGTCCCCTAGATAGCTTTAGGATGGGGGCTGGTGCCAGAAAGACCAAGGATTGAAACTTTCAACCCCACCTCTGACTTCCAGCAGGGAGAGAGGGCCTGGAGATTTAGATGATTACCAATGGCCATGATTTAATCAATCATGCTTACATAAGGAAACCTCTATAAAACCCCATAAATGACAGTTTGGAGAGCTTCTGGGTTGGTGGACACAGTGAGGTACTGGGAGGGTGGCGTGCTTGGAGGTGGCATGGAAGCTCTGTGCACCCACCCCCTACCCCTGCCCCATTGCCCTGTCTTACGTTTCTCTTCGATTTGGCTGTTGCCTTCCTGAGTTGTAGTAGCCTTTTAAACAAACCAGTAATAGTAAGTAAAGTGCTATACTGAGTTCTGTGTCATTCTAGCAAATTATTAAATCTGAGGCGGGGTCATGGGAACCCTCAAATTTGTAGTCTGTAGGCAGAAATGGGAGTAGCCTGGGCATGTCATCTGTGGCTAGCAGCTGTGGCAGGCAGTCTTATGGGACTGACCTCTTAGTCTGTGAGGTCTGGGCTAACTCCAGGTAGTTACTATCAAAATTGTATTGAATTGTTAGACACCTAATTGGTGTCTGAAGAATTGGAGAATTGGTTGGTGTGATTTAAAAAAAAAAAAAAAAACCCAAACATTTGGTGTCAGAAGTGTTGTGAGTAAAAACAGTTCATTATTAGGTACTTAAATTCAAAGATGGTGTAGATTTTATGTGTATGATCACTGGCTTCTCTCTTTTAATATCGAGGGTTAGTTATCAAGGTAATTTTTAAATGACTTGGACATTTAAAAAATAGAATAAAATACTAATTTATAAATAAACAAGGGTTAAATCAGGCTGTATAAATCAGTGGAGATGTAAGCACTTTAAGGCAATATCCTTATCTCCGTTTCTGTGAAATTTGAGTGTGGAATCTTGTAAGATAATTGTGACTATTTTATAGGCCATAAGGAGAAAAGTGACATCTGGTATATCTGGACCATAGACCTTAAAGGATTCTAACACAAACACATACCAAGCTTGATTGGTATTGAACTGGCCTGGGGAAAAGTATGTCATAATAGCAGAAACTCTGTGATGGTATGGATGGAGAACTTTATAAAGCCAAGGAACTGAATCCGGGCACCGTGGTCAAAGAGGAAAACTTCTAGCGTCTCCCTGTAGCCATACATAATTCTATAGGTATTACCATTCCCTCTCAACTCATTCTGTATTATTAGGGAAATAAAGTCTTTCTCTAACGTTTTTCTTTTCTCCTAATATAGTTTGAAATGCAGTCACTTTTACTTAAACTTATCTTTTGGAATAAAATAATTTATGGAATTCATAGCACTCAGATTGTTTCACCAGACTACTTGTAGAAATTCTGGATTAGTTGATTAACCACAGTTCATAGCTTCCCAGTTGCACATTATCCTTAGATTTCAAAAATTCCTTTCTGAGTAAGAGATACAAAACAACCCACCCAGGAACAAATTATTTTCTTGGTTGGCAGAGCAGTATCATTCTTAGCACACATGAAATCGAGCTAAGAACCAGAGCTAATCCAAGATTTTAGAGTTGTCTTAGCTCTGCTAATTTTCTTTATTATTTTGCTTGTATTTTCATTTTCACACAACTCTCTCAAGTGATTAAGCTGTACTTAAGTATTTTTTTAAATTTCGTCTTTAAAAAGGTTCTTACTGTTTTGTTTCAGAAAGGACATGCTATAGCTAATACACTTTTTGTAATCTTATGGTGGCCATGGAAGTGTGCCATTCAGACCTCCTGCTGGTGGGAGGCACAAATGACTGACAGTCCCAGCTGTGGTCCCTCTGGATCCACCACCTCATTCTTGCTGAGGTCACACTGATGGTGACTCCACATGGCCAGTGAATGAATGAGTGTAGGCCTGTTCATAAGAAACACAGTTCTCCTCTAATCAGCAGGGCATTACTTCCTATTACTGCATAATAATTACTCTAAAATTTAACAGCTTAAAACAAACATTCATCTCACATGGTTTCTGAGGATCAGCAATCTGGGAGTGGCTTACGTAGGTATTTCTGCCTCAGGGTCCCTCATGAGGTTGTAGTCAAGCAATTGGCCAGGGCTGTAGTCATCTGCAGGCTGGACTAGGGCTGGAAGATGTCCTTCCAGGATGGCTCACATATTCATACATGGATATTGGCAAGAGCTTACAGTTCCTTGCTGACTGCTGTTGACTTCAGATCCTTGTCACATGGTTGTCTCCACAGGGCAGCAAATAACATACTTTTTCAGGGTCCAGATTTGTTGGGGACAAGTAAGAGTAGTTTGGTTTTTGTCTTAGGTATCATTTATTCTGAGATGCTTTTTCTAAACATCACTCCCACCAAGGGTTGCCAGATATAGCAAGTAGAGGACAATATTTGGAACATACTTCTACTAAAAAATTATTCATTGTTCATCTAAAATTCAAATTTAACTAGGTATCTTATATTTTATCTGACAGCCTTTCTGGGTTTAGTTTGTCTTCTCTGTGCACCTGTGATACCCTGTGCTATCCCGCTTCTATATTTACCGCACTATATTTTAATTGTCTATTTAGTTGCCAGTATCTTCCCACTAGGGTGAAACTTCTCCATGGGAATAAACTGTCTTTTTTTTTTTTTTTTTAATTCACTGTTATATCCCCAGTGCCAAGCACTGTGCTTGACCTATAATAGGTACTCAGTAGCCAGGCATGGTGGCTCATGCCTGTAATCCCAGCACTTTGGGAGGCCGAGGTGGGCAGATCATGAGGTTAGGAGTTCGAGACCAGCCTGACCAACATGGTGAAACCCCATCTCTACTAAAAATACAAAAATTAGCCGGATGTGGTGGCGCGTACCTGTAATCCCAGCTACTCAGAAGGCTGAGGCAGGAGAATCGCTTGAACCTGGGAGGCGAAGGTTGCAGTGAGCCGAGATCATGCCACTGCACTCCAGCCTGGGCGACAGAGCGAGACTCTGTCTCAAAAAAAAAAAAAAAAAAAAAAAAAAAAAAGGTACTTAATAAATGCATGTGGGCTTTCCAAGAATGAAAACACTTGGTCTTATAATTGCATGCACTTTTCTCCTCCACCTTTTCTTGATTGTCATCATGAATCTCAGTAGAATGCTAATGCAGCAAAAGGGCTAGTAATTCCAAGATTCAAGAACTTGTGTTATCACTTTATATATAAGCTTCAGGTTCCCCTCTGGTAGCTGGAGATAATATCTGTTTCCTCTTGGAAGCAGGAAAAAAAATGATAAAGCCTACTATTTTCTAGGATTGTACTAGCTTCAATAATTGGAAGCTGGGCTTTATGTAATGATAATAGGTTTTAAGGACATGGAATCAAATAGGTCTGAGTTTAAATGTTAGCCTTGTCACATACTAAAGGTGACTTCTTGGGCAAATTTGTCATGTTTCAAAATGTCGATTTTCTTATCTCTAAAATGGGAGTGATCATGCACTTTCATAAGGGCTATTGTGAGGATTAAATGATAAAACAAGTGACCTTGCCTAGCAGAGTGCCTGTTTTTGGCACATGGTAGGTACACAGCAAATCCCTAATGAAGCTTCCTGGGGCTACCATATGTCCCGTGAGTGATTCTGTCTTTGGATTGATAGGCATTTATAATTCCACCAATTGTAGATTCTCATCCAAGTACATATACCAAATATCTGAACCTATGTTTTATCTCTTACTGAGATGGATTACTATGGCCACAACACACCAGAAGAATAAAATTAACCTGTTTTATGATAATCTAAAATAGCTCATTTCTCTTATATGTAGATGAACAATTCAATGCTTGTTGAATCCCATTCCCAGTGATAGGAGGAGACTGACTGCATTGCAGGATCAAAAGTGGATGTTTTTATGATTGTTGTCTGCCACAAACTAGTTATCTCTGTGATGACTTTTCCAATATCCAATATCTGCTTAAAATCTGGATCAGAAAGCTCATGAGGTTCTTCTTTCTCAGTCTTTGGCTCTTCTGAAAATCAGGTTCAAGTATAACTTTTGGCCCTTCACGTCTCTGGAGGTTTCTGTCCTTAATAGTCTTACATGCATTAGAATTGTTGATTGTACCATCTCTTATGTCCCTAACACTGTCTTTCCCCACTTGATCCATGCTTTTTAGTTTCATGAATAAGAAAAGTGAATCTCATAAAGGTAAAATGACTTACTGCAGACCACACACTGGGATTTGAACCTAGGTATGTTGACTGGGATTTGAACCTAGGTATGTTGACAAATCACAAATCAGCTGGGATTTGAACCTAGGTATGTTGACTTCATTGCAATATGCATACTACATGCCAGTTGTTTCAGTGGATGAGAATTATGAAACCTGTGCATTGATATACAAACACGAGGTGTTAATATTATGAAGTGCCACCTGAGATACACGGTAACCCCTATAGCAGAGGGTTTATAGTTGATTTAAGGAGAACTGATACATAAATAACAAAACATAGTGTCAATGATTCATATAGGCAAAACCAGCTACTAAAGTCATAATTATTTTTAGCCATATAGAATATTTTTTGATATTTTATTAATCTCATTTTGTGTCTGGATTCTTGTACTTAGCATAATGTTTTCAAGATTCATTCATGTTGTGTGAATCAGTAGTTCTTTTCTATTACTGAATAGTATTCTATTATATGATATACCACCATTTGTATATCCAGTCATGGGTTGATGAACATTTTTGTTGTTTCACTTGTGGAGCATTATTAATAAAACTGCTGTGAACATTCAAATACAAGCTTATGTGTTGACATAAGTTTTCATCTCTCTAAGGTAAATACCTAGAAGTGGAATTGCTGGGTCATATGGTAAGTGTATATTTAACTTTATAAGCAATTACCAAACATGTTTCCCAAAGTGTTTGTACAAGTTGGCATTCCCATCAGCAATGTGTATGAGAGTTCTAGTGCCCTGTGTCCTTGCCAGCACTTGGTATGGTCAGTTTTTTTTGTTTTCTATTTTAGTGATTCAAGTGAGTTTGGTGCTCAGTGTGGTTTTAATTTGTATTTCCCTAATGACTAATGATATTACGAATCTTTTCATGTGCTTATTTGCCATCAGCATATTTTCTTTGGTTACATAAGTGTTTAAATCTTTTGCAGATTTTTTATTGAGTTGTTTGTCTTGTTATTGTCTTATTCATGTTACAAGTCCTTTATCACATGTGTATTTTGCAAACATTTTCTCCCAGGCTGTCATGTGTCTTTTTCTTCTCTTAACTTTTTAAAGGCTTTTCCAATATCTCCTGCTTAAAATCCAGATTAGAAAGCTCATGAGGTTCTACTTTCTCAGTCTTAACTTTTTAAAGTTAAGAGATTTTGAAGAGCAGACATGTTTTATATCTTGATACATCAGTCTGTTTATGTTGCTATAAAGGACTCATGAGGCAGGATAATTTATAAAGAAAAGAAGTTTATTTTGGCTCATGGTTCTGCAGGCTGTACAGGAAGCATGGTGCCAGCATCTACTTCCGGTGAGGGCCTTGGGAAGTCTACAGTCATAGCAGAAGGCAAAGGAGAGTCAGCAAGTCACGTGGCAAGAGAGGGAGCAAGAGAGATGGAGGGAGGTGCCATACTGTTTTAAACAACCAGATCTCATGTGAACTACTCATTACCATAGGGATGACACCAAGCCATTCATGAGGGATCCTCCCCCATGACCCAAACACCCCCATCAGGCCCCACCTCCAACATTGAGGATTACATTTCAGCATGAGATTTGGAGCGGACAAACATCTAAACTATATCACTTAATGTGCAGTTTTTCAATTAAAAAAGATAGTTTGTGGTTCTTTGTATCCTATTTAAGAAATCTGGGCTGGGCGCGGTGGCTCACGCCTGTAATCCCAGCACTTTGGGAGGCTGAGGCAAGTGGATCACGAGGCCAGGAGATCGAGACCATCCTGGCTAACACGGTGAAACCCCATCTCTACTAAAAATACAAAAAATAGCCGGGCGTAGTGGCAGGTGCCTGTAGTCCCAGCTACTAGGGAGGCTGAGGCAGGAGAATGGCGTGAACCCAGGAGGCAAAGCTTGCAGTGAGCTGAGTTCATGCCACTGCACTCCAGCCTGGGCGACAGAGCAAGACTCCATCTCAAAAAAAAAGAAAAAAAAGAAAAGGGAAATCTAAGCCAGGCAGGGTAGTTCCAGCTACTTGGGAGGCGGAACTACCCTTGGGAGGGGTGGACTACCCTTGGGAGGGAGACTACCCAGCCTAGTAGTTCCAGCTACTTTGGGAGGCGGAAGTGGGAGAATCCCTTGAGCCCAGGAGTTAGAGACCAGCCTCAGCAACATAGTGAAACCCCATCTCAGAAAAAAAAGAGGAAAGAAAAGAAATTTTTGCCTAAGCCAATAATACTAAGGTTTTCTTTTTTTTTTTCTTTGAGACAGAGTCTCGCTCAGTCGCCCAGGCTGATCTCCGCTCGATCTCCACTCACTGCAAGCTCCGTCTCCTGGGTTCACGCCATTCTCCTGCCTCAGCCTCCTGAGTAGCTGGGACTACAGGCGCCCACCACCACGCCCGGCTAATTTTTTTGTATTTTTTTTTTTTAGTAGAGGCAGGGTTTCACCGTGTTAGCCAGGATGGTCATGATCTCCTGACCTTGTGATCTGCCCGCCTTGGCCTCCCAAAGTGCTGGGATTATAGGCGTGAGCCACCGCGCACGGCCAATACTAAGGTTTTCTCGTACATTTTCCTATAAGTTTTTACGTTGCTATATTCCTTTATTTTCCTAGAACTTTCCTAGAAGTTTTCTAATTTTAGCTCTTAAATTTAAGTCTATGGTAAGTTTTGTTTTTTGTGTTTTTCCAAGACAGTCTTGCTTGGCCGGAGTGCAGTAGTGCAGTCACAGCTCACTGAAGCCTTGACCTCCTGGGCTCAAGCTATCCTCCCACCTCAGCCTCCCGGGTAGCTGGGACTACAGACATGTGCAACCACACCCAGCTAATTTTTAAATTTTTTGTAGAGATGAGGTCTCCCTATGTTGGCTAGGCTGGTCTCGAACTCTTGGGCTCAAGCAATCCTCCCGCTTCAGCTTCCCAAAGTGCTGGGATTACAAACATGAGTCACTAAGTCCAGCCTTATGATAAATTTTGAGTTAATTTTTATATATGGAATGAGAGGAAAGGTTTATTTTTGTATCATATGAATATCCAATCATTCCAGCAACAACCAGTCAAAAAAGATTATCATTTCCCATAGAATTGCTTTGTACCTTTGTCAAATATCAATTGACTATGTAATTGAGGATCTGTTTCTAGATTCTGTTCTGTTCCATTGATGTACGTGTCTTATCTTCATGCCAATACTGTACTCTCTTGGTAGCTCAGTGGTTCTCAATGAAGGACAATTTTGCCCCTAGGGGACATTTGGCAATATCTGGAGACGGTTTTTTTTTTTTTGAGATGGAATCTCTCTCTGTCTCCCAGGCTGAAGTGCAGTGGTGCAACCTCCGCCTCCCAGGCTCAAGCAATTCTCCCGCTTCAGCCTCCCGAGTAGCTGGGATTACAGGTGCACACCACCACGCCCAGCCAATTTTTGTAATTTTAGTAGAGATGAGGTTTCACCACATTGGCCAGGCTGGTCTCAAACACCTGATCTCAAGTAATCCACCCATCTTGGCCTCCCAAAGTGCTGGATTACAGGCCTGAGCCACCGCGCCAGGCCTGGAGACATTTTTGATTGTCACAACTTGGGGGGTAGGCAGGAAGGTTGCCCCTGGGTAGAGGTAGAGGCCAGGGATGGTGCTAAAGATTCTGCAATGCGCAGGAGAGTCTTCCAGAACAAAAAATTAGCTGGTCCAAAATGTCAGTAGTGCCAAGGTTGAGAAACTCTGCTGTAGCTGCATACTAAGCCTTAAAACCAGATAGTGTAATCTTTCGATTTTGTTATTTTACAAAGTTGTTTGAGCTATACTAGGTCCTTTGCATTTTATATAAATTTTAGAATCAACCTTATACATTTCTACAAAAAATATCTGCTGAGATTTGATTAGGATTACATTGATCTATAGATAAATTTGGGAAGAATTGACATATTAACAATTTTTAATCTCCTGATTGATTGATTGATTTTTTGAGATGGAGTCTCACTCTGTCACCCAGGCTGGAGTGCAGTGGAGTGATTTCAGCTCATTGCAACCTCTGCCTCTCAGATTCAAGCAGTTCTCCTGCCTCAACCTCCCAAGTAGCTGGGAGTATATATTTATTTTATTTTTATTTTTTTGAGACAGAGTCTCGCTCTGTCTGTCACCCAGGCTGGAGTGCAGTGGCGTGATCGTGACTCACTGCAAGCTCTGCCTCCCAGGTTCATACCATTCCCCTGCCTCAGCCTCCCGAGTAGCTGGGACTACAGGCACGTGCCACCACACCCGGCTAATTTTTTTGTGTTTTTAGTAGAGACAGGGTTTCACCGTGTTAGCCAGGATGGTCTCGATCTCCTGACCTTGTGATCCGCCTGCCTCGGCCTCCTAAAGTGCTGGGATTACAGGCGTGAGCCACCGTGTCCCGCCACTGGGAGCATATAGAAAGGCTAGAAGAGAAAACAGGGAACTAAAAGCAATTCAGTGTCGCAGAAGGATAGGTGTCTGGGATAAGAGTAAAGATGAAAACAAGAACCATTATCATAAAGGATCTTTTTTTTTTATTATTTTTTTTTTTTTGAGATGAAGTCTTGCTCTGTCACCCAGGCTGGAGTGCAGTGGCTGGATCTTGGCTCACTGCAAGCTCCGCCTCCTGGGTTCAAGCGATTCTGCCTCAGCCTCCCGAGTAGCTGGGATTACAGACGCTTGCCACCACGCCCAGCTAATTTTTGTATTTTTAGTAGAGATGGGGTTTTACCATGTTGGCCAGGCTCGAACTCCTGACCTCGGCCTGTGATCTGCCCGCCTCAGCCTTCCAAAGTGCTGGGATTACAGGTGTGAGCCACCACACCCAGCCTGAATCTTCTGATTTATAAACATGTTTTTTCTCTCCATTAATTTGTCTTCTATAGTTTCAGCAATCTATTGCAGTTTCCATTGTATAACTCTTGTACAATTTTGTTAGATTTATCCCTAAATATTTAATATTTTATGCTATTGTAAATAATATGTTTAAAATTTTTAATATCTGATTTTGTTTTGTTGGCAGAAGATAGAAATACAGTTGGCTTTTGTATATTGACCTTGTTGCCTGTGACCTTGCCAAACTCACTCCTAGTCCATTTATATAGATTCTATAGGATTTTCCATATAGACCAATATTTTGTTTATGTACAAACAAATTTTACGTATTCCTTTCTTATTTTATACCTTTCATTTCCTTTATTACACTGGCTAAGCCCTCTAGTTCATTGTCAGAATAGTAAAGGTATACATCATTGTCTTGTTCCTGATTTTAGGGGAAAAGCATTCAATTTTTTTACCATAAGTATGATTTTTAGCTATGGGTTTTCTATAGTTGCTTTTTAGCATTTTGAGTAAGTTCCCATCTATTCCTTGTCTGCTGAGAGTTTTTGTCATGAATAATTGTTGAATTTTGTTAAATGCCTTACCTGCATCTATTGAAGATGATAGTGTAGTTCTTCTTTTTTATTCTGATGATATGGGGAATTATATTGATTGATTTTCCAATGTTAAATCAACCTTCTGCCATTCATGGGATAAACTCAGGCATATGTTATCCTTTTTATATATTCTAGAATTCAGTTAGCTAAAATTTCATTTAGAATTTTTGTGAGTGTTCATGAGGGATATTGGGCCGTAGTTTACTTAAAATGGTTTTGTTTTGTTATTTTCTTTGTTTGTATTCCTTTTCTGAAGTACCTTTTAACCTTAGTTGCCATCTTACTTTCTCTCACTATTTTCAGAGGATGAACACTTTTTATAAGAAATCTGCTGTGTTTTGAGTGCTATATGCCAGGAACTACAAGAAGCCCTTCATATTCGTTATTTCATATAATCCTCAGAACCTTCTTCAAGATAGATGCTATTATGATGCCCATTTTAGAGGTGGATAAAACGGAGACTCAGAGCAGTTAATTTCCCAAGTGATAGAGGCAGTTCAAATTACGTCTTTCGGGCTGGGCACAGTGGCTCATGCCTGTAATCCCACCACTTTGGGAGGCTGAGGCAAGAGGATCACATGAGCCCAGGAGTTTGAGACCAGCCTGAGCAACATAGTAACACATTGTCTCTACAAAAAAATTAAAAATTAGCCAGGCATGGTGGCATACTCCTGTAATCCTAGCTACTGGGCAGGCTGAGGTGGGAGGGTTGCTTGAGCCTGGGAAGTCAAGGTTGTAGTGAGCTGTGATTGTACCACCGTACTCCAGCCTGGGCAAAAGAGCGAGACCCTATAAAATAAAAAATCAGGTCTTTCAAATCAGAGGTTGAAAACGGCTCTGCATTTATATCTTTCTTTAGAAATATTTTATTAATCTGAAATATTACTGACAAAACTAGGAGGAATTTAGAAAACTATACCTCTACTAATCTTTTTTCTCTTCTTTTGATTTTTTTTTTTTTTCCCTTAAGACAGGGTCTCTCTCTGTCATCCAGACTGGAGTATAGCGGTATAAATTCGGCTCACTGCAATCTGTCTCCCAGGCTCCAGCAATTCTCCTACCTCAGCCTTCTGAGTAGCTGAGATGATAGGTACATGCCACCATGCCCAGCTAATTTTTGTATTTTTAGTGGAGACGAGGTTTCACCATGTTGCCCAGGCTGGTCTTGAACTCCTGGGCTCAAGAAATGAGCCCACCTCATCCTCCCAAGGTGCTAGGATTACAGGTGTGAGCCACCACACCCAGCTAATCTCAGAGCACCTCTTTATGCTAATTGGTTTTGATATTCTCTGTGTGCTTATTTTTCAGTTTGAAAGTGTCTAATAATTAGCATATTAGGGCCAGGAGTGGTAGCTCACACCTGTAATCCCAACACTTTGGGAGGCCGAGGTGTGTGGATCACCTGAGGTCAGGAACTCAAGATCAGCCTGGCCAACGTGGTGAGACCGCGTCTCTACTAAAAATACAAAAATTAGCTGGGTGTGGTGACAGGAGCCTTTAATCCCAGCTACTTGGCAGGCTGAGGCAGGAGAATCACTTGAACCCGGGAGGCGGAGGTTGCAGTGAACCAAGATCGCGCCACTGACTGCACTGGAGCCTGGGCAACAAGAGCGAAACTCCATCTCAAAAAAAAAAAAAAAAAAGCATATTAGTTCACTAATTTGCAAGTTTTATCAAGCACACATTATTGTGAATTAACTTGAGTGTTTCTAATTGGATATGTCAACCTAAAATGAAGAAATGGAGGCAAAACTAATATAAGTGGAGAGTTTATTTGGGCCAAACTTGAGGATTACAACCTGGGAACATAGATTCAAGTTTCCCTGAATATACACTCCTGTTAGCAGCAGTTACAAGTGGAGTTTGAAAGGCAAAATAGGGGGACAGGGGGTGGACTGTACAAAGTTGTTTGCTAGGAATTCTCACTGGTTTACAGAACCAGTGAGAATTGATTAGTGATTGACTATACGTTGTTAACCTATAAGGTATGGATTATAGTGTTATTATAATTCACACCTGATGTGGATTATTAAGCTAATTTATGGCTACTTATGGCAATAGTAAGCAGTTTAAACAGATGAATACATAGCTCAAAGGAGGGGAGTAGGCATGATTGTAATCTCATTTTAATATCTATCTGGGCCTGATATTTAAAAGGACTTGCATTCCTCAGATAAAAGTTCTTTTCTTTTCTCAGTTGCTACAGTGCTTCAGTTTAAACTTCACATCTATTGGAAGTCTTTCAACGTTGTTAATCTGGATTAGAGATCCTTGAGAGAAAATGCCACTTTCTTTTTTACTATACTGTATTTAATATGCTCAATAGTATCAATAGGCATATTTCTGTTTATGTAAGATTGTAGTGTGGCTGAAGGCTGAAGGGGGGCAAGAGCACATGAGAAGCTATTGCTTCCACTTATCTGCTTTTCCCAGGTTGAATGTGTGCTAGATTATTTTAGGACCTTTTGGGCTCAAAAAATCAATGGGGAAGCCTGAATTTAGATGATAGCTAGCTGGTGGGACCCAACTTAATTTTCTGTCTTATGCTTCGGTCAAATTTGGGAATATACACAAAAAAGCAAAGCTACAAATAGAGATTGGCAATACAGATTAAAATGTGCCAGGCAACAGGAGGAATTTCGATGAGTAGAAATGAAGATTGATCCCTGAGACAAAATAGCGGGGACAGGCAGGAAAAAGGTAGATTTCTACCCTTCTCTACTTCATACCTACAAATTTAAGGAAGTAGGATCTTTACCAACCAGAAACTTGGCAGCTTCCCACCAACACCAACGCCGTGTTGCAACTGCTATCTGCAACATCCAGGGCTCTTTTTCTCCCTCCCATCTCTCTTATCATTACCTCTGTACTTCCCTTAGTGACCACAGCTCTGTAAAGGCAGTGGCAGAAGTGGATTTGTTGGGGGTACGTTTTCAGATGTGATGAAGGTAGTGGTGAGAAGGGGCAAAGAGAAGAAAATCCATGGGAGTAGTATGCCTTTTCTCAGGCCCTACTTTAGACAGACACACAGATTAAGCTTTTTATTATGGAAAATTTCAGATATTTACAAGAGTAAAGAGAACAGTTTAATAAACCAGTCACCAGGTTAAACAACTCTTGGTTAGGTCCTGTTTTTGACTAGGGGAGAACTATATTCTGTTTCAAAGTATGTAGGATTAGATTGCCAATCACGTGCACATGGAACAAGACAACAGGGTCAGAAGATCTTCCTTAGTTTATCAGCGCCATAGTAAATCAGGGGATCCCTACATTAGATCCACAAATTGACTTTAAGTCATGACAAACTGAATTGATGAGCAAAATTGTGTGCTCTAGATAGTATATAATTTTAATTTGATCCTCAAAGGGATCTTTAATCCTCCAAATAGGTGAGAGCCATAGTATTATGTGACTGCTCAATACTAGGTCTGGCTTGTGTGGATAAAGTTTAAAGTCAGGCCAGGCACAGTGGCTCACGCCTGTAATCCCACCACTTTGGGAGACCAAGGTGGGCGGATCACTTGAGGTCAGGATTTTGAGACCAGCCTAGCCAACATGGTGAAATCCCATCCCTACTAAAAAAAAAAAAAAGTACAAAAATTAGCCAGGCATGGTGGCATTTGCCTGTAGTCCCAGCTACTTGGGAGGCTGAGGCAGAAGAATCCTTTGAACCCGGGAGGCGGAGGTTGCAGTGAGCTGAGATACTGCCACTGCACTCCAGCCTGGGTGACAAAGCGAGACTTGGTCTAAAAAAAAAAAAAAAAAAAGTCAAATAATACCTAGGTGGACAGAGACCACCTAGAATTTACTTAACTTTTTTCTTAGAAAACACCAAACCTGGATAGATTTCTCAACTTTCAAATAATTGACAGAAATTTTTAAAGGCATCGTGGGATTTATTAAGAAATTCTTCAAAACACGACCAGGTGTGGTGGCTCACACCTGTAATCGCAGCACTTTGGGAGGCCAAGGTGGGCGGATCACCTGAGGTCAGGAATTCGAGACCAGCTTGGCCAACATGGCGAAATCCTGTCTCTACTAAAAATACAAAAATTAGCCCGGTGTTGTGGTGGGCACCTGTAGTCCCAGCTACTGGGGAGGCTGAGGCAGGAGAATCACTTGAACCCGGGAGGCAGAGGTTGCAATGGGCCGAGATCGTGATCGTGCCACTGCACTCCAGCCTGGGCAACAAGAGTGAAACTCCGTCTCAAAAAAAAAAAAAAAAGGAAAGAGATTCTGCAAAATAAAAGAAGGACATCTGATATTTAAGAAACAGAAAAAAATTATACTTTGAAAAAGTTGAGAAAGGAAACAATATTAGATGGTATTTTCTTTATTCTCATGGGGTTTGTTTAATGAATCTGAAAAATATGTAGAAGATAGCAGATTGCCATAGAAGGAAACCAACTGAGATGTCAGCAATTATAATAATAATAACTAAATATATATTGAGTACCAGATTCTATATTAAAGCCTTCATGAATTAGCTAATTAAATCTAAGTAAATGGTTATTCCCAAGAACACGGAGGTAAAGAGGTTAAATTACTTCCCTAAGATTGTATAACTAATAAGAAGGAGGTCTCAGATTTGATCCCAAATACACTTTGACTTCAGGGACCTAGAGAGAGAAGAAATAAGGATGATTTCACAGGATCTTGGATCATCCTTTGTACTCTTCTGTGTTGGAATTTTAAAAGAAATTATTTAGGGCCGGGCACGGTGGCTCACGCCTGTAATCCCAGCACTTTGGGAAGCCGAGGTGGGCAGATCATTTGAGGTCAAGAGTTCGAGACCAGCCTGGCCAACGTGGTGAAACTCTGTCTCTACTAAAAAATACAAAAATTAGGCCGGGTGTGGCAGCTCACACCTGTAATCCCAGCACTTTGGGAAGCCGAGATGGGCAGATCATGAGGTCAACAGATCGAGACCATCCTGGCCAACATGATGAAACCCCATCTCTAGTAAAAATACAGAAATTATCTGGGCGTGGTGGTGCACGCCTGTAGTCCCAGCTACTTGGGAGGCTGAGGCAGGAGATTCACTTGAATCCGGGGGAGGCAGAGGTTGCAGTGAGCCAAGATCGCGCCACTGCACTCCAGCCTGGCGACAGAGCGAGACTCCGGCTCAAAAAAAAAAAAAAAAAAAAAAAAAACCCTTTTGCTGCTGCCGCCGCCGCAGCCATGAGTATGCTCAGGCTTCAGAAGAGGCTCGCCTCTTCTGTCCTCTGCTGTGGCAAGAAGAAGGTCTGGTTGGACCCGAATGAGACCAGTGAAATTGCCAATGCCAACTCCCGTCAGCAGATGCGGAAGCTGATCAAAGATGAGCTGATCATCAGCAAGCCTGTTGACAGTCCATTCCTGGGCTTGATGCCGGAAAAAGACCTTGGCCCGCCGGAAGGCAGGCACAGTGGCATAGGTAAGCGGAAGGGTACAGCCAATGCGCGAATGCCAGAGAAGGTCATGTGGATTCTGCGCCGGCTGCTTAGAAGATACTGTGAATCTAAGAAGATTGATCGCCATATGTATCACAGCCTGTACCTGAAGGTGAAGGGAAATGTGTTCAAAAACAAGCGGATTCTCATGGAGCACATCCACAAGCTGAAGGCAGACAAGGCCCGCAAGAAGCTCCTGGCTGACCAGGCTGAGGCCCCCAGGTCTAAGACCAAGGAAGCACGCAAGCACGGTGAAGAACGCCTGCAGGCCAAGAAGGAGGAGATCATCAAGACTTTGTCTAAGGAGGAAGAGACCAAGAAATAAAAGCTCCCCCTTTGTCTGTACATACTGGCCTCCGTGATTACATAGATCAGCCATTAAAATAAAAGAAACCTTTATCTGCTTGTAAAAATAAATTAGCCGAGTGTGGTGGCATGCGCCTGTAATCCCAGCTACTTGGGAGGCTGAGGCAGGAGAATCGCTTGAACCCAGGAGGTGGAGGTTGCAGTGAGCCAAGATCGCACCACTGCACTCCAGCCTGGGTGATAGAGTGAGACTCAGTCTCCAAAAATAAATAAATAAATAAGAGTAAAAATAAGCGGCCGGGCGCGGTGGCTCACGCCTGTAATCCCAGCACTTTGGGAGGCCGAGGTGGGTGGATCACGAGGTTAGGAGATCGAGACCATCCTGGCTAACACAGTGAAACCCCGTCTCTACTAAAAATACAAAAAAATTAGCCGGGCGTGGTGGCAGGAGCCTGTAGTCCCAGCTACTTGGGAGGCTGAGGCAGGAGAATGGCGTGAACCCGGGAGGCGGAGCTTGCAGTGAGCCGAGATCGTGCCACTGCACTCCAGCCTGGGCGACAGAGCGAGACTCCGTCTCAAAAAAAATAATAAAATAAGCATCGCCGGGCACGGTGGCTCACGCCTGTAATCCCAGCACTTTGGGAGGCCGAGGCGGGCAGATCACCTGAGGTCGGGAGTTCGAGACCAGACTTACCAACAAGGAGAAAAACCGTCTCTACTAAAAATACAAAAAAATTAGTCGGGCATGGTGGCCCATGCTTGTAATCCGAGCCACTTGGGAGGCTGCGGCAGGAGAATTGCTTGAACCCGGGAGGCAGAGGTTGTGGTGAGCCGAGATCAAGCCATTGCACTCCAGCCTGGGCAAAAAAGCGAAACTCCGTCTCAAAAAAAAAAAAAAAAAAAAGCGTCCAGGCAAGAGGTAGAAAAGAGACTGCTACAAAAAGCTATATATAAAATTCATCACAGATTTTCTGCTGCACTAATAAATGGTAAAAAAAAAAAAAAAAAAAAGAAAAGAAAAGAAAAGAAAGAAAAAGAAACACTGGCCAGGCACAGTGGCTCACACCTGTAATCCCAGCACTTTGGGAGGCTGAGGCAGGCGGATCTCGAGGTCAAGAGATCGAGACCATCCTGGCCAACATGGTGAAACCCCGTCTCTACTAAAAGTACAAAAGTACAAAAATTAGCCGGGCGTGGTGGCACATGTCTACAGTCCCAGCTTCTCAGGAGGCTGAGGCAGGAGAATCACTTGAACCCAAGAGATGGAGGTTGCAGTGAGCCAAGATCATGCCACAACACTCCAGCCTGGTGACAGAGCGAGACTTCATCTCAAAAAAAAAAAGAAACACTATTTACAGTGTTATTAGGAAAAAGAAAATGTCTGCACTGTTATTAGCAAAAGACAATAAGCGATAGTGTTGAAGAGCAGTGAACATAATAGAGTGACAAATATAAGACCACCTTATTAGTAATTAGAATAAAAATGAATATGTTAACATATAAGTTTAAAAGATAGACTCAGGAATTGTCAAAAACCATATCTAAGACTCACATTACCTGATTTTTGAGGCCTACTATAAAGCTGCAGTAATCAAGATAATGTGTTATTGGCAAAAGAATGGACACATATATCAGTAGAACAGAATAAAGAGTGCAGAAATGGACTCACCCAAATATAGTCACCTGATCTCTGAAAAAGGAGCAAAGACAGTTTAATGGAAGAATGGGTTTTTTCAACAAATGATGCTAGAACAATCAAAGTCCGTATGCAAAAAAATGAACCTAGGCATAGACCTTATACCTTTCACAAAAAATTAACTCAAAAGGGATCATAGACCTAATGTAAAATATAAAACTATAAAACTTCTAGAAGAAAATCTGTGTAACCTTGGGTTTGGCAATGATTTTTAGATACAACGCCAAAAGCATGATTCATGAAAGAGAAAACTGATGTTGGTGTTTGTTAAAATTAAAACTTCTTGTATTAGTCCATTTTCATACTGCTATGAAGAAATACCTGAGATTTGGTAATTTATAAAGAGAAGAGGTTTAATGGACTCACAGTTCCACATGGCTGGGGAGGCCTCACAATCATGGCAGAAGGCAAAGGAGGAACAAAGTCACGTCTTACATGATGGCAGGCAAGAGAGCGTGTGCAGAGGAACTGCCCTTTATAAAACCATCAGATCTTGTAAGACTTATTCACTATCATGAGAACAGCATGGGAAAAACCCGCCCTCATGATTCAATTACCTCCCACCTGGTCCTTCCCATGACACATGGGGATTAAGGGAATTACAGTTCAAGATGAGATTTTGGTGGGGCCACAGCTAAACCATATCACTTCTACTCTGAGAAAGATACTGTTAAGAGAATGAAAAGACAAGTCATGGACTGGAAGAAAATACTTTCAAGATACATTTCTGTTAAAGGACTTTGTGGTTAGTCAATTGCAAAGTTTTGAAGCCATGCACAAGTCAGCCCTCACTTATGACATCAGTTGCAAGTTCAGGGGTTTCCAGAACTTCCTTTAGGATTGATAATTCACTAGGAGAATTGACAGAACTCATTGTAAGCTGTTATACTCACAGTTACAGTTTATTACAGCTGAAGGAGACAGATTAAAATTTGTCAAAAGAAAAGGCACATAGGACAGAGTCCAGGAAATTATCAAATACAGTTATAAACCCCACAATACATTTTTAGTGGTTGCTTTAGAGTCTTGATTATCTTTTTTTTTTAAAAGGTCTTGCTCTGTCATCCAGGCTGCAGTGTAGTGTTATGATCATGGTTCACTGTAGCCTCAAACTCCTGGGCTCAAGTGATTTTCCTCCCTTAGCCTCCTAAGTAGCTGAGAGTACAAGTGTGAGCTAGCACACCCAGCTAATTTATTTTTTATTAAAAAAAGTTTTAGCTGGGCGTGATGGCTCACACCTGTAATCCCAACATTTTGGGAGGCCACGGTGGGCAGATCACCTGAGGTCGGGAGTTCAAGACCAGCCTGACCAACATGGAGAAACCCTGTCTCTACTAAAAATACAAAATTAGCCGGGCATGGTGGCAATGCCTGCCTGTAATCCCAGCTACTCGGGAAGCTGAGGCAGAAGAATCGCTTGAACCCAGGAGGCAGAGGTTGCGGTGAGCTGAGATTGTGCTATTGCACTCCAGCCTGGATAACAAGAGCGAGACTCCGTCTCAAAAAAAAAAAAAAATTTGTAGAGATAGTGTTTTGCTACGTTACTCAGGGTGGTCTCAAACTCCTGGCCTCAGGCAGTTCTGCCTAAGCTTCCCAAAGTACTGGGATTACAGGCAGAAGCCACTGCGCCTACCATAGAATATTAGTTATCTTTTGAAGTGATTAAAAAGGGAAAAGATTTTCTTCCAGTTTAATGATGAGAAAAGTGAAAGAACAGTTATTTTAAAGCCCCTGATATTTCCAACATCTAGGTCATAAATGAGTCTCGTTCTGTTGATAGCTTTATCTCTTGGTAATGTGCATGCCTGTGTGTGTGTGTGTGTGTGTGTGTTTTATTTTGTGTATGTCTTATAATTTTTAGTTTAATGGCAAACATCATGTATACAAGAACAGTAGAGACTGAGGTAGATGGTATTTTGTGTCTGGATATAGGCACGCCTCTCCCATCAGGCCAATTGCCTGTGACATTGAGTCAACCTAGTCTGGAGTTGAGGTGGATTTGGATTTTGATGTTGGTATCATTATGTTCAGTGTACTTGGGCTGCTGTTACCTGGTACCTGGAGCCTGGGGTACCAGATGGTTTTTCTTCAGTGTTTCTGTTCCACTGTTGGCTTTCCTCAGTCCCATCATGCCTCCATCACAGAGGGGGAGTCTCTATTCATATCCTTGCCCCTTCACTAGTGGTTGACTGATGCTGCTTGTTACTCAGTGCTAGGCTTATGGTGGTGTCATAGGTGGTTTTCTATTGTCCTGGTTCAGCCTTAGCTTTAGGCAGTCCCTGTTCATTTGAACCCCAGGGGTGGTACTTAATCTGCCCTTTCCTGAGCAGTAGCAAACCTCTGCTTGGCATCAGAATCCTGGGCCAATGAGGATTCTCTCCTGCTCTCCCAGAAACAAGATGTTTGCTTCTACCTCTCCCCCAGCAGCAATAGGGTATGTGAGAGGTGGGAGGTTTACTTGAACCCAGGAGGTCGAGGCTGCAGTGAGCCATGATAGTGGCACCACACTCCAGCCTGGGTGACAGAGCAAGACCCTGTCTCAAAACAACAACAACAACCCAAAAAACTGTCAAGGTCATCAGGAACAAAACATAGCCAATAGCCAAGAAACTGTCACATACCAGAGGAGACTAAGGAAACATGATGACTAAATGCAATACAAATAAAAAAATAAATATTGGCACTGTAAGAAAAAATAGGGCAGCAGAATGGGTAATTCACAGGAGAAGAAATGCAAATGGCTAATAAAAATATGAGTATGAATTCAACTTCACTAGTAATTAAACTCAAATGTAAATGACAAAAACTGATTTTTGCCAGTGACATTAGCAAAGGATTGTTTTTGTTAATACTAGCATTTGGCAAGGTTGTAGAGAATATGGGAACTCAGAATAATACAGCCTCTCTGGAGGATAATTTGCGCAGTATCATATCAAAAGGCTTAAAATTGTACAAATTATTTGACTTAGCCATGTCTGTGCCGTTGATTTATCTTAATAAAGTAAAGGAAGATCTGTGGGAAGATTTAGTCAAAGGGTGCCTATCACGGCATTGTTAATAATAATGAAAAATTGAAAGTAGCATGATAATTAACAGTATATTGTGATATTCTTGTATGGTGATATTCTGTAGATATTAAAAGTTAAACAATTTGTTAAGTTCAAAAAGTTAAACTAACATGTATGGTGTGATCCCCTTTTTTGTAAAAAAAAATATGTATCATAGAAAGACTCGATATGTGTACACAAAACATTAATTGTAATTTTTGGATGATTGAATTCTAGATGATTTTTGTTTCCTCCTGTGTGCTTTTCTATATTTTGCAGTTTTTTCTGACATGAGCATGTGCAGTATTTTGGACATTATATAAAAAGCTATTTAAAAACGAAATCTTTTTCCTCTATCAATTAGCAAAGATTTTCTTAAAATTATTACCTTTGTTGGCAAAGGTATGAGAAATTGGTATCTTTATTTTATATCCACTTCTTATTCTACATCTATTTAATTCTTCTCATCTACAGTATTTCTACTTATTCTCTTTTTTTTTTTTTTTTTTTTTTTTGAGATGGAGTCTCGCTCTGTCGCCCAGGCTGGAGTACAGTGGTATGAGCTCACCTCACTGCAAGCTCTGCCTCCCGGGTTCACGCCATTCTCTTGCCTCAGCCTCCTGAGTAGCTGGGACTACAGGCTTCCGCCACTACTCCCGACTAATCTTTTGTATTTTTAGTAGAGACAGGGTTTCACTGTGTTAGCCAGGATGGTCTCAATCTCCTGACCTCATGATCCACCTGCTTCGGCCTCCCAGAGTGCTGGGATTACAGGCGTGTGCCACTGCGCCTGGCCCTTCTACTTCTTCTTTATATCTACTTCTGTAGGGGATCAGCACAAGCACTCTTGGGAAGCAAATTGGTAATAAATGTCAAACCCCTTAAAATAATTTATATTCTTTCACTCAGTAGAAAGGCTTCTGGGGGATTTGTCATTAGAAAAGAATCAGAGATGTGGGTGGAGACATGTTTATTACATGATAATGTATAACTGCAAAGTATGAAGACTGTAAATATCCACTTAAAAGGGAAATAAAATATGACACAACTGTATAGTGGAATATTATGCATTCATGAGAGTATTTAAAGAATATTTATTGATGTCTGATAATCTTCTTGCTTCTTAGTCTTCTGCTCAGAATGGCATCCATGATTATGTTTCTTTCCCCATGTTTTTTACTGTAGTCCCAGATAAGAAAGTAAGGACTGGATTCCCTCTCTTACTTTGTGTAAATAACCACAACTAGTAAATTACTTTTCCCCCCACAAAACCATTTCCTTATGTGTATTTGTCTTCCTCAGTTTCAATTTATTTGCTTTACTTTAATTATGGGTATTATGTGAGCCTTTGCACAGTTCTGTTTTTCTGCCTGAAATTATCTTCTCCCTGCTTTTACCATGGCTGAGACCTCTTCACCTTCTAGGTTGCAGCTTAAATAATACTCAGAGAGGTCTTCTTGGACCACCTTATCTATAATAAAAGAGCATACAATGTATTACTAATACCCTTTACCATCTCTCTAATGCCCACTAGTTTTTTTCATTGCAGTTAACACAGTTGATGATGTTTTTGTATTTATTTGCTTGTTTATAATGTGTCCTCCAGTAGACTGTAACTTCCTGAGGCTAGGAATTATATCTTCACAAGTATATTTTTAGGTCCTCTCCTAATGTCTGGCACATGTAAACAGTCAGCAAATATGTGTAGATTGAATGAACAAACTAAATTTTGCAGTTTTGATGACAGCTTATTAAGAATTTATCATGTTACTTAGTTGAAAGTTGTCATACCAAAGTTATTCTTATAACACATATTTATTTTAGCTATATTGGTTTGATATTTAATATATTTTATGTAGGAATGTAGAGGAAGAAGTTTAGGTTACACTCGAGGTCATAGAGAGTCTTATAACGAGTTCAGACTACCATTGGACGCTGAGGAGTGTGTAGAATTTGAAGAGACAAAGAAGAGGGGGAAAGACATTTTGAACAAGACTGCCCCATGAGTTTTTTAAGACAGGACAGCAGGAATATCTTTAGCATGTTTGGGAAAACATGACAGAGAATTGTGGGTGACTAATGGAGCTACTTGCTGGTAATTATAAATGGAATGTTACTAGTTAGAAAATTTCATCTAGGTCTAATCATTAAGAGCCTGGAAAGAAGGCCAAGGTAGTTGGAATATCTTTTGTATTCAGGGCAGTTCTTTTAACAGATGGGAAGCTACTGAAGGTATTTGATCAAGTGAAGGTCCCTTGTCATTTATTAATTTGTTTATTAATAGATATTTATTGAGTGCATGCTGTCTACTATGTGGTCTTCTAGATGAGGAGGGTACAGAGATGGAATAGGAGGGCTGGAGAGCCAAAAACCGGCTGTGGAGGAACTCGCAGACTGTGGGAAGTGACAGACATGCAAATTACAAAGGGTTGTGATAAATGTTGTAATAAATGCACATCATCAATACTGTGGGAACTCAAAATAGGACCAGGTTTATTCAGATAGTTGTGAATATCTTAACTAAGGAGGTGACATTTTCTATGGGTTTTGGAGGATAAGCATTAATTTACCAGGTAAAGAAAATTCTGACCTTAGCAGTAAAGTCATGGACCATTCAGGGAATGGTAAATAAGTCATGCACCTGGAATTGTGGGAGATGAGCCTAGAAAAACAGTTATCCTAAAACAGTTATCCATTAAGGACCTTGTATTATCTATTTAATGAGGAACCATCAAAAGTTCTCATATAGAGGACTGAAGTGATCTTCTTTATTTTTTTTCCCATCCAGAATAGTTTACTTGGCACAAATGGACTAGTATATGACATGGAGAACAGTATTAGGCTTTAGTTAGCTTTTTGATTAAAATCTACTCATTGAATTCATATCTGTAATTAATACTGATAGTCACCAAGTATGTGGACTTTGAGAAGTCAAGAACTTGATTAGTATTTAGTCCATTTTCACACTGCTGATAAATGCATACCTGAGACATGGCAATTTACAAAAGAAAGAGGTTTAATTGGACTTACAGTTCCATGTGGCTGGGGAAGCCTCACAATCATGCTGGAAGGCAAGAAGGAGCAAGTCATGTCTTATGTGTATGGCAGCAGGCAAAGAGAGGAGCGCTTGTGCAGGAAAACTCCCACTTATAGTAACCAGCAGATCTCATGAGTCTTACCATTACAAGAACAGCACCAGAAAGACCTGCCCCCATGATTCAATTACCTACCACCAGGTCCCTCCCACAACACATGGGAATTCAAGATGAGATATGAGTGGGGACACAGCGAAACCATATCAGTTAGAATCTCAGTTTTACCACTTGCTAGCATTTATGCAAGTTATTTGATATTAGTAAGCCTACGTTTTCTCATCTCTCTCAATGAGGCTTATGAGTGGTTTATGGGCACTTTTGACCAAGGAGATGTAATGAGGTTGCTGTTAGATGGGGGAGACAGTCAAATGAGACTCTTGATTAGACATACTATTGTCTCAGTGTACTCTGAGTGCTGAGTGAAGACAGACCTTGAGACAGCCATAAAAAGATAGAAATTTAATCCATAAATGCAATTAGTTCAAAGTAGGTTTTTGTATGGCATGCTTAAAGATTTGGAGGCAGGAACTACTGAAAGTTTTTAAGCAGGAATCCATATGTTCCACTTTTCCCAAACAGCTCCTAATTATTTATGGTGTGCCCCTTTCACTCCTAATGGTAATTCAGTTTAGATAATAAATTATGTAATCAGTCACCTTCTGAAACAACAGTACAGCAAAAGAGATGGCTGTGGTTGAGCCATTTAGAATACAAGTAATAAGAAAAAAATAAAGGAACCACTCCACAAGTTTTGGGGTGGAAACAGAGAAGGAATAGTCTTTATAAAAGCCAAGAGAAGGCTGGGTGTGGTGGCTCACACCTGTAATCCCAGCACTTTGGGAGGCCAAGGCAGGCGGATCACGAGGTCAGGAGATCGGGACCATCTTGGTTAACACGGTGAAACCCTGTCACTACTAAATATACAAAAATTAGCTGGGTGTGGTGGCGGGTGCCTGTAGTCCCAGCTACTTGGGAGGCTGAGGCCGTGAGAACCTGGGAGGCAGAGCTTTCAGTGAGCCGAGATTGCGCCACTGCACTCCAGCCTGGGTGACAGAGCAAGACTCCGTCTCAAAAAAAAAAAAAAAAGCCAAGAGAAGATTGTTGTAATAGTATTAAGAAGATGGGATTTGTAAGATCAGCAAGGCCAGATACAGCAAGGCTATGGAGCATAAGCACACATTATTAGATTTATCAAGGCAGAGCTCATTGTCTGCTTTAGACAATGCAGTTCATTTGAGCAGTTGGATAGAAGCCAAATTGGGTTTTTGTTTTTTTGTTTTGTTTTATTTTTTGAGGATAAGGACAATGTCTTGTTTATTTTTCTCTCTCTAGTGCCTAACTGTGGTTGTGTCAGAGGTACTTGGTGCATTTTTGAAGATTTAATAATTAATTAATAGTTGGTGCAGGCCAGGCATGGTGGCTAACACCTGTAATCCCAGCACTTTGGGAGGCCGAGGTGGGCGGATCACCTGAGGCCAGGAGTTTTAGACCAGCCTGACCAACATGGAGAAACGCTGTCTCTACTAAAAATACAAAAAAAATTAGCCAGGCGTGGTGGCGCATGCCTGTAATCCCAGCTACTCTGGAGGCTGAGGCGGGAGAATTGCTTGAACCTGGGAGGCGGAGGTTGAGGTGAGCCGAGATCACGCCATTGCACTCCAGCCTGGGCAACAGGAGCAAAACTCCGTCTCAAAAAAAAAAAAAAAAAAAAAAGTTGGTGCAAAAGCTGAGATAGTGGCTATAGATACCACACTAAAAAATTTTAGTGATTAAAGAGAGATGGGAAGTATGATGTTTTTAGTTTGGTTAGCAGTTAGAAGGGAACAATCTCTGCATTTGAAATGTTAAGATGAACTCAGTGGGAAGAGAAATATTAAAGTTTCTGAAGAGGGAAGTAAGTTTGAAAGCTAAAGCCCTTGTTGCCTACAAAAGACCCTTTTGCAAAGTGGACCCTCCTGGTTCAGTTATCTCACCCTTTGGGATTCTGTGTGCCAGCTGAGCCAACTAATTCCTTTCATGTTAAACTAGTTTGAGTTCGATTTCTGTCCCTTATAACTAAACAAATACTTGAATTTGGATGAAGTATTCTGACTCTAATGCTCATGCTGTCTCCACTGTACCATATTTCTTCTCTAAGGCTAAAGGTATTATCTCCAAAATTTTGTCCCTCCCTAACTTGTGGGGGCTTTAGTGAACTATTTCTGTCCTCTCTAGAATCTTTGCTTTCTTTCCCTCCTATAGATCCCTCGCCACGTAGCTCGTGTAGGCCTCCCTTATCTTTGTGAAGCCTTAAACTTAATTCTGTGGGCCCCACTAAGTTGTGATAAAGCATGCATAGGGGTTTTGGTAGAAGATAACGTTAACACAGGTAGATTGGAGCTGGGTCTATGTTGAAAAAAATTTGGATTACTAATTTAAGTGGTTTGCCATTGATTTCTAGATCAGAGATGTTTAATAGAACTTTCTTCAGTGATGGAAATGTTCTATATCTACAGTGTTCAATACAGTAGCTGTTAGCCACATGCAGCTCCATAGAGCACTTGACATGTGGCTAGCATGACTGAGAAATCAAATTTTAAATTTAATTTTATGTATTTATCTATTTTTATAAGACAGAGTCTCACTCAGTCGCCCAGGCTGGAGTGCAGTGGTGTAATCTCGGCTCACTGCAACCTCTGCCTCCTGGGTTCAAGTGATTCTCCTGCCTCAGGCTCCCAAGTAGCTGGGATTACAGGGGCCTGCCACCATGCCCAGCTAATTTTTGTGTTTTTAGTAGAGAGGGGTTTCACCATGTTGGCCAGGCCAGTCTTGAACTCCTGACCTCAGGTGATCCACCCGCCACAGCCTCTCAAAGTGCTGGAATTACAAGCATAAGCCACTGCGCCTGGCTGATTTTATTTAATTTTAATCACCTTAAATTTAAATGGCCACATATGGCTAAGGCTACCATTTTGGATGGTATAGCTCTAGACATCAGAAGTTATATTTCTCATTTTGTTTTGTTTTTAAACTGGGAGAATGATATATGTTAGAAAAAAAATGGAAACAATGTGGGCATTTGGGTGGTGAGGATGAGGCAAGAAGAAAATCACTTTCTGTTCTTGATATTAATGCCTTTAACAAGGATGAGGAACCTAGGAGGATGAGTGGGTTTGGGAAGGTAGACAGGAAGTTCAATACTGAGTTGAGATTATGGGATATATAAACAGAGATGTCCAATAGGCATCTAAAGAAGAGTTTACAGCAGAACAGAAAAAGCCAGGGCTAGAAGTATAAATTTCTGTAGTCATCTTTGTAGAGGTGATAAAGCTATAGAATATAGGTCACATCCTCTAGAGTGGGAGTGTAGATCTTGAAGAAAAGAGCATTGAGCACAGAACTCAGAAAAATGTGCATATTGAAAGAGTCGAGCTAAGCGTAGTAGCTCACACTCGTAATCCCAGCACTTTGGAGGGAGGCAGGAGGATCACTTGAGCCTAGGAGTTCAGCCTGGGCAACATAGCAAAACCCTGTCTCTATAAAAAATACAAAAATTAGCCAGGCATGGTGGTGCACACCTGTGGTCCTGGCTGCTTGGGAGGCTGAAGTGGGAGGGATCACCTGAGCCCAGGAGATTGAGGCTACAGTGAGCTGTGATCACACCACTGCACATCAACTCCAGCCTGCATGAAAGAACAAAACCCTCTCTCTCTTAAAAAAAAAAGAGAGAGAGAGAGAAAGAAAAAAAGTGGAAAGAGGAAGAGCAGCAGGCAAACAGGAAATATGAAATATTTACTATGCAATGTTTTTAAGAAATTGGCACCTAACCATGCAAGTGATAGCAGAAAGTTTTTGCTTTAGGTGTAGTGCTTGTCAGGAAGATTCAATATTTTACTTGAAAATGTAAGTACAGGTACAATGTAACTAATTTCTACTGCTTCATTATATAGATCTGATAGATAGTTTTTATTTGGCCAATGCCTGCCATCATTACACTATTATAGTGTTATTTCTGCCTATAGAATCATAAATGTGTCTGTTAAATGGGCTTAATATTTGGGCAGATTGCCAATAAATGTCACAAACTCCAGTCCAAATAAATCAGTTTATAAACCTAGGAGAATGTCCAGCTACCTTTGGTGTTTTCCAGATAATCAGTAGTTGTAATTAATGATGTTTAAATGGATTTTCTACATAAGATTAAGGAGAAATTGTTTGACACAACCTATATAATCTGCATTTTTATCATCTGAGTGGGAAGTCTTATTACTTTCCCCACACTGTGTCATACACTTGCAGAAGAACATAAAAGGTAGTGATTATGCTACGTGCCAAGAAAGACATCAGAGCAGATTGAAGGGGTGTAGTATGAGTAAAGAATTTGAGACCAGAGAAAAGGCTCTGGAAAGGAAGGCAAGCATGGAGAAGGAAACTTGAAGGAATAGATTGGCTGAAGGTCAGATCTGTGGAGTAGACAGTAGGTAACAGGTCAATTTGTTGCCCAGCTCAGTGCCTGATACATAATAGGTGCTCAGTATTTATTGAAGGAAGGAATGGGAAAAGGAAAATTCATTCTGCAAGAACAGTAGAATCCTACTTTGGCCCCACCTTATTTTATTTGTCACTTGACCTCAGTTATCACATCTTTCTGACCTTGGGTTGCTGTTAGGTTTATTGTTAAAACATACACTAAATAGTTTATATTTTAACTTGTAATTGTTGTCTAGCTCTGGACAATTGGAGGGCCGGGGGGGTGCTCTCCTATTTAGAGAACACGGGAATACGCCGGGCGCGGTGGCTCACGCCTGTAATCCCAGCACTTTGGGAGGCCGAGGCGGGCGGATCACGAGGTCAGGAGATCGAGACCATCCCGGCTAAAACGGTGAAACCCTGTCTCTACTAAAAATACAAAAAATTAGCCGGGCGTAGTGGCGGGCGCCTGTAGTCCCAGCTACTTGGGAGGCTGAGGCAGGAGAATGGCGTGAACCCGGGAGGCGGAGCTTGCAGTGAGCCGAGATCGCGCCACTGCACTCCAGCCTGGGCGACAGAGCGAGACTCCGTCTCAAAAAAAAAAAAAAAAAAAGAGAACACGGGAATATACTTGAGTACTTGGATGTTTAATTTCCTTTTGTTTTAAGACTATAACAGAGTAGGTGTGACCATATCTAGCCCCTGAATATTCTGGCCTTGGGTGACACAGGTGAGCACTTCTAGCTGATCTGACAGGTTAAAGGTGTACACTTATTTTCTCTGTAAGAAGCGTCATCTGGTAAGATGATCAAGAATGGTGCAAAGCAGGATGGGGAGTTTAAAATTGTTTCCAAATGTGGGAATGTAAATGAATATAAACATGTAAGATTTTAATATACCAAACTGATCAGATTCTGTGTAATTTCCAAGTTTCTTTTTTCTTTCAAAACTCCTCTGAAATCTGACTGTCCACAAAAACTTACTTTATAGAATTTTATGTGATTTATTTACTCAGATATTATACTGACCTCACATCCAGTAGTGAAAACAGATTTTATTGTAGAATCTGGAAAGATAGAGGGCCATATAGGTTGTATTTTCAGTTTTGTTTATACTAACACGTGTTTACAACCCAGTTTAATTTACACCCTGTATTGTATTATTGTTGTCATATCTCTGTATGCATGTAAGTATAATATGTGTTGGCAAAGGAAAATTTTGAGTAAGAAGAAGCTCTCTGATCTATTTGATTCAATATGTATTTGAGTGTCTAACAGACACTGTTTTAGACACTGGTGATACAACACTGAACGGAGCACCAAATACTTTACAGCGTCTCCTGGAGCTGTTGTCAAGACATACTTTCCAAGGGGAATATTTCAGAATAGGTGATAACTAGTCAACGAAGGAAAAGTACCTTAGTCATCTAGGAGAGTTGTACTTAGAGTGAACTGAAATAAACTAAGCTCACGAAAGACAGAGATTTTTTGTTTGGCTTTTGTCTGTTGCATTCACTACTGTATCTCCAGGGCCCAAAATAGTGCTCGGCTCATAATAAGTATTCAGCAAATATATGTTGTTGATTGGAGTGTTTGTTTTGAATTTCTGTAATCAAACACATACCTTGGTAAATTATCTTTACATCTTGCTAGTTGAAAATTTTATCTCAGTTGCTTTGTTTTTAATGTTACCTTGCTTTTTGTTTCTACTTGTGCCATACATCAGGATGCTGGAAAAGCTTATTAATATTGACAGTCATATGGTTATCTGATATTGAAAAGAATAGATTTGGAAAGGAACCTAAGAGGTCATCTTTTGTTCAGCTTCCTGCCTAGGAAAACTAAGTAAGATGATTAGGTATGTATATTTAATTAGTCATTTAAAAAAAAACCAGGACAACATAATTGAGTTCCCTCTTGAGAAAATGGAGAAAGGTACTTAACCCTAGCTATAAAGGGACTAACCTGGAAATTTTAGAACTTCTGTGTGGGAAAGTGGAAAAAAAAAAAAAGCACAACTAAGCTGCTCTTTGTTGATATCAGAAATGGGCCTGTCATTCATTTTGGCATTGAAGCATAGCCTCCTATCTCGGGGCAGGACTGGGACATTTTTTTCCTCCCACAAGAGCTGGACAGTTATTACAGGTTCAAAAAGCCCCGACCAGTTTTTCAAGAGTTTCTCCTCCTCTTTTCCCCCTGAAACTCGTGGTGCTTTTGCTCTGCTTTCAAGATGCATTAAGTCTCCTGCTTTGTGACTGCTTTGGAGCCAGCAGATACTCTGATATGTATAATTCAAATTATGCAGGTTTCACGAGTAAGTTTAATCTTATTTTTTAAGTTAGTTAAAAGGCAAGTGATATTTAGAAAAATGTTAACTTGTAGTTATTTCACCCTTTTTACTTTAAGCATTTTTATTGCTTCTCGGCCTTTTGGCTAAGATCAAGTGTGTACTTTAAGCATTTTTTAAAATAAAAATATCCTTTTAATTTAATAAGAAAACAAGGTTCTACATAGAAAAGCCCCTTCATCTAAGACCTGCACTTTTCAATTTCTTTTGAGATGTCTTTGTTGTAAACAGTATTCATATGTCTTTTGAAAGCCAGTTAACTAAACAGTTTTCTTGAGCATCTTTTTAGTTTTACTGAGAAGTATTTTAAATTGAGCTTTTCTGAGCTCGATTGCTTACGTCTGACACAGTCTCAAGTTTCCACTGAATGGTAACAAAGACTGTAGAATGTTGTTGGTACTGCAGTGAGAGGCATGCTTCCTTAGACCAGGTAAGAGAGATCAGTTTGTTTCTCACTGCTGGGTGAGTTTTTACAGCTCTTATTTTATATTCTTTAAGCAGCAGCAATATTAAATTGATAAATAGCCAGGAGCACGCTGATTTCAAGACGTCCTTGCTTGTTGCAGACAGAAAAACTACAGGGTTATGTATGGGGGTTGGGGTGGGGGGGGAGGGGAAGAATTAGTTTATTACTCAGTTACTTATATAAATTAATTAAAATGTGAAAATAATTCTGGAGCTCAGTTTTCTTAATTCAGGAACTAAAGCAGCAGTTGAGGAAATCAGTAATTTTAAAGGTACTTCATGGTTATTACTTGTGAAAGCAATTCAAAGGATAGTTTTTACTTTCATTTTTTTCCCCAGTAGTTAATAAAATAAGCTTTGCCCTTAACTAAACATTTTTTCCACTTACGAAAACTTTTAAATTGCCAACAGCAAAATATACTTCCCAAGGATCCTTGGAAATCAACCTGACACTTGAAAAATATTTCAGCTTTTATAGCTGTTTCATTCCTTTTTTTCCCTAGTACATTTTTCTTAAAAGTATTTGTGCTTTGAAAATGTCAGCTGTATTCTAATGAAGCTTAGGCATTGTTTGCTCATAAAGGGGCCGGTGCATTCCACTGCTTTATGGTTTATTATGAGGCACAGTGTGAGAGTGTGGGTGGCACCATTTGGTGTCTGCCTCTTGGGGTAGTGACTGCCATTATGTTAGCCTTGGACTGGCAAAGAAAATATAGCATACAAGATGCTATATGAATCTGGATACTGTGAAGAAAATCTTACCCCTAAACAATTCTTAATGACCCCGGAATATATGACAACTTGATTGAATTGATCATTTCAATTATACCCTTGAAGTTTGCATTTTAGTTACAACGTATATTCTATTAGACACGTCTTATTTTTTGATATATAATAGCATTTAGTCATTCTTTGAAGTTCAATAAGGAAGTGAATGTTTCTAAACTATGATGTTTTTAATAGATACAGTGAAATTTTAAATAATACATTTACTTAAAAAAGTTTTAAGGAACTTAGTGTGGGTGGGGAGCGGGAGTGGGAGAGGGAGAGGGAGAGGGAGAGGAGGTCAGGCAGAGAGTCTTTCTTCTTTCAGTTAGGAAAGCCCTGGTGAAGAAAAAAAGCAACAGATGTTTCTTCTGTTACAATTGAGGTTGTTTCATTCAAAACTCAGAGTAGCTGGAATGGAGAGAGGAGGTCATAAATCTGATTTAATCAGTGAATAAATAAAATTTAGTCATTTAAAATTTATTATTTTATATTCAGGAATTGAAAGTCATAGAGTAACAAAATGAGTAACATACCCAATATTTAAAAAAAAACTTTAAATATTGCCTGTAGCCTGTATAATTAATGAAAATGTGAGAAAATTAATTCTGTTGAACTTCACTTAAGGAAAAAATTGATAATTAAATCATATAGACCATTTTTTTAAAGCCTAAGCCATCTAAAATATAGAGGAAACAGTTGCAAAAGTTTATCACTAGACAGTAGGTACAAAATCTCAAAATGAAAATAAAATGAGAAACATCAGTTACATATGTTGATAGATGATTTCATCTTCTGTGAGAAGCTGAGGCTTATTCCTAAGACCTTTGCATAAGAAATATGGGAGTAATATTTTGGGTTTAATTGAAATGATATGTTGCAGTTTGCCTCTAAAAAGAAAGATAATAAGCTTGGATTGGTTGCTAATGGAAAGAGGAGAATGTTTATCTGCTGAAAAGAGTAGGAATGAAGAGTGTGGAAGCATTATGCGTGTAATGAAAGCAGTCAAAATTTTGAAAAACAGTTTTTGAATTTTTGGAATTCATAATGAGGAAAGTGAAAACCTTTCCTTTTACAAGTAACACAAAGAAGTCCTATGCTGTTGTATAATGTGCGTGTATACACATTACAACTTTATTCATTTCTTAAGTTTGCTCTTGAAAAATCAGTGCTGAGCACCAGCTCTTTCACATATGAGGCACTTATTCAATATTTGCCATACCCTACACTGGAAAATTCGTAGTAATTTACAGTAGCCAATAAAGTTTTTGAGCTATAGTTTAAAATTTGCATATGGATTAATTATTATACAGTTTTCTAAATAATTGGCCTAAGGAGAGAGAAGGCTGGAAAAGATATCAACATTCAAGCAGATTATTAAAAATTCCTCTTGCTGTTAGCTAAGATCTGTGGGCTTACCTGAAGTTATTTTTTTGTTGTTTTTTTTTGTTGTTTTTTTGTTTTTTTGAGACGGAATCTCGCTGCAAGCTCTGCGTCCCAGGTTCACACCATTCACCTGCCTCAGCCTCCCCAGTAGCTGGGACTACAGGCGTCCACCACCACGCTCAGCTAATTTTTTGTATTTTTAGTAGAGATGGGGTTTCATCATGTTAGCCAGGATGGTCTCAATCTCCTGACCTCGTGATCTGCCCACCTCGGCCTGATGGTCTCGATCTCCCGACCTTGAGATCCGCCTACCTCGGCCTCCCAGAGTGCTGGGATTATGGGCGTGAGCCACTGCGCCGGCCAGAAGATTTTCTTTTCTTCAAATAATGATGACCAAATTTAGAGATTTTGAAGTTTGTTTGTTTTTTGAGATGGAGTTTCGCTCTTGTTGCCCAGGCTGGAGTGCAATGGTGTGATCTCGGCTCACTGCAACCTCTGCCTCCTGGGTTCAAGCGATTCTCCTTCCTCAGCCCCCCAAGTAGCTGGGATTACAGGCATGCGCCCACACGCCTGGCCTTTGAAGTTTATTGAATCATTATTTCAATTAAGATTCAGATTCTAAAACTTATCTATGTACATTTTGCTTATCTTAAGGAATAGCAACATGTAATGGTTGAGGTTTTTTCTCTCTAAAATAAGTAAAACAATTTACATGGACTTTAAAATGGATTTACAAACTATAGATTTGCCTAAAGAACTTTTTTTACAATTCTGATCAAAGAACAGAAATTTTGATGGAATAGACAGGCTTAAAAAAAAGTTGGTCACTCCACATGTAATACATAACTGTGACAGCATCATAGATTGTGATTATAAAAAATGTGTATCACTTACAATTATAAATGTAGACATGACAATAAGTTACTTAACAAGGAAAACAGTATCAGCAACAGCAACAAGGACATAGTTTGGACTCCTAGCCCTTCAAATTGAGAAATGAAGACCAAAATCAGTTGAATTATTTTAAGATGAATTCCCACTGCCTCTGTATGTGTAAATTATCTTGGAATTATTGAATGTGTGGTCAAATTATGGTTGAGAAGAGCACATTAGTTTTAGCATATATGGAGTATAGAACATAGAGAGTATAATTTTCTATATTATATTGTTGATTTATACTCTATGAGAAACCAAACCATTCAAGTTTGTTACCTGGAAATTGGTTGGGAGTGTCTGAAGGAAAAAACAAACAAAAACTTTCCTAATTCATCTGCCATTTAGAGGTAATTCCTTAATTGTCTTTAATTTCTAGTAAATACTTCCAGTCATAATCAATTTAAATATTAAATTAAATCTTTTTTTTTTTTTCTTTGAGACAGAGTCTCGCTGTTGTCGCCTGGGCTGGAGTGCAGTGGCACAATCTCAGCTCACTGTAACCTGTGCTTCCCGGGTTCAAGCAATTCTCCTGCCTCAGCCTCCCGAGTAGCTGAGATTACAGGCGCCCGCCACCAAACCCGGCTAATTTTTGTATTTTTAGTAGAAACGGGATTTCACCATGTTGGCCAGGCTGGTCTCGAACTCCTGACCTCAGGTGATCCTCTGGCCTCGACCTCCCAAAGTGCTGGGATTACAGGCATGAGCCATTGCACCCGGTCTTAAATTAAATATTTAAAATGTATACTGAAAGAAGACTTCAGGAGTACCTGAAGTTCTTGCTTTATGTATGAACTCTTTATCACAAAACTGAGGTCTTAGAGGAACCTGAGCCTTACCTATTTATTGTAACCCGATTCAGAATACCCAGAGAGGTCAATGATTTAGCCTTTTTTTTCTGCCTTATATATACATATGCAACTAGAAATAACAGCCACCTTGAAATTTCTCATCTCTGGAGTGGAGTAAGAGGGGAGATGTGCCTGATGCCTATATTTCTCTGAAGAGAAAACCTTTTACATTGTTGAGGAGCAGGTAGACCAGTATGAGTATGGTGCTTTGAGTATATTATGAATTAACTATGTTTTGTGAACTGATCCAGGAACCTGTCATGTAATTATGTTGTTTCTTTCTACCAAGTTTCAAGAAACCAATTTTCAAATGAATTTTTACATGGTAACTCTAAAGCTGGAGACTATCAACCGGGGACTTTGGTTTTGGCACTTTGCTCACTTGTAGTGAAAATTTGGCAACTCTTGGCAATTTCTCTGACAGAAAAATGAACAGACCACTAAGTGAGCACTTACTGTGTGCCAGGTAGACACAGTAGAACTTATTTATAAAAGTTCTCAAAAATCTTTTAATGGGCTGGGCATGGTGGCACATGCCTGTAATCCCAGCACCTGGAGAGGTAGGCAGATCACTTTAACTCAGGAGTTCAAGACCAGCCTGGGCACATGGCAAAATCCTGTCTCTACAAAAAATACAAAAATTAACTGGGCATGGTGGCACGCACCTGTGGTCCCAGCTACTCGGGAGAATGAGGTGGGAGGATCCCTTGAGCCCAGGTCAGGGCTGCAGTGAGTGGAGATCATGCCACTGCACTCCGGCCTAGGCAACAGAGCAAGACCCTGTCTCAAAAAAAATTTAAAAATCTTTAATGGATAAATTTTTAATACAAAGAGATTTTGTTGACATTGATGTCTAACTTTAAGATTTCTTGCATTTCACAATGTGATTTAAATGTAGCTTCAGTAATAGCCCTCAAGTAGAATATATTGTTGAGATTATAATATCAATAACTTACTGCAGTTTTGAGTGAGCTACTTAGTGCATGGTATTATAAAACAACGATCCCCTCTTTTATTTGCTAAGGAGAAGAACTGCTTTGGAACTCTTAATTCATGGGTGGTCCTTGGTCCCTTTGAATTTGTATCCTAAAGTTTTACGTTTATTTTAAGTACCCCCCAGCCAGGCGTGGTGGTTCACGCCTGTAATCCCAGCACATTGGGAGGCCGGGGCAGGTGGATCACTTGAGGTCAGGAGTTCGAGACCAGCCTGGACAACATGGCGAAACCCTGTCTCTACTAAAAATACAAGAAAAAAAAAAAGCCAGATGTGGTGGCACACGCCCATAATCCCAGCTACTCAGGAGGCTGAGACAGGAGATTCACTTGAACGCGGGAGGCGGAGGTTACGGTGAGCTGAGATCACGCCACTGCACTCCAGCCTAGGTGACACAACAAGACTCTATCTCAAATAAATAAAAAAACTTATTTTAAAAACCCAACTTTTTTTCTTTTTCTTTTCTTTTTCTTTTTTTTTTTTTTTTTTTTTGAGACGGAGGGAGTCTCACTGCGTTGCCAGGCTGGAGTGCAGTGACACGATCTTGGCTTACTGCAACCTCCGCCTCCCGGGTTCAAGCAATTCTCCTGCCTCAGCCTCCTGAGTAGCTGGGACTACGGGCGCATGCCACTGCGCCCGGCTAATTTTTGTATTTTTACTAGAGATGGGGTTTCACCACGTTGGCCAGGCTAGTCTCAAACTCCTGACTTCGTAATCCACCCGCCTTGGCCTCCCAAAGTGCTGGGATTCAGGCGTGAGCCACCTGTGCCCGGCCCAGGAACCCAGCTTTTTAATTCAAAGTCTGTCTGCAGTCATGGTCACCTCTTATAAATATTAGAAAAATATCTCACTTAACTGTAAATTTAAAAGGATTTATCTGTTACCCCTGTCTGGCTACCCTCTCGGACTGTGAGCTTCTTCATGAGAGTAATTTCCAGTGAAGTACTCTTGGGTATTTGAGTACTCATAAATTCTGATCCTTGTGGTTGCACTCAGCTGTCTTGATCAACTCTAGCCATTCAGTGGCTGTTGGTATGAGATAAAATGTGCTGCTTTCTGTGCTTTCTCTTTTACTAGGCCTGTAAACAGTGTCTGTGTGCCATCTGGTGGGTGTATTGACTGTTGTGATGGTGCTAACAGTGGTGATTGAAAATGGGCTAAACAGTGAAAAAATATAACACTTAAGAACAAGAAACAGAAGAAATAAGGGTCACTCAGACTCTTTTAAAATGAGAATAGAAATAAGTTCAGTGTACTAGAGTCCACTTGCATTTCGTTATTTCCTTAATTTGAACAAAGAGTCTTACCAGACCATAAGAATCATCTGAGGCACTTAAAAATACAAATTCTCCACCTAATTTTTGAATCTTTAGGTGTCCAGTGGAGCTCAGGAGTGTGTGTTTTGAATAAGAGACACCTCTCTTCCCTTTGTAGTGAATCTTGTGATCACTCATATTTGGGAAGAACTGCCGGGAAGGATTGGGAGGATCAAGTTGTTTGAGGACATACAGTAAACTTCCTCAATTATTAATCAGAAGATACATTTCAAAACTAGGAAATTTTAGTTGAGCAGGTGGAAGAAAAATGAGAAATTGAACAATTAAAAAGTTTCCTTGACTGAATATGCTAACAGAAAAAAGATTTCAAAAGGACATATTTTAACTAAAGATAAAGAAGCCAATGAAAAACCAGCAGTATCAAACCTACAGATGAGACAAATGTTTTTGGGTGAACACTTAAAAAATTATTGAAGGAGAAGGGCCCTGCAAGTGACCTTAGTGATTTCTAAGATCTTTTAGGTTTGATGAACTAAATGAAACCAATTATAATATTCCAGATACCAGAGCTTGAATTGAGGAGTTTGCTTAAGCAATGAGGAGATACTGTTTAAATCTTGCAATGTGGTAAGATGGAGAAGAAAAAATGTTTTTCTCCTTTCAAATTTAAGAATTTAGGGCATTCATGGTTCTAGATACAAGAAAAGGAGGGAGCTAGCTAATCGTTTTTAGAAAGTGTCCCCTAAGTGAAAATGTTCAACAAAGCCAAGAGAACAGGTTTGATCTTCTAGGGAAAGTATGTAGGAAAGACTGACATATAAGATTTATTCATTTAGAAATATGACCATAGAGCTATAAATACACTTAATATTATGGTCATTTCAAGGATCCTTTGGAAAGATTCTGGTTAGGTGATCCATTTGGGTGAATCCTGAAAGTTCTCTATGTTCTGGCAGCTGCAGAAACATTCAGGCTTTTCCTTCCGTGTATGTGATATGTAGGAATGTGCGTGTCAGATTTTCTGTCCTTATCTTTGCACAATGGGATGCCTGATCTCCATTTAGAACCAAATAGAAAGAGGAAGGTTCCAGAGGTCACTTTAACCATTATACTTTGGAGATATTATGAACTTTTTTATCTTCTCTTTGTCACCCATCCCAATTATAGTGATGTTGAGGTCATTCAGTTAAAAAGTTTTGTAATAGTGATTAACTTTGTATTTAATCTTAGTGACTTTTGGCGAACATGGTTCAGTACAAATGCATCAAAATAAAACATAACAGTGGTGTAATGTGCATGTGCAGGTAGGTAATACTAGTTAGTAAATAAAGTGAAAACTATTTTTTTTTTTTTGAGACAGGGTGTTGCTTTGTCACCCAGATGGGAGTGCAGTGGCATGAACACAGCTCACTGCAGCTTCGACTTCCTGGGTTCAGGAGATCCTCTTGCCTCAGCCTCCCATATAGCTGGGACCATAAGTGTGTGTCACTACACCTGGGTAATTTTATTATTTTTTTGTAGAGATGAGGCCTTACTATGTTGCCCAGGCTGGTCTTGAATTCCTGGACTCAAGCAATCCTCCTGCCTCAGCCTCCCAAAGTGCTGGAACTGTAGGCATGAGTCATCACACCTAGCCTGAAAACTTTTTTTTTTTTTTTAAAGAAAAAGGTATATGAGTATATTTAAACATAAAAATGAAGGAAGTCAGAGTAACTGCAAAGTTTGTTTTTATTTCATTTACATAGGTGATGCTGTTGACCTACAGAGCCTGAGTTACTTTCTTCTTTCTTTCTTTTCCCCCCCGAGACGGAGTCTTGCTCTGTTGCCCAGGCTGGAGTGCAATGGCACCATCTCGGCTCACCGCAACCTCCACTTCCCGAGTGCAAGCAATTCTCCTGCCTCAGCCACCCAAGCAGCTGGGATTATAGGCACACACCACCACTCCTGGCTAATTTTTTATATTTTTAGTAGAGGCAGGGTTTCACCATGTTGGTCAGGCTAGTCTTGAACTCCTGACCTCCTTATCCACCCACCTTGGCCTCCCAAAGTGCTGGGATTACAGACGTGAGCCACCGTCCCTGGCCCAAGAGTTATTTTTGAAATACAGGTGATAGATATCCCCTGAGTCATCCATATCCTTTCTCCCTAGTCTACTTTGTTTTCAGTGGCATATATTGCTTTCTAGATGGCTGGCTAAAATTAGAAATACAGTCTTAAGGTTGTGAAATCATTTCTCTTTGCAAAACAAATTGCCCCTTCTAGAATTGACCTGTGACTTGACCTCTTCAGTACTGTATTTGAAGCTAATTGATAGTCTTTTACAGTAGTTATTAACAGATAGTTAAAAGGTAGTACAGGAAGGAAGGAAATGCTCTGACACTACTTTCTTTTTCTGACTCAGCTTATTCTTTTGTGGAACTGTTAATCATGAATGAAACAAAACCATGGGGAACTGACATATGAAGAGGCAGATCAGTGGAGCAGAATAGAAAATCAATAAATTGACCCAAATAAGTAAACTCAAGGTTGCATTTCATATCAGCATGGAGTGGATTATTCATTAAAAGTGGCTAACTCAGGGGGAAAACCTTGGATCTGTCACTTCTTATATCAGATAACTTCCAGGTGGGTCAAGGATTTATAATTTAAAATGAAGGCTTTAAAATTGTATAAGAAGATGTTGGGGGGGGTGTTTAATATAATCTTAGTATACATTCTAACTGCTGATAATTAATTTATAAGAACAGCATATCCAACTGGAAATATAAAACCTATACGATAAGTAAAATGCAGCATGTTTAAAGTGCATGTATAAAGTACACTTCCAGGGAGCAAAGGTAAATTTAGGAAAACCCTGGCAATTAGTCTCACTTCCTTCATTTTTATATTTAAACACACACAGGCCTTTTTAAGTTTGACACAAAAGTCATTAAAAAGTTACAAAATTGACTACATTCTTAAAAATGTGCAAATAGGCCGGGCGCAGTGGCTCACGCCTGTAATCCCAGCACTTTGGGAGGCTGAGGCGGGCGGGTTACCTGAGGTCAGGAGTTCAAGATCAGCCTGGGCAACACGGTGAAACCCCGTCTCTACTAAAAATACAAAATTAGTTGGGCATGGTGACACATGCCTGTAATCCCAGCTACTCAGGAGGCTGAGGCAGGAGAATCCATTGAACCTGGGAGGCGGAGGATGCGGTGAGCCGAGATCGTGCCATTGCAGTCCAGCCTGGGCAACAAGAGTAAATCTCCGTCTCACCAAAACAAAAAAAAAAAAAAAAAAAATGTGCGAAGAATAATATATAAAAGCAAACACTGTTCAATTGGGGGAAATATTTGCAGCAAGTATAATAGAATAAACGTATTTCTTCAATATTTAAAGACGTTCTACCAAAAAAAAAAAAAAAAACTCACCAAAAACCAATAGGTGGACATAATTTTCAGGAAGGAACATTTACATAACTTTTAAACAAAAGATGCTCAGTGTTCAGCCATACTCATAACAATATATTAAAACCAAAATAAGACCAAAATGAGTTACTATACTTAATTTTAAATGTAAAAGTTGTCAAAGAAAATAAAATTTAAAAACACATTGCCTGGGTGCAGTGGCTCACACCTATAGTCCCACTTTGGGAGGCCGAGGTGGGAGGATTGCTTGAGCCCAGGAGTTCAAGAATAGCCTGGGCAACATGGTGAGACCCTGTCTCTACAAAAAATTTAAAAATTAGCTGGATGTGGTGGCGTACTGAGGAGGCTGAGTGGGAAGGATGACTTGAACCCTGGAGTTTGAGGCTGCAGTAAGCTGTGATTGTTCCACTGCAGTCCAGCCTGGGTGACAGAAGGAAACCCCGTCTCTAAAAAAATAAAAAAATAAAAAACAGTAGATTAATGAGGATATATGTAAATGGAGACTTTCATGCATTTCTAAAGGGAGAAATACACAGTTGATACAAGTAATGTGGGTAAAGAAATATGTATAGTCATTGCAGTAGTATATGTAATACTAAAACTTTTCCATTACTCAGGAGCTCAATAAATAGACTGCTGGAGCCATAAAAGGGAATACTATGTAGCTAATAAAATAAACATTGAGGCCTGGTACGGTGGCTGACGCCTGTAATCCTAGCACTTTGGGAGGCCAAGGTGGGCAGATCACCTGAGGTCAGGAGTTTGAGACCAGCCTGGCCAGCATGACGAGACCCCTGTCTCTACTGAAAGTATAAAAATTAGCCAAGCGTGGTGATGGGTGCCTGTAATCCCAGCTCTTCAGGAGGCTGAGGCAGGAGAATCGCCTGAACCCAGGAGGCGGAGGTTGCAGTAAACCAAGATCGTGCCACTGCACTCCAGCCTGGACGACAAGAGCAGGACTCCATCTCATAAATAAATAAATAAATAAAATATTGAGGCAACACTACATCTACAGATATGGAAAGGCATCTGAGATGGATATAAAAGCAACGCTCAGACTGATAGAAGGATATCTTTGGCTGGGCGCGGTGGCTCACGCCTGTAATCCCAGCACTTTGGGAGGCTGAGGCGGGTGGATCACGAGGTCAGGCGTTCGAAACCAGCCTGACCAACATGGTGAAACCCCGTCTCTACTACAAATACAAAAATTAGCCAGGCATGGTGGCATGTGCCTGTAATCCAAGCTACTCAGGAGGCTGAGACAGGAGAATCGCATGAACCCGGCAGGCACAGGTTGCAGTGAGCCAAGATCATGCCACTGCACTCCAGCCTAGGCGACAGAGCGAGACTCCATCTCAAAAAAAAAAAAAAAAAAAAAAGAATATTTTTGCATATGTGTTTGCATATGCTGAGGATATTTTTGGAAGCTTATCTACAAACTGGCACCACAGCTGTCACTAAGGAAGGGAATATTTTGGTGGTGATTCGGGATGGCAGGAGACTCAGTTTTCACTGTACACTCTAGTTTTATGAATTTGTATATATACTTCCATGTAGACATTCATGTACTTACCAATTTATTCATCCAACAAATATTAAGCTCTGCTGTATGCTAGTGTTGGAGACACCTAGCTGGAGCAATGAATGAGATGACAAAGCCCCTATTGTTGTAGAACTTAACATTCTGAGAGTGACAAGACAGATAGTAATTATATAAGTAAATATAAATATGTAATGTGTCATATAGAGATAAGTACTATGGTGGAAAAATAAAGTATAGTAAATTAGGAAGTGCTGATATAGGGTGGTAGATATCTCTGCTGCCGTGTCAACTTAGCAGACTTGAAGGAAACGGGAATAAGACGTAGGATATCTGGGGGAGGATTACAGGCAGAGGAGACTTGAAGGACAAAGGCCATGAAGTAGAAATTTGGTTGGCATGGGTTGAAGAACAGCAAAGAGGTCAGTGTGAATGCAGAGGAATGAAGTAGGGAGAGATTGACAGGTGACAAGGTCAGAAAGAGGACTGCAGATGATATAGGGCTTTGTAAACCCTCATTAAGGACTCAAGCTAACTGAGATGTGATGCCAGTTGGAGAGTTTTGAAGAGGACTCCTCCATGTAGTGGGATCACTCTGACTGCTGTGTGGAGGATAAATCAGTTGGGTTTCCTAGTATAATGTAATCCACTTATGTAATTGCAAATTTTCTAGTAGCAATATTTTAATACTATGAAGGGACAGGTGAAATTTATTTTAATGATGGATTTTATTGAACCCAAACATTTATTAAAACATTATACAAACATTTACTAAAACTTACCATCTGGCCAGGTGTGGTGGCTCATGCCTGTAATCCCAGCACTTAGGGATGCCAAGGCACATGGATCGCTTGAGGTCAGGAGTTCAAGACCAGCCTGGCCAACATGGCAAAACCCCATCTCTACTAAAAATACAAAAAAATTAGCCAGGTGTGCTGGTGGGCACCTGTAGTCCCAGCTACTCGGGAGGCTGAGGCAGGAGAATTGCTTGAACCCAGGAGGTGGAGGTTGCAGTGAGCTGAGATCGCACCACTGCACTCTAGCCTGGGTGACAGAGTGAGACTGTCTTAAAAAAAAAAAAAAAATGTTGCTGGGCGTGGTGGTTCACGCCTGTAATCCCAGCACTTTGGGAGGCCAAGTGGGTGGATCACGAGATCAGGAGTTTGAGACCAGCCTGGCCAACATAGTGAAACCCCATCTCTACAAAAATTAGCTAGGTGTGGTGGCAGGCCCCTGTAATTCCAGCTACTCGGGAGGCTGAGGCAGGAGAATTGCTCGAACCCAGGAGATGGAGGTTGCAATGAGCTGAGATCGCACCACTATACTCCAGCCTGGGTGACAGAGCAAGACTCCATCTCTAAGGAAAAAATAAAGAAGTTGAAAACATCATCCAACATGTAATCAATATAAACATTATTAGTCAGATATTTTATAGTTTTTTTGTGCTAAGTTTTCAAAATCTGATGCATATTTTATACCTAGAGCACATCTCAGTTTAGATGCTACATTTTCAGCAATTGAAGTGAAATATAGCCCTACCAAAATGATAAAGTTGTGTTTAATGGGAAAATACTTCATTTACTTTAGTTTTAAAATATGTTAATTAAAATTAAATTAATTTAAAATCTAGGTCTAACCACATTTCAAGTGCTCAGTAGCCACCTGTGTCTAGTGAGTGCTGTATTAGAGAGCATGGAAATAGAGTTGTGGGGTAGGGTGGGCAGCAGCATGGAGCTGCGTCAGGAACCTATTGCAGTAATTGAAGCCAAGATGTTGGCCGGGACCAGAGTGTTAGCAGAGGAGTAGGTGAGAAGTGGTTGTATTCAAGCTGTATTTTAAAGATCCAGCTTGCGGGACTTATGAATGGATTGAATGTGGGATATCAGAGAAAGTGAGGTCTCAACAGTAATCTTTTCAGTCTGAGCAGTTGAAGAATAGAGTTTTCATTTACTGAGATGAAGAAGGAGATTTCTGGATGGGGTGGGGGCAGTCCAGAGTTAGATTTTGGATATGTTAAGTTTGAGATACGTGTAAGACATCAAAATGGAGATATGAGAAGATAGTGGATATGTGAATCCAAAGTTCAAGGAATAGATGTAATCTGGAGAAATATACACGAGAGTCATCAGTGTATTTAAAGCCAGGAGACTTAGATGGGATCATCTCATGAGGAAGGGCTCACAGACAAGAGATTGGAGGACCAAGCTAAGGGGCTCCCAAATGTTTAGAGAGAAGGAGCCAACAACTAAGGCTGAGAAGGAATGGCCAGTAGGTTGGGAGGAGAACCAGGAGAAAATGGTGGCTTGGATATCAAGTGGAGTTAGTGTTTCTAAAGAAGGTGTGATTTTAAAAAGTGTCAAGAGTAGATGGAAGGTTAAAGTAAATTGAAGGCCAAGAATTTCAGTGGAATTGTGGGGGAAAATTGGGAAGAGAGGGTTCAAAAGAAACTGAGATGTGGAGGAAGTGGAAACAGCAAATGCTGGCAGATTTTGTGAGTAGTTTTGCTGTAGAGGGCAACAAATTAGTTGGTAACTGGAGGACCGTGGATGGTCAAGAAAAGTTGGTTTTTTGTTTTTGAGATGGAAGAAATTATGCATGTTTATGTGCTGATGAGAATGATCTGACAGAGAGGGAAAGATTGTGATGATGCAGGAGACTGACTTAAAAGGGACAGTAGTTGAAGGGATGTTTTTTAGACAAGAAGATGAACTACCTGTATTTTTTTTTAAGGGCCAGTTGAGGTGACAGAAGAAGAAAAGCAAGAAGATGGTGTAATCTATAGTTAGCATCTTACTAATTAATATGAACTCGCCCAAGTTACATTTTTCCATCATTTTATTAAGGTATAGTTTACATACAGTAGAATCACCCCTTTTAGCCTAGTGTTCTGGGACTTCAGCAAACACATACACCACCACAGTCTAGGTCATTTTAACTTATTTATGCTGGGTGTGGTGGCTCATGCCTGGAATCCCAGTGCTTTGGCGAGGTGGGAGGATCGCTTGAGCTCAAGAGTTTGAGACCAGCCCGGGCAATATACTGAGACCCCCTCCCTACAAAAAATAAAAATAAAAAAAAATACCTGGGCATGGTGGTGCACACCAATTGTTCCAGCTTACTGGAGAGCTGAGGCAGGAGGATAACTTGAGCCAGGAGTTTGAGGCTGCAGTGAGCTGTGATAGTGCCACTGCTCTCCAGGCTGAATGACAGAGCAAGATCCTGTCTCAAAACAAACAAACCAAACACTTTTATTTTGGGCAATAGGTTAGCTTGTTCTGGGAAGTTGGACCCTGTATATATGGGATATACCATTGCTTCTAATTTAAGAGATTTATAAACCCACAAAAAATATGTATTATTTCTTATAGTAAGTTACCAGTTTGGTTCTTGTAGGAGGATGTGATGTAGGCTTGGGTGAAGAAGGTTTTTCCTAAAGCTAATTCAAGCAAAAAAAAATTTTTTTCAGAAAGTCTGTGCCATGAAAAAAAAGTTATATTAGCATCATATAGACAAACCACAATTATGTAACTGGATATTTTTTTTCATTTTAGTTGGACATATTGAAGGTGATTAATTGTAACTGGAACCCCCTAAAGAATTATAGTGGAAAAAAAAATATGTGGTGTCTAGACAATTCTAGTGGAAGACAAAAATATTTCAGTTACTCAATAAATTGAAATAATATTTGAGCCAAAATCTTGTGCCTGTGCCAAGATCTGGCATAAGTTTTTAGTTCTGTTTCTTAGCCACTTCTCTAGGTGATTGATCTCATTTAGTTAATTGAGGGAATTGCCAGAACCAAAATCCAGGCAACATTAAAAATCGTTGTTTTTAATACACTGAGTCCCAGGAATCAGTTTCTGGACAGTGTCGAGCTCCTATTGCCAAGGAGCTATGAATTTAGGCCATGCACTTAGGAAAAACTGTTTAGACTTTACTTCTCTCAGCCTGGCTGGAATTTTGGTTGACTGAATCTTTATAATCTATTTAAAGGTGTCCTTTTGAGTCAAAAACATAGCTGATTTGATGGAAGTAAGTTTTGTCTAAACATGTGGCTTTTATTTCTGGGTATTACAACTATTGGAATTCTAGTGGAATCCTTTTAACTACTTTTAAAGCAAATTTCATTTTTACTACTTATAAGAATCATTTCTAGATCTTCAACTTGTTTTAGTAGCTATGGCTGATTCATTCTCTCTCTCTTTTTCAGAATGACAGTAACTTTTATTTTTATTTATTTATTTATTTTTAAGATGGAGTCTCGCTCTGTCACCCAGGCTGGAGTGCAAGTGGTGCGATCTTAGCTCATGGCAACCTCCGCCTCCCGGGTTCAAGTGATTCTCCTGCCTCAGCCTCCTAAGTAGCTGGGATTACAAATGCGTGCCACCATACCTGGCTAATTTTTGTATTTTTAGTAGAGACGGGGTTTCACCATGTTGATCAGGCTGGTCTCAAACTCCTGGCCTCGTGATCCTCCTGCCTCGGCCTCCCAAAGTGCTGGGATTACAAGCGTGAGCCACCGCGCCTGGCAACAGTAGCTTTTAAAATTATAAAACAAGTGCATGCATCTTCATAAAATGTTTTTTTAAATAATAAAATGTATAAAACAAATGCTTCCTCCATGCTACTCATCAGTGCTAACCACTATTAAATTTGTAGTTTCTCTTGGCAGACTTTTTATGAATATATAAAAATATATGAAAAATATATGTATATGTAGTTTTTCAGGTAAATGTAATCGTGTTCTCTTATAATAGGACATTTTTCCATGGCAATACGTGCTTGTATTTTTAGGGACTATATAATATTCCATCATACACATGTACCAAAAGATGTTTAAACACTTAAATTGTTTGTAGGTCTTTGCTTTTCTCCACAATGCTCCAATCCCAGGACATGTAGAATTGTTCTTATCTGCCTAGTTTATTAGAGTATATTTCCACCAGAGGAATTGCTAGTCAGAGGGTATGCCCATTGTCAATCATGATGTCACAGAAGCCAGACATTAGCTTGCCACTTAGGCAACAGAGGGTATTTGTTGAAATGGAAAAAAGCTTTAAAATGTGTAGAATTATAGGCCGAGCATGGTGGCTCACGCCTATGATCCCAGCACTTTGGGAGGCCGAGGCAGGCAGGTCATGAAGTCAGGAGATCGAGACCGTCCTGGCTAACACAGTGAAACCCCGTCTCTACTAAAAATACAAAAAATTAGCCGGGTGTGGTGGTGGGCACCTGTAGTCCCAGCTACTTGGGAGGCTGAGGCAGGAGAATGGCATGAACCCGGGAGGCAGAGCTTGCAGTGAGCCAAGCTCACACCACTGCACTCCAGCCTGGGTGACAGAGCGAGACTCTGTCTCAAAAAAAAAAAAAAAGAAAGAAAGAAAGAAAAAAAAGTGTAGAATTATTTTTAAAGCATTTATGTAGAATTTTGTATTCTAACAAGGGTCAGTTTATTCCTCTCTAATTAAAATCAACACATTGTCAGAACCTCCAGAAAGGCTCTACAGTATTCCCTTCACTAACAAAGTATGTTAGTCCCTTGAGTGCAGGGAACAGTGTTACTTGTTCACTGAATATCCTAATGCTTAGCCTTAGTTCTTGACATAGAATAGTAGGTGCCAAGTCAGTACTTTTAAAATGTGCCTGTTTTGCCACATCCTTACCAACTCAGTGCATTATCAGACTTGTTAATTTTTTATCAGTCTAGTATGCAAAAAGGTTTCCTTTTTAAAAAAGTTTGTTGTTTTTTTTTTTTCCTTGTTTTCCTCACTTCTTTTTTTTTTTTCTTTTTTTTTTTATTATACTTTAAGTTTTAGGGTACATGTGCACCTTGTGCAGGTTAGTTACATATGTATACATGTGCCATGCTGGTGCGCTGCACCCACTAACTCGTCATCTAGCATTAGGTATATCTCCCAATGCTATCCCTCCCCCCTCCCCCCACCCCACCACAGTCCCCAGAGTATGATATTCCCCTTCCTGTGTCCATGTGATCTCAATATTCAATTCCCACCTATGAGTGAGAATATGCGGTGTTTGGTTTTTTGTTCTTGCGATAGTTTACTGAGAATGATGATTTCCAATTTCATCCATGTCCCTACAAAGGACATGAACTCATCATTTTTTATGGCTGCATAGTATTCCATGGTGTATATGTGCCACATTTTCTTAATCCAGTCTATCATTGTTGGACATTTGGGTTGGTTCCAAGTCTTTGCTATTGTGAATAATGCCGCAATAAACATACGTGTGCATGTGTCTTTATAGCAGCATGATTTATAGTCCTTTGGGTATATACCCAGTAATGGGATGGCTGGGTCAAATGGTATTTCTAGTTCTAGATCCCTGAGGAATCGCCACACTGACTTCCACAATGGTTGAACCAGTTTACAGTCCCACCAACAGTGTAAAAGTGTTCCTATTTCTCCACATCCTCTCCAGCACCTGTTGTTTCCTGACTTTTTAATGATTGCCATTCTAACTGGTGTGAGATGGTATCTCATAGTGGTTTTGATTTGCATTTCTCTGATGGCCAGTGATGATGAGCATTTTTTCATGTGTTTTTTGGCTGCATAAATGTCTTCTTTTGAGAAGTGTCTGTTCATGTCCTTCACCCACTTTTTGATGGGGTTGTTTGTTTTTTTCTTGTAAATTTGTTTGAGTTCATTGTAGATTCTGGATATTAGCCCTTTGTCAGACGAGTAGGTTGCGAAAATTTTCTCCCATTTTGTAGGTTGCCTGTTCACTCTGATGGTAGGTTTTTTTTTTTTTTTTTTTTTGAGACAGAGTCTTGCTCTGTCACCCAGGCTGGAGTTCATTAGCGCGATCTTGGCTCACTGCAACCTCTGCCTCCCGGGTTCAAGCGATTCTCCTGCCTCAGCCCCCCAAGTAGCTGGGATTACAGGCACACGCCACCATGCCCAGCTGATTTTTGTATTTTTAGTAGAGACGGAATTTCACCATGTTGGCCAAGCTGGTGTCGAACTCTTGACCTCGTGATCCACCCACCTTGGCCTCCCAAAGTGCTGGGATTACAGGTGTGAGCCACTGCGCCCGGCCCAAAAGTTAGTTTTTTAATTATTAAAATCAAGCGTCTTTTCATGTGATGACTGGCATCTGTATTTCTTCATATACCGGATTTATTTTTATATGGGAGTATTGCCTTTTTCTTATTGATTTATAAGAGTAGGTTAAATAAACAAAAATTTTTAAGAATGGTAATCAAATGACCTGTGCCTTGCACATTTGTTTACCAGCCTGACATTTGTCTTCTAAGTATATTAAGTCTTGCTATAGAGAAAGTTTTGATTTTTAAAGTAGTCAGATCCATCAGTCTTTTCACTTAAGATATCTGAATTCTGTAACATGGTGAGGAGGGCCTTTCTCATTCCAGGATTATAAAAATATTATTATATTTTTTCTTCTAATACTTCTATAAAGTTTTAATTTTTATGTTTCAATATTTGATTTTTCTGAAATTTATTTTTGTTCAGTGTGAAAAATTGAAATCTAAAATTTCTTTTATCCAAATGGATAGTCTCTTGTCTCAACATTATTGGTTTGAAATACTACCTTTATCATGTACAAAATTTTCATGTATAGGTGAAATTATTTCTGGACTGTAATTTTTGTTTTGTCAATTTCTTTTTCTTTTTCTTTCTTTTTTTTTTTTTTTGAGACAGAGTCTTGCTCTGTTGTTGCCCAGGCTGGAGTGCAGTGGCGCTATCTTGGCTGTCTGCAACCTCCACCTCCTCGGTTCAAGATTCTCATGCCTCAGCCTCCCAAGTAGCTGGGATTACAGGTGTGTACCACCATGCCCGGCTAATTTTTGTATTTTTAGTAGAGACAGGGTTTCGCCATGTTGGCCAGGCTGGTTTCGAACTCCTGACCTCAGGTGATCTGCCCTGCTTGGCTTCCCAAAATGCTGGGATTACAGGCATGAGCCACCGTGCCCGGCCACATTTTGTTTTAAGAAAATCAGTTGCACAATTACAAGGTAGGGAAACTTTATTTGATAATACCAGTTCAGTCATGTTAAAAGCAAAATAAACAAAGGACCTGCTGTTTAAATTGATTTCAAACTCAGGATGAGTTATGATCTTGGTTGGAAAAATAATAAGGGTTGTAATTAAACTGTATTGCAGGAAGTTTGGCATCCAGATTAGGAAAGGTAATACTTTCAATCTTTGCTGATCAAACAGTTTTTATCATTTGTGCACCTGTTTTGTGCCAAGGACTAAACTAGATGCTGGGATACAAAGCTGAGAGACGTAGCCCATTTATAATAGAATTGCAAGTCAGTAATAACAGGTTTTATGAGAAGCCAGAAGAGGAATATCCAGAATTTAGACCACAGGGGATGGGACAGCTTTTAACAAGAAGGAGATGCATAGAGCAGAGGCTTTGGAGGTGGAGCTGTCGGCTTCACTACTATGGGACCTTGTATTTAATCTCAATCTCAATTTCTTAATGTACAAAATAGGGTCACTAATAATCTATTTCACACTGTTGTCTGTCCTAAGCATCGATGAGGAAAAAATATACACACATACATACACACACATAAAATGTATATATATGTGTATACTTTTTTCCTCATTGATGCTTAGGACAACAGTGTGTATGTGTGCATATATATGTGTGTGTATATATATATACACTTTATATGCGTATGTATATATGTACATACGTATATGTATGTATATGTAGGAAACCTCTGAAACACTCTGGGGACATAATAATTGCTCAGAAAATGGTGTGGAATCCATCCATTTTGAAGTGCTAGTAGGTAGGAGTTGGCTCAGTAGAGAAGGGCCTTCTCAGCAGAAGGAAAGGTGTATAACAAAGCCAGGTGGTTGAATTGGGGCCTCTCTGGAAATGTAAAGTATTTAATCTGGTTGGATTGTGGGGTACATGTGGAGGGAGCAGCTGAAGATGAAACTGTGAAAGGAGGCAGGGGTGGGATCTCCACTGCGAGCTTTTGTGCCATGTTGAGGAGTCTGAGAGGCATTTAGGAAGTGTTGTGGAGTCCTTAAAAACCATTATTAGGGGAGTGTTCAGAACAGTTTTGCCAGTTGAAAGACTGGTTTGTTATAGATGCATGGAGTGGCTAGGAAAGCTGTTAGAGGTAGGATATCTAGTAAGAGCCGTGGTGCTCAGCCCTGGCTGCACATTGGAACTGTCTGGAGAACATTTAATGGCCCGATGCCCAGGTTCACCCCAGATCAATTATATCAGCAGCTCTAGGATTGGAACCTAGGAATTGGTATTGTTCATTGTTCCCCAGGTGATTCCACCGGACAGCCAGTATTGTGAATCACTGAGTTAGAGGGTAACTGTATTCAAACCAGATATGAAGTTGCAAATTAAACGAGTGCCAGCAGCATAAAGCAGGGGTCCCCAACTGGCCACCAGGTACCAGTCCGTGGCCTGTTAGGAGCTGGGCCACACAGCAGGAGGTGAGTGGCAGGCAGGCAAGCCAGTGAGTGAGCAAAGCTTCATCTGTATTTGCAGCCACTCCCCATCACTCGCATCACTGCCTGAGCTCCGCCTCCTGTCAGATCAGCAGCGGCATTAGATTATCATAGGAGCACAAACCCTATTGTGAACTGTGCATGTGAGGGATCTAGGTTGCACACTCCTTATGAGAATCTAATGCCTGATGAACTGTCACTATCTCCCATCACTCCCAGATGGGACTCTCTAGTAGCAGGAAAACAAGCCCAAGGCTCCCACTGATTCCACATTGTGATGATTTGTATAACTAATTCATTATATACTACAGTGTAATAATAATAGAAATAAAGTGCACAATAAATGTAATATTCTGGAATCATTGCAAAACCATACCTCCCTTCACCCCTGTCTGTGGAAAAACTGTCTTCCACGAAACCAGTTCCTGGTGCTAAAACGGTTGGGGACCACTAGCATAAAGGAACTAGAATAAGGAAATAACAAATATGGTGGTCAGTTGAATGAGGAGGAGATGGAGTGAAGATCTGAAGATCATTTCTAGATTAGATCACTGGGTGGATTCGATGATCGTATAAGAGGGCTCAGTCATATATCGAGTGAGAACAGGAAGGAGAAGCAGATTTGGGTACTAGGACTTGCTGAGTGGGTACAAGAAATAGAATTTGATTTTTATATGTGGAATTAGGGGGAAAATTAACTCTATAATGCCAAATGGGCAGAAAAACTGAAGGGAAAGGGCCAATGGAATAGTTGAAAATTCCGGAGACAGAGTAGATAATTGATGGGTGAGATCCCTGAAGAGGCAGAAAGTGCAGAGCAGAGATGAAAGAAGTCATTTAGGGCCAGGCGTGGTGGCTCACGCCTGTAATCCAGAACTTTGGGAGGCTGAGGCAGGCGATTACCCAAGGTCAGGAGTTCCAGATCAGCCTGGCCAACATGGTGAAACCCCATCTTTACTAAAACACAAAAATTAGCCAGGCATGATGGCAGGTGCCTGGAGTTCCAGCTACCCAGGAGGCTGAGACGAGAGAACCACTTGAACCTGGGAAGCGGAGGTTGCAGTGAGCCAAGATTGTGCCACTGAACTCCAGCCTGGGTGACAGAGCAAGACTCTCAAAAAAAAAGAAAAAGAAAAAGAAGTCATTTAGGCTGGGTGCCGTGGCTCAAGCCTTTAATCCCAGCACTTTGGGAGGCTAAGGGGGAGAACTGCTTGAAGCCCAGGAGTTTGAGACCAGGCTGGGCAACATGGCAAGACCCCATCTCTACAAAATAAAAAAGTTAGCCAGGTGTGGTGATGCATGCCTGTGGTGTCAGCCACTTTGGAGGCTGAGGTGGGAGGATCACTTAAGCCCTGGAGTTTGAGCCTGTAGTGACCTGTGATTGCATCACTGTCCTCTAGCCTGGGTGTCAGAGCGAGACCCCCATCTCAAAAAAAAAAAAAAAATAGTAAGGGAATTAAAGAGTGTGGTCAAGTTTTGGAAGATGGGGGTCATCTGAGGAAGGCAACTAAGAAGGAAATGTCTTTGTTGTCCTACCCTTAAATGTTGCTTGTCCCCAGGGTTTTAGTGTTGGCCTTCTTTCACATACTTCATGGATGATCTCCTTTGATATATTTTGTTACACTGTTAACTTCTGAGAGAAACATTGATAAGCTGAAGTTTGTTGGGGGAATTAAGTAGTTGATGTTATAGTTCAGAAAATAATAGGTTGGCTTTTCCTTTTGGGGGGAATTTTCTTGGTAGCAGTTTGCTATGTTAATTTGAAATTTAAAATACTGAAATCACTTGAAAACACGGTACAGATCCCACTGTTTCTAGTATTAATAACTAGTTAGCACCATGTTTTTTCTCTAGTTATAAAACCCTAAAGCATTACCAATTTGACAGTTTGAAAATATGTTAGCTTTTAGTCTCAGTGTTTTATACTATAAAGAAATCTGAATAGTTATTTTACTTTTCATGTTATGTTTCATCATCAAGTATATTATTTGTTCTGTTATGTCTATTAAAGATCTCTTTCTCAATTCTGATATAAACTGTGATTTGCGTTACATATTCTCTAAAAATTTTTTCTTCTAAAAGACTAACTGAAAGTTTCGTAGTTAATTGTCAGATAATTGGAACTATTTATTTTATAGAGTTTCAGTAAAATATAAATAAGATTAGTTATGCAGCAAAATTAATTGTATTCCTTACAACAAAGCAGTCATTAGTATGACTTTTCAGTAAGGTGTATTTTGTTCATAATATGCTTCCTAAGATAATTATAAATTACCTCAACATAATGAATTAGGACCATGGGTGTGTATATAGCTAGAAAATGGCCTTGGTATGGCAGAATACTAACTTAATGTTTTGATATCATTTCAGGCAACATTTCATTTGTTGCATTTCCAGTTTCCAATACCAACTCACCTACAAAGATTTTACCAAAAACCTTAGGACCAATAAATGTGAATGTTGGACCCCAAATGGTAAGAAAATTATCAAATCTTAGAATTGAAACTTTGTTTAGCCAAGACTAATTTAAAGAATAATTGCATTAAATATATTTGATCAGATATTCCAGTTAAACCAGGCGCGGTAGGTGGCTCACTCCTGTAATCCCAACACTTTGGGAGGCCGAGGCAGGTGGATCACTTGAGCCCAGGAGTTCAAGACCAGCCTGGGCAACATGGTGAAACCCTGTCTCTACAAAAAACAGCTGGGCACTGTGGCGCATGCCTGAAGTCCCAGCTACTTGGAGGACTGAGGCGGGAGGATTGCTTGAGCCCAAGAGGTCAAGGCCACAGTGAGCCGTGTTTGCACCACTGCACTCCTGCCTGGGTGATAAAGCAAGACCCTGTCTCAAAAAGAAAAAGAAAAAATTATAGTTAATTTCAGTTATCTGAGTCACTTTTAAAAAACGTTCTGTTTTTATCTGAATGTATCTGGTCAAGTTTTGAGCTTGAGAAACATTGTGTGCTCTTTGATATTTAATTTTCACATATTTGAATCTGTGGATTCTGGATGTGTAGTATTAAGTCTTTTCCTCTTTATGTGAGGTTTCTCTTGTATTGTTTAAATTGATTTGAAATGTGTTATGCTTTATGTCTTCCTGCTTTTTTCTTTTTCTTATAAAATAACCTTTACTACTCTAAACTATGTATTCTCACATAAATGGAATCTGTGACCCAACAGTTAATTTACATCTGGAGTTATTAATTTAAAACTCCTTTCATTAAGGACTTTTGGGGAAAAAACAATATACCAATTTATTTTAATCTGTAGCAGTAGAAATAATGAATGAAAAATGGAAAACAACTGTTTCTCTAAAGACATTCATTAATTATGCTAGAGCATGAAGTGTGTAGCACTTTCAGAAGACTTATTTATAAGCAAGGTTGCATTCCACTACTCTGAAACTATGTCTAAATGGCCTCACCCACCATTAGTAAAAGTACTCAAACATTTAAGCAATAACTCTTCATTGCCGGTGTTTTCATCTTTTCATCTATAGAGCAATAAGGATAAATTTTACCCATAATGTACAACAGCACTGTGGACTATGTTAAATGCAAAGTTATTTAGACAAAGATATCTTTTAACATACCTAATGGTTTCAGAAAGTCTCTAAGACTTCAGGACACATTCTAGACATGATATTTTCCTTGGTTAGTTGAGGACTGTTTATCATCTGCAGAAATCAAGCTAAAGATACAACACAATTTACTGTAACTATGTGAAGAATGTAGTCTAGCTCCAAACCTCATAGAGATTTAAGCTCAAATAAGAGCCCTCATTTCAAGGTAGCTCAGGTTATATTTTCAGACATTTGCTAAGCATTTGCCCCTCCTCAGCCACTACTATAGGTGCAAATGAGATAAAGCACCTGACTTAAAAATCTGCATTTTGAAATGTGATTATATAAGCACCAAAATTAAACATACTCAAATTTTTATGAGTCTTGCCCTTACAGTACTCTTCTGTTTTGAGAGATTATTTTCTATTATTTTTTGTTTAATGCTGCTATACCCCAATTTGAATTTCTCCTTTGGAAGCATGTATAATTTTTCTCCCATTGTCAGTTTGAACTAATGTGCATTTTGGCCCTTACACAGTCCAGTTCTGTTAATAATAAGTAGTGATGTGTGCTACTAACTCAGTTACTGTAAATCTCAGGATCAGCAAAACAAAGGTCACAAGAAGGAGAGGCGATTTGGAACTCTACCTTCAACTGGGCCATCCCAAGTACTTAATTTGTCCCCCTACTTCTGAGGTCCTTTTTTCAGTTCTGAGTTCTTGGGCAGGAATCAGAATTTTGTTTTTGGTTTCCTAATTGTTGTAAGATTCCATTGCTGTCTCTTGAATGTGTCCCTCCAAAATTCATGTTGAAGCTTAATCCCTATTGTGGTGCTATTAAGGGATAGAGCCTTTGGGGAAGTGATTAAGCTATGAGGGCTTCATTCTCATTGAGGGGATTAGTGACCTTATAAAAGAAGTTGAGGCTGGGTGTGGTGTCTCACGCCTGTAATCCCAGCACTTTGGGAGGCCATGGTGGGCGGGTCATGAGATCAAGAGACTGAGACCATCCTGGTCAACATGGTGAAACCCATCTCTACTAAAAATACAAAAATTGCCGGGTGTGGTGGCTCATGTCTGTAATCCCAGCACTTTGGGAGGCCAAGGTGGGTGGATCACGAGGTCAGGAGATCGAGACCATCCTGGCTAACACAGTGAAACCCCATGTCTACTAAAATACAAAAAATTAGCCAAGCATGGTGACACACATGTAGTCCCAGATACTCGGGAGGCTGAGGCAGGAGAATTGCTTGAACCCGGGAGGAAGAAGTTGTAGTGAGCAGAGATCGCGGCACTGTACTCCAGCCTGGGTGACAGAGCAAGACTCCATCTAAAAAAAAAAAAAAGTTGAAGGGAGCTCTTTGCCCCCTTCTGCCCCACTTCATGTAGTGAAGACACTACAAGAAGGTACCATCTATGAAGCAGAGAGTGAGCCTTCTGAATTTGCTGGTGTCTTGATCCTGGACTTCCCAGCCACCAGAACTATAAGAAATACATTTCTATCATTTATAAATTACCTATGCTAAGGTATTTTGTTATAGCAGACTAAGACAAAAATTAGTGCCAAGAACTGGGGTGTGGCCATAACAAACACCTAAAACTGTAGAAGTGGCTTTGGAACTGGATAATGGGCAGAGGCTGGAAGAGTTCAGAGGAACAGGCTGGAAAAAGCCTCTTGAGATGAATGGACCATTAAGGGTGATTCTGGTGAGGAATCAGAAAAGGAGAGCTATAGAGAAAGCCTCACTTTTCTTAGAGATTACCTCCGTGGTCATGAACAGAATGTTGGCACAAATATGGATGGTAAAGGCCATTATAATGAGGTATCAGATAGGAGTGAGGGACATGTTATTGGAAACTGGAGGAAAAGCCATCCTTGTTACAGAGTAGCAAAAGGCTGGGCCCAGTGGCTCATTCCTGTAATCCCAACATTTTGTGAGGCCAAGGCAGAAGGATTTCCTGAGCCCAGGAGTTCAAGACCAGCCTGAGCAACATAGTGAGACCTCATCTTTATCAAAAAAAAAAAAAAAAAAAAACACTAAAAATAAAAAATTAGCTAGGCCGGGTGCAGTGGCTTATACCTGTAATCCCAGCACTTTGGGAGGCCAAGGCTGGCAGATCACTTGAGGTCAGGAGTTCGAGAACAGCCTGGCCCACATGGTGAAACCCTGTCTCTACTAAAAATACAAAAATTAGCCGGACATGGTGGCGGGTGCCTGTAATCCCAGCTACTTGGGAGGCTGAGGCAGGAAGATCACTCGAATCTGGGAGGCTGAGGTTGCAGTGAGCAGAGATTGCACCACTGCACTCCAGCCTGGGCAACAGAGCGAGACTTTGTCTCAGACAAAAAAAAAAAAAAAAAACCAGGCATGGTGGCACCTAGCCACTCAGGAGACTAAGGAGAGAGGATCACTTGGGCCCAAGAGTCCAAGGCTGTAGTGACCCTGACAGAGTAAGACTCTATCTCAAAAAAATAAAAGAACTAAACAACAACCAAAAAAGTGGCAAGGGACTTCACTGAATTGTTTTCCTGTTTTAATGTTTTGTGGAAGGAGGAACTTAGGAGCCGTGAAATTGGATATTTGGTCAAAGAAATCTCTAAGCAAAGTGTTTAGGGATCAACATGGCTTCTCTTGGCTGTTTATAGTAAAATGTGAGAAGAGAGAAATGAATTAAAGATATAATTTATCATCAGAAGTGAAGATTTGGGAAATTCTCAGCTTGGCCATGTAAAGAATAAAAAAGCATGTTTTGGAGAGAACACCAAAAGAGTGGCCTAGTCACCTTTTGATAAGGAGATTAGCGTGCATGGGTGGAAGCTTGGTGTTGTTCATCAAAACAATGGAAGAATAAACCCATAGCATTTCAGTGATTACCGGTGCTGCTCCTCCCATCACAGGCCCAGAGTGCCAAGGCATGGGGGACAGAACTATCAAAAGAGGGGCTTCAGGCGCTAATGAAACCCTGGCAATCCCTTCCTGGCACTGTGTCAAGTCTGCTCCCCGAATTTTGGCACAGTGCTCCTTAGCCATTCCAGGTGTGGCTCCAGTAGGCCCAAGTATAGTGGCTGCTCCTCTAGAGGGCACAGGTGGTGAACCTTGGCAGTGTCTGAGTGATGCCATCTCCAGTGGGTGCAGAGTGTACAAGCTGCGGGGTATGATAACTTCCACCTAGATTTCAAAAGATGCCCTGGAGAGCCTTAGCAGATCCTGGCAGAGAATTGCTACAGAGGTGAGGCCACCATTGGGAACCCTCACCAGGGCAAAGCTTGGTGGAGCTGAGGTGCGCGGGGTTGCTCCCTGAGGCCCTAGTCTAGTAGAGCTTCCAGCATGCAACTCCAGCCTGGGAGAGCCACATGCAGAAGACTCAAACTCTAACCCAGGAGAACTGCAGCATGGGCTGCCCCCAATAAAGTCATGGGGGTGGGGGCCCCTGGTACCCTGGGGGCCCAACTCCTGCTCCAGTGTGTCCAGAAGGCAGGATATCAAGTCGAAGATTATTCTGAAGCCTTAAAAGTTAATGTTTGCCCTGTTGGGTTTTGTATTGGTTGGGACCTATTATCCCTTTCTTCTTTTCTATTTTCTCCCTTTTGGAATGGGAATGCATGTTCTGTGCCTGTCCCATCATTGCATTTTGGAAACAGGTTGGATTTCACAGACTCACAGCTGGAGGGGAATTTGCCTCAGGATGAATTGCACCTTTGAGTCTTACCCATATCTGATTTTGGGAAGGAGTTAAGACTTGTGAGACTATTGGAATGAAATGAATGTATTTTGCCTGTGAAATAGACATGAATTTTAGAGGGCCAGGAACTGGATGCTGTGGTTTGAATGGGTTCCTCCAAAAATTCATGTTGAAACCTAATCCCTACTGTGGTGGTATTAAGAGGCGGGGCCTTTTGGGAAGTGATGAAGTCATGAGGGCTTCACCCTTATGAGTGGAATTAGTGCCCTTATAAAAGAGGTTGAAGGGAGCACCCTGGACCCTTTCTGCTATTAGGATGCAACCAGAAGGCATCATCTTTGAAGCAGAGAATAAACCCTCACCAGGCACTGAATCTGCCGGCACTTTCATTTTGGACCTCTCAGCAACCTCCAGAACAGTGAGCAATAAATTTCTGTGGTTTGTAAATTACCCAGTTTTGTACTCCTTGCAGAAGACTTTAAAGAAAATTAATTAATTACCCAGTCTAAGGTGGTTTGTTATGGTAGCCTGAATGGACTAAGACACCCAGTTACAGCCATTTATCGCTTCTCCTCTAACTCCCTCATCCATGATTTTTAAAAAAGTTTTTGTTTAGTTAAAGAATTCTTGGATTAGGCTGGGCGTGGTGGCTCACGCCTGTAATCCCAGCACTTTGGGAGGCTCAGGCAGGCAGATCACGAGGTCAGGAGATCGAGACCATCCTGGCTAACAAGGTGAAACCCCGTCTCTACTAAAAGTACAAAAAATTAGCCGGGCGTGGTGGCAGGCGCCTGTAGTCCCAGCTACTCAGGAGGCTGAGGCAGGAGAATGGCATGAACCCGGGAGGCGGAGCTTGCAGTGAGCTGAGATCACGCCACTGCACTCCAGCCTAGGCAACAGAGCCAGACTCCGTCTCAAAAAAAAAAAAAAAAGGAATTCTTGCATTACAAACTCACCCATTTGCTTCTTAGCCTTCTTTTTGTGCTTGCCCTTTGAACTTTACATGTCTTTTGGAAGCCAAATCTTAATGGTAGATAGAAATTTCAAAAGGCCCCATGAAAAGTTTTGTGTGGTTATGGAAACTAGTTTAGCAGTACCTATTTTAGTTTGAGATACTTGCCCTTTTCTTACAGGCTGTCTTATGGTTATATGTTATAGATCTTAAGATTATTTATACAGTTGACCTTTGACCAATGCAAGGGATAAGGGCACAGCCCCTGTGCAGTCACAAATCCATGGGTAGCTTTTGACTCCCCCAAAATGTAACTATTAATACCTTATTATTGACTAGAAGCCTTACTATAACATAAATAATCAAATAACACATTTTATGTTATATTAATGTTATTTCATATGTTAATATGTATTGTATACTGTATTCTTACAATAAAGTAACCTAGGGAAAAATATTACAAAGAAAATCATTAGGAAAATACATTTATAATTCATTAAATGGAAGTGGATTATCATAAAAGTCTTCATCCTCGACGTCTTCACGTTGAGCAGGCTGCGGAGGAGAAAGAGGGAGGAGTTGGTCTGGCTGTCTCAAGGGTGGCAGAAGTGGAAGAAAATCCATGTATAAGTGGACCTGCCCAGTTCAAGCCCATGTTGTTCAAGGGTCAACTGTATAAGATAATCTAATGGCTGTCTTATTTTAGAAGAGTAAAAACTGCATGCTTCTTATAGTGAAAACCAAAATTCCATCAAATAGTGAAATCTCTTAATATACCACTTTATAATTTTGTAATTTTTTTTCCCTTTAGAATACATATGCTGTCTTGGCTTTTTTTAACTGTAGATGGCAGTAGCACATAAAATATGTTGATTGAGGGCAGGAAAATGTTCAGAGTAATGTTCAATTGCTATGTGATTTTCCCAGAGTAACTAATTCTATTGTCAGAGAAACCACATGATAACATTTAAGTTAAGGATGTCTGGATTTTTGGTAGGAGGACTCTGAAATTTAAAACTCCATTTTCCTTAGCATATCAAGTGAATATTAAAAGTATATTTTTACCTCCAACTTCAGTACTTCAAATTTTTTTTCTTTTTTGACAGAGTCTCGCTCTGTCACCTAGGCTGGAGAGTGTAGTGGCACGATCTCAGCTCACTGCAGCCTCCGCTTCCCAGGTTCAAGTGATTCTTCTGCCTCAGCCTCCTGAGTAGCTGGGATTACCGGCGTGCACCACAACACCCAGCTGATTTTTTTTGTATTTTTGGTAGATATGGGGTTTCACCATGTTGGCCAGGCTGGTCTCGAACTCCCTACCTCAAATGGGAGCCTACCTCACCTGCCTTAGGCTCCCAAAGTGCGGGGATTATAGGAGTGAGCCACTGTGCCTGGCCTGGGATTTCAAAATTAAGGTTCAGGGTTAGAAAGCATGACCGGCTCATCACCCTATAAACCAATTTTCTTATATTCTGTGGCTGTTCAAGTCTTACCGACTTTCCTTCTGTTTTATTTCTTACGTTTCACTCTCATTATCCTAGTTTAGGAACTTACTGTATCTCACATACTCTTAGGCCTTATCTTTCCTATTCAGGTGCGTCATCTCTCTAATTTGTTCATGTAGGAAATGTTTATTAAGGAATTGCTATGTACCAGGCCCTGTGCTAAGAGAAAGGAGCAGAGTGTTGCTAATCACTCTCCGATCAGCCGCAGCTAACAATCTGACAATGAGGGAGGGAAAAAAAGAAAATGTAAACTAGAATTCACTTTCAAAGTCATTTTCATAAAGATAGCCAGTTTTTCTCTATGTCCTCTTTCCCTTCCTTCTCTCTTTTTTTCCTTTCTTTCTCTTTTTTTTTTTTTTTTTTTTTGAGATGGAGTCTCACTCTGTCGCCCAGGCTGGAGTGCAGTGGCATGATCTCTGCTTACTGTAACCTCTGCCTCCTGGGTTCAAGTGATTGTCCTGCCTCAGCCTTCCAGGTAGCTGAGATTATAGGTGCCCACCCCCACGCCCAGCTAATTTTTGTATTTTTAGGAGAGTTAGGGTTTCACCATATTGGCCAGGCTGATCTTGAACTCCTGGCCTCAAATGATCCGCCTGCCTTTGCCTCTCAAAGTGCTAGGATTACAGGCATGAGCCACCATGCCCAGCTCCTTTTTTTTTTCTACAAAGTCCTGTAAATCAGCAAAACCAAGCATGTAGGCTGCTAATACCATATAGAAATACTGCAGTAGTAATACAATCTGTTTCAAGGGTAAATTGGAATGCTTAGAATAGCTTTGTAGACACTGCTGTTCAAGGAATAGGGTTGACCAGAGGCTAATCAAATAACTCACATTTTTCTTTATAAGTTGTCCATCCAAGGTCAGCATGATAGAGAATGTGATGTAGTGATTGGTGGAAACTATGCTGTATTTTTTTAGTGGATTTTATATAAACCTTTTAGCATATCAATAAATGAAGTTACTTTTTCCCCTATTATTTTAAAAATTGAGTATTTTATCCCAGTTAGTAAATATTTATTGTACCTTTCCTATGAGCATCCCCTACCACTGTGTTAAACCCTGCAAAGGACATAGTTTAGCAAGGTACTCGCCACCCCTAAAGATCCTGCACTGAAATGGGGGATGCACTGAAAGTGGGGATGTGGGACCAGATGTGTGGAGTGGGAAGTGCAAGCATACTTGGAATGCAAGGCAGAATTTGATGAGAGGTACAGACACATTGTCTGTTTTTATGTTTTCTCATGAGGCAAACTTCTGAGTGCCTTATTTAATACCCTTGGTGTATTGTACATAATCAGAACTCTCCAGACATCTGTCAGTATTATTAACTTTTGTTTTTATTTTTTTAAACTATGGAATGAACGGATTGAAACTATTTCATAAACATTTCTAGGTGCTAACATCTTCCTAGCCCCAAGCTAACATAGTCAAACATAAACAGACTCTAACTAAGGTCTTAAATACTTGGTAAATGAATAAATGTTGACTAGACTTTAATAACTAGGTCTGAACTATTTTTATGCTTCAGAGGTTATTGTTTGACTCTTTCCTTCAAATGCAAATAAAGAGCTTGAAATGCTTATTAATCCTTCCCTTCAGTTATGTATGGAGCAAGTTAGCAATGAACTTAATGATTCACCCTGGCTGCAGAAACATGTTTCATTTGGTCAGGGAGATAAAAATTAATTAGCATTTTGTCTTGCATAAGGCAGTAGAAATAGAACTATTTCTCTTGTTTGAGGACTTATTAACAATTACTTGTAGTCCCTGTAGATATTTTTCATTCTCAGTTGGGACTTAAAACTTACTATCATGAACACTTTCAAAACTTTACAAAAATAGAACTATATACCCAGCAGTTGCTTCAACAATTATCCACATAGGGGCCAATCATGTTTCATTAATATCCCCATTCACCGGAGCATGCCTCTTCCCCTTTTTTTACATGAAAATACTTCTAAAGCTATTACTAGGCTGCTAGTTTTTTTGTATTAATTATTATAAATGTCTTTGGGAAAAACATGTTTTGTTTTGTAACCAGTGAAAATTTTAAGACCTGGTAACACATATAAGGTACCTTTCTAAAAAAGTCTTTAGGGGTTCCATTAATCCCCTTTCTGGAGTCTAGCCTTAGGAAATAGAAATTAAGGGCAAGGTCTTTGTACAAAAATGTTTATCACAGCATTCTTTATAATAGTGAATAATTAAAAATGCATATATATCTAATAGAGAATAATAAATCCACATGGTAGAATGTTTTATGGTCTTTAAACTATCTTCAAAGAGTATTTAATAACATGAATACTCTTTTTTTTTTTTTTTTTTTTTTTTGAAATGGAGTTTTGCTCTTTTTGCCCAGGCTGGAGTGCAGTGGCGTGATCTCAACTCACTGCAACTTCCACCTTCCAGGTTCAAGCGATTCTCCTGCCTCAGCCTCCCATGTAGCTGGGATTACAGGCGCACAGCACCATACCTGGCTAATTTTATATTTTTAATAGAGATAGGTTTTCACCATGTTGGCCAGGCTGGTCTTGAACTCGTGACCTCAGGTGATCCTCCCACCTCGGCCTCCCAAATGCTGGGTTTACAGGCACGAGCCACCGCTCCTGGTCCAATACTCTTTTAAAAAAGGATAAAATTGCATCTATATAATAATCCAAGCTGGATAGTATCTTTGTGTATACTGTATGATGGACTGTGGAAGTGTGATTTGCTGTTGCCCTGGTTCTAGTAAATCAAGCTGTACTGCAATTCATTTCCTCAGTTTCAAAGAAAGCTTTTCATTTTTCTGATTTTTAAAGCATTATCAGTTCTCTACTTAATCCTTCCAAATTGCCATTTATTTGCTGAAACCTGCATTGTGACCTCATGTCAGTATTCAGGATACTTGTGCTTTAAGATCCTAGGATATAAGTAAATCAAAGGCATTGCTTATATTTTTAGATGACTGACATTAAGTGCCTTTTAGGCAGCAAGGTTTCCTCATATGTAGGTTAGCAATCAATGTTATTTTCTGCCTGTAGGCTTTTCTTAATAATTAAGAATATTATATTCTTTGTTCCTAACTTTACAGATTATAAGCACACCACAGAGACTAACCAGTTCAGGAAGTGTTCTGATTGGGAGTCCATATACCCCTGCACCAGCAATGGTTACTCAGACACACATAGCAGAAGCTACTGGCTGGGTCCCTGGGTAAGAGTGTTGCAAGTTACTATTTTTAAAACCTTAAAAAAAGTTTAGACATTTTTTTCTTACTATCTTGTCTTCTGTTCTTGTTTTAGTTTAGTTCTTAAAAACAAATGTTTTTCCTTTAAAATCACCTATTTTATTTCACTTTATATCTTAGATATAAATAATCTCTGGAATAACTATTTTTAAACAGAAAAAAACAGTGCAATAACTCATAACTAAACCCTGTGACTTTTTAAACTCTGGAATAGGACTACTTTTATTATTATAATATTTAACTGCTTTGGAGATATAAAAACTATATTTTTATATATTTTTAACTCACACAGAAAAGGAGTTAAATATTAAGTGTTGGCTATACTCAGAATTTCCCCTATGAATTACTTCCATAAAGACCAGAAAAGGGTAGGAAAAGAGGCCAGATAAATTTTTTATTAAATTTCCTCTTCTTTTTAAACGCTGAACAATTGAATCAATATCCCTTCTGTTACTAATTTGTCACTTTTAGTACAAACTTCTATATGTTTCATCTTTGCATGTAAAATACTTATACCTTTCTCCACTCTTTATCATTTTAGTACCTCATACTTCCATAAAAGAAAAATAAGTAAGATAAATTACTCAAAACCTCATTTTGTTACCTTAGACGTTTTGTTACTTTAGAAGTTATTTACATGGTGGAATACTGCATTGGTGATTCTGTCATATGTGAGTTTGAGCAAGCAGATGGTAAGTCTTAGTTAAGTAAGAATCTCCTTGCTTCAAGGATATTAAGTGAATTAATAATCCTGGCAAAGTGCTTTAATATGCATACATATTAATATACATAAATACATGCCTACACACATGTACAAACACAAATACATTAAAGACAGAAGAGTTTTGTATATGCATACTTTTCCATTATCAAATGAGCTGAAATGACAGAATTACCTGGAATCCTATGGGTGTTATTCAATCCTTATGAACATTCTTATGTAGATCAAAGGTTACCCTGGATTTCTCTATAGCCTTGAAAGATTATAACGTGAAAGCCAAGCCTGTGCCAGCAGTGCTGGCCCACTTTGGAAATGACCAGGGTCTGGATGTTTTCAGCCCCATTTGTGCTTTATATTGGAGGTGGCAGGATTGTCTGGTGTTTTTATAGTCAGTATTTCGCAGAGTGAAGAAAATTTTTCTCTATCTTGTTTGCAAGTCTGCAGTGTTTTCCTCTCTAGCTAGTCATTGAGCTCTTTTCAACTTATGATTATTAAGTTGTGATACCTTGTTCACATGATAAAATTAAGATTTATTTTATGTACCTATCTTTTGTATTTGCTAGTTTTAGTCTTTGAATATATTCAGTGTATAATTTTAGACAAGTTATAATAAAGTATTAATGAAATTAAATTGTATTTAAGTATGTATTGTTTTTATGCTATCTTTTTTCCTTTTTAGTGATAGAAAACGGGCTAGAAAATTTATAGACTCTGATTTTTCAGAAAGGTGAGTATAAGTCTAACTATTTTGTTTGGAAGATTTGGCTATATAGAGAGGCTGTTGGCATTGCCACTGCTCTGGTTTAATGCGATGTTTTTCTTCATGTAACTTTAACTTCTTTCAGTTCTTGCCATTATTTCATTCTGCATTGAGTGCCCCAGTTCACTCATAGTATCTGTATGGTTTCAGTAGAAATTACCCTGTGAGCAGATTGACTATTGGTAGTATGTCCTTTAGTCTCTCCTCTCTTTCCATCTGGTAAATGAAGAGTTCTATCAAAGTGAATACTCCACATTACCCTAACATGCCCAAAGTTTAACAATTTTTTCTTTTTTCTTTTTTTTGAGATGAAGTCTTGCTCTGTCACCCAGGCTGGAGTGCAGTGGCGTTATCTTGGCTCACTGCAACCTCTGCCTCCCGGGTTCAAGCAATTCTCCTGCCTCAGCCTCCCAAAGTGCTGGGATTACAGGCATGAGCCACCACACCCGGCTAAGTTTTTCTTAAAACATTTATAAATCATAACAAACTTGCTTCTTTCTTAAGCAATATGTTGGGCATAAGGAAAGTTCATGTTATCTTAGAATATTAGGACAGTGGCTTCTCCATTCTGGCTGTGCATCAGAATCACTTGTAGTCTGTTAAGTAAAAAATAAATGCCTGCCATGTCAGAAACTCCTACATTTTCTAATTTGCTATCTCTGATTTGCTGTGCCCTGAGAAATTAGATGGCCAAATATGTTAGAATTCAGTCTAAAATGAAAGTGACTAGGTTCTGAGTGAGAACCATGGGAATATGTATAAAGGATGTGTGTTTTCTTGCCCTGACACTAGTGCTGTTTCAGTTCCTTGGTGGCTTTTGTTGTTTGCTTCTTGGTGCTAATCGTTTTCAACAGATACAATCACTTCTGAGGAGCTGCTGTATCATAGAAATGAAATGTTCTTTACTCTCTAACAGAAAGTCCTCTTTCCAACTCAAACTGGTCTTTACTGGTGTTTATCCTTCGAAAGGGCAACAGAACAAGTTCTTGCAGAGGTATTTAGCAATGTTTAAGGCCTTAAAATGGAACTATTTGTCAGTTATGATTGGTGGCACCTCTGCACTGCAAACAGTACAAAAACCAAGATTCTCTTTATTCTCCTTTGTAAGTAAGAATTCTAAAGATCTATAAGTGAGAACACATAAAAGTGTTAGGTTAAATTTATAGTGTAGCCATTGGTTCAACTTTCTCTTTCTACATTTGGTTCAGTGGCTTTTTTTCCTAGCATTTTTTTTTTATCATTTTTTAAAAAGTTTTGAATATAACTTTTCTGTAATGTATCCCCACCACCCGTCTGTCAAACCACGAAGATTGCTACATGTATTTTTCTTTATTCCTTGTTCTAAATAAGATTTAGCACAGTGGTGTTTCATTTTTTTCTTTATGCTTTTTTTTTCTTCTTTCTTTCTTTCCTTCCTTCCTTCCTTCTTTCTTTCTTTCTTTTCTTTCTTTTTTTTTTTTTTTGAGATGGAGTCTTCCTCTGTCTCCCAAGCTGGAGTGCAATGGCTTGATCTCAGCTCACTGCAACCTCCACCTTCTGGGTTCAAGCGATTCTCCTGTCTTAGCCTCCAGAGTAGCTGGGATTACAGACATGCACCACCATGCCCAGCAGGTTTTTGTCTTTGTGTAGAAACAGGGTTTCACCATGTTGGCCAGGCTAGTCTCAAACTGCTGACCTCAAGTGATCCTCCTGCCTTGGCCTCCCAAATTGCTGGGATTACAGGCATGATCCACCACGCCCAGCCTCTTTTGTTTTTAAGACAGGGTGTCACTCTGTTGCCCAGGCTGGAGTGCAGTAGCGCAATCTTGGCTCACTGCATCCTCTGCCTCCCAGGCTCAAGTGATTCTCCTGCCTCAGCCTCCCAAGTAGCTGGGACTACAGGCGTGTGCCCGCTAATTTTTGTATTTGTAGTAGAGATGGGGTTTCACCATGTGGCCAGGCTGGTCTTTAACTCCTCACCTCAAGTGATCCACCCACCTTGGCCTCCCAAAGTGCTGAGATTATAGGCATGAGCCACCACACCTGGCCTTTTTTTTATTTTTTACTTTTTTGCTAATTAGGTCAAGGGTTAATTTTATAAACAAGACTGAAATATTTTGTTGATTTAAATGTTCTGGTTGACTCTCTTTTTAACAAGAAGTGAAACTTTTACTATATATTTTATATAACTCCTTATTAAAATGAAATACATTTATTGCAATTTATACTTGAGATACAATACTATACATTTAAGTTGTATATTACTTTTGTAAACCATAAAAAAATTTATTGGGAAAATGTCAAAAGATGGTTTGTAGATTCTAGTTACGTGCCTGGAAAGAAAGAAAAATACTTTTTTATTATTTGGGTGTAATTCTTTTGAAACTTCAAAGGAAATAATCAATAAAATGTAACATGCTTTTCAAACCATAGTATATTAGTGGGGTTTGTTTGTTTGTTTGTTTTTTGAGATGGAGTCTCACCCTGTTGCCCAGGCTGGAGTGCAGTGGTGTGATCTCGGCTCGCTGCAACTTACGCTTCCTGGGCTCAAGTGATTCTCCTGCTTCAGCCTCCCAAGTAGCTGGGATTACAGGCGTGTGCCACCATGCCCGGCTAATTTTTTGTATTTTCAGTAGAGACGGGGTTTCACCGTGTTAGCCCAGGATGGTTTTGATCTCCTGACCTTGCAATCTGCCCGCCTCAGCCTCCCAAAGAATTGGGATTACAGGCATGAGCCACCGTGCCCAGCCCAGTCCATCTTAAATTGGAAGCTCTCTATTTAAATCTTAAATATATAAGGTTTATACATTTTTTTAGAACCTGAGCTCTTTCAAACACCAAGACCCTCTCTTTCCAAATAACGTCAAAATTTGGCCACAGGATGTAAACACTCTATAAGTTCATAAACCAAACAAAGAAACCAGGAGGAAGCATTCTTTATCAAAGGAACTAAATTAAGAAGCTAAAACCTAAATAAGAAAATAAAACCACAGACTGGGCACGGTGGCTCACACCTGTAATCTCAGCACTTTGAGAGGCTGAGGTTTTTTATGGTGAAACTTGTCTCTACTAAAAATACAAAAATTAGTTGGGCATGGTGGTGGGTGCCTGTAATCCCAGCTACTCAGGAGGCTGAGGCAAGAGAATCGCTTGAACCCGGGAGGCAGAGGCTGCAGTGAGCCAAGATCACACCACTGCACTCCATTTTGGGCAACAGGGTGAGACTCCAGCCTGGTCAACACAGCGGGACTCCGTCTCATGTTTACTCCCTACCTCCCTCATGCTCACTGCTAAGATCTTATTGAAATTTTAGTATAAAAAATAATTAAAGGGGCTGGGCATGGTGGCTCACGCCTGTAATCCCAGTACTTTGGGAGGCCAGGGTGGCCATATCACTTGAGGTCAGGAGTTCAAGACCAGCCTGGCCAACCTGGTGAAACCCTGTCTCTACTGAAAATACAAAAATTAGTCAAGCGTGGTGGCACATGCCTGTAATCCCAGCTATTCGGGAGGCTGAGGCGCAAGAATTGCTTGAACCCAGGAGGCAGAGGTTGCAGTGAGCCAAGTTCGTGCCACTGCACTCCAGCCCCGGTGACCGAGGGAGACTCTGTCTCAATAATAATAATAATAATTATTATTATTATTATTAAAGTAAATCTGTAAAAGTGCTGTAAAAAATGATAGGGGTATAGATTTTCCAACTAGAAAATGAAAGCTAGTGTTATTATAATGAAAAGTGAAAGTAGAGAAATCTACATCGCATATTGCGTGGAAGAAGTCAGCATCAGAAATGGTAGCCATTGTACCCTACATTGTCACAGAGAGGCTCCAGGCTTAAAGTTGACCTGCGTAGAAAGCAAGAATGAATTGTTGGAGGAAGTAAGGAGGGCGATTGAATAAAGACTTTTAGCAGCTGGGCCAGCTGAACCATCCCAACCCTTCAAATCCCCTTGTACCTCTTATCCCACCTCCATACACAGAGCAGTTGCCCCAAAAACATTTCTCCCCTAGGGCTGAAACTTGGAGAACTGATCCCAGGGAAACAACTGCCTGCTTCAGCTGGTTTAAGAATTTTAGTATGCCCCAGAACAGGTTTTCCTCATACTGGCATTTGTATTTGTGGGAAGAGAGAGAGACCAGACTGGCTGCCTGCTTGTCTGCTTAGCAGCAAATACAACCTGAAGTTAAGCTTGTTGCCAGCATGGCCCACTCACATCCAGAGAAGTTGTGGTTAGCCCTCCACAAGTGGGGGAACCTTCTTAGGAAAACAAGCGTGCATACAAGAAGCTCATGTAAACTCTATATATTGAAAACTTGAATCCAACATTCGTGAACATGAAAGAACAGGACATTTTTGGAAAACTATGATGAAAGAAAAGGAACAAGATGAATAAACAAAAGTTATGACCCAAGAGGATGTAAGATAAAAAAGAACAATAAAATAAAGTTGTAATTATCACCCTTTGAGAGGTCTGAAGGTTCCTGAGAAGAGATAATATTCATGAAAGAAAAAGAAGATCCTATGGAAAAGAAGCAAAGAAGAAAAACATTCTATGAAGTTTAAAACATGATTGCCAGCCGGGCGTGTTGGCTCAGGCCTGTAATCCCAGCACTTTGGGAGGCTGAGGCAGGCGGATCAGTTCGAGACCATCCTGGCCCACATGGTGAAACCCTGTCTCTACTAAGAATACAAAATATAGCTGGGCATGGTGGCGCGTGCCTGTAACTACTCGGGAGGCTGAGGCAGGAGAATCGCTTGAACCTGGGAGGCAGAGGTTGCAGTGAGCTGAGATTGCACCACTGCACTCCAGCCTGACGACAGAGTGAGACTCCATCTCAAAAAAAAAAAAAAAAAAGAAAAGAAAAGATTGCTAAAAACAGTTCTTCAAGATATTAAAACATGAAAACAGAATTTTTATTTTAATGAAATAACTTGGCAGCAGTCTAGTGTTGCTGCAGAGAATAGCTGGGATTGTGTTATTTGAAGATACCAGAAATCTACTGAGGCAGGAGAACTAGAGGGGCTAAAACTAGATCAGGAAGAACCTCAGAAAGTTGAGGGACTTCCACAGTAGCTTTTAGATATGGGGTAGTTTGCTGTTTGTGGGCAGGAGGCTGAGAATCTAGGATTTTGTACAAAATAAAGGAGAAAAATGTTATGATCAGTTGGTACAGAAAAAAGCACATGACTTGATTAAACTCTACTCATTATGGTAAGTGGCAAACTAGTAATAGAAGGGAACTTAGTATGTTAAAGACAATTGGCAAAAACCAACAGCAGGCCAGGCACGGTGGCTCACGCCTGGCATCCCAGCACTTTGGGAGGCCAACCCAGGCGATTCTCTTGCGCCCAAGAATTCGAGACTAGCCTGAGCAACATGGCAAAACACCATCTCTAGAAAAAATACAAAACTTAGCCAGGCATGGTGGTATACTCCTGTAGTCCCAGCTATTTGGGAAGCTGAGGCAGGAGGATCGCTGAGTATAGGAGGTCAAGGCTGCAATGAGCCAAGATCAGGCCCCTGCACTCCAGCCTGGGTGACAGAATGAGAAGAATGTCATTTTCTTTTTCTTTTCTTTTTTTTTTGAGGCAGGGTCTTGCTCTGTCGTCCAGGCTGGAGTGCAGTGGCACAATCTCAGCCCACTGCAACCACTGCCTCCTGAGTTTAAGCGATTCTCCTGCCTCAGCCTTCGGAGTAGCTGGGATTACAGGCACCTGCCATCATGCCCGGCTAATTTTTTTTTTTTTTTTCTATTTTTAGTAGAGACTGGATTTCACCATGTTGGCCAGGCTGGTCTTGAACTCCTGACCTCAAGTGATCCACCCACCTCGGCCTCCCAAAGTGCTGGGATTACAGGCATGAACCACCGCACCCGGCCGAGAAGAATGTCTTTAAAACACACACACATGCACGCACGCATACACACACACACACACACACACGCCAGGCGCAGTGGCTCATGCCTGTAATCCCAACACTTTGGGAGGCTAAGTTGGGTGGATCGCCTGAGCTCAGGAGTTCGACACCAGCCTGGGCAACATGGTGAAACCCAGTCTCTACTAAAAATACAAAACATTAGCTGGGCGTGGCAGGATGCACCTGTAGTCCCAGCTACTCAGGAGGCTGAGGCAGGAGAATTGCCTGAACCTGGAGGCAGAGGCTGCAGTGAGCAGAGATCACACCACTGTACTGCAGCCTGGGTGACAGAGTGAGACTCTGGCTAAAACACACACACACACACACACACACACACACACAAATCTGACAGCAAACATTACATTTAGTAGTGAATAAAAAGCTTTCAACTTGGCATAAGAAACAAGGAGAATCCCTAGTTAATCACCACCTCTATTCAGTATTGTAGTGGAAATTCTTGCTAGTGCAGTAAGCCAAGAAACAAAATGGAAAGCCTTAATAAAAGAATTGTAAATGAAGAAATAAAATGGCACTATTTGCAGATGATGTGATTGTATACCAAGAAAAAACAAAAGAATCTACAGACAATTTATGAGAAAAATGAATTTAGCAAGGTTGCTGGATATAAGGGCATATAAAAATGAACAGAATTTTTTTATTCTAGCAAAAAATACAAACGGGCCAGTAAACATGAAAAAGTGCTTATCAGCATTAATCATTAGAAAAATGCAAATGAAAACCACAGTGCAATACCACTTTACATCCATCAGAATGGCTACAATGAAAAGGATAGACAGTGCTAAGTTTGGCAAGGATATGAAGCATCTAGAATGCTCATACACTGCTGGTGGCAGGAAAAACTGGTACAGTCATTTTGGGAGTTAGCAGTGTCTGCTGAAGTTGAATGTACACATACCCGTAACTCATCAATTCTGTTCCTTGTGTATGCTCAACAGAAATTTGTGCACACATTCACCAAAAACATGTACAAGAAAGTTTATAGAAACACTATTAGCCTTCAACTAGAAACAAACCAAATGCCCATCTGCAGAATGGATGAATGAATTGCAATGTATTCATACAATGAAATGAATGAAATACAGTCACATGAAAAGTGTGAATGAATCTCTCAAATAGTGTTGTCAGATACAAAAGGGTACATACTATATGATTTTAATTTAAAGTTCAAAATAGGGAAAACTATAATAGAAGTCATGGTAACAGATATTCTTGAGGTGTTGGGTTTGGGTGGAACTGTAACTAGAAGGAGACACTTAACACAGTTGGTTTGCGTACTTTTCTTTATGTGTTATGTACGTCAATGAAAATTTGCATTTAAAAACTCAGGAAGAAGTTAAACACTGTAGCCAGGTAACTCTCAACTTGTAGGCTGTAAGTCACTAGACGATGGGACAGGACTACATAAGAAGAAAAGGAAAGCTTTCTTCCTCATGTTGTGGGCTCCTGTGGTGTATTCCTAGCCATCTTTTATAGACTAAGCTCAGACTAAGGAGTGGAATTGCTGGGTCATACAGTTACTCTTTGTTTAGCCCTTTTGAGTATGGCTAGACTGTTTTCCAAAGTGGCTGTACCGTTTTACATTCCCATAAACAATGTATGAGTATTCCAGTTTCTCCACGTTTTTGCTAACACTTCTTGTGAAATGGTACCTCATTAATAAAAATTAACTCAAAGCATTTTGATTTGCATTCCTTGTATATTCTAGATGGAAATCCCTTATTAAATACATGATTTGCAGAGTTTTTCTCCAATCTGTGAATTGACCTTTCATTCTTAATGGTGTCTTTTGAGGCACAAATGTTTTTAATTTTGATGTTTAATTAACTTATTTTTTTCTTGTGTTACTTATGCTTTTGTGTCATATATCTAAAACATCTTTGCCTAATCCAAGGTCACAAAGACTTAACACCTACGTTTTCTTCTAAGAGTTTGATAGGTTTAGCTCTTACATTTAGGTCTTTGCTTTGAGTTAATTTTTATTAAGGTTAATTTGTCAAATGTAACCCAGAAGCATATAGAAAATCTATGAAGAAAAAATAGGTGTTTTTTTTTTTTTTTTTTTTTTTTGAGACAGCGTCTTGCTCTGTCTCCCAGGCTGGAGTGCAGTGGCGCAGTCATGGCTCACTACAGCCTTGACCTCCTAGGCACAAGCAATCCTCCTGCCTCAGCCTCCTGAGTAGCTGGCATATATCACCACACCTGACTAATTTTTACATTTTTTGTAGAGATGAGGTCTCACTATGTTGCCCAGCCTGGTCTTGAAATGCTGGGCTCAGGCGATCTGCCTGCCTCGGCCTCCTAAAGTGCTAGGATTATAGACTTGAGCCACTGTGCTTGGCCAAAATAGGGATTTTTGACATTTATTTTTATAACATTTTTACAGTTATTTTAATTTTTCAAACAAGCCTGGGTTTATTATTTAAAATTATCAGCTAAATTAGAAAAGTAAACTTTTATTTTAATCCTCATTTTCTAATGGTGAGATAAGCATCCTGAACTATTTTTTTCAAGAAAAGGCATACCTATTCTGAAGGTGGCAGCAGTAGTAGTTAACCAGATGTGACAATGGAAGTAACTTAAAGAATGAAGAACAGGCTACTCTGGGCACGTTGCCTATGGGGTAGTCCTGCTCCACAAGGAGCAATGTAAAAAAAAAGAAGAAGAACAGTAAAATGAATACAATAGAGTTTGTATTAGTTTTGCTCAGAAACATGACCCCCTCTCATATTGAATTTGGTTTTGTAGCCATAATTGATGATGAAATACATAATACATAAACTACAGCATCTTATTTGCAGAAATACACTGGCTAATAAAGCCATGAAATCATCAAAACTTAAGCATCAAAGACAACAAAACATAAGTCAGTTCAAAACCAAAAGAACCATGGAGAAATAATAAATTGTTGGGCAACTATCACCACTATCCATCTTGAGAACTTTTTCATCATCCCATATTGAAACTCTGTCCCCATGAAGCAACAACACTACATTTACCACTCCCCCACAATCCCTCTGTTCTACTTTCTATGATTTTGACTATAATTTGATTTCATATAAGTGGAATCATACAATATCTTTTTATTTTTTTTTTGAGACGGAGTTTCGCTCTGTCGCCAGGCGTGTACGGTGGCGTGATCTCGGCTCACTAAAACCTCTGCCTCCTGGGTTCAAGCAGTTCTTCTGCCTCAGCCTCCCAAGTAGCTGAGACTACAGGCACGCGCCACCACACCAGCTAATTTTTGTATTTTTAGTAAACGGGGTTTCACCACGTTGGCCAGGATGGTCTTGATCTCTTGACCTCATGATCCGCCTACCTCGGCCTCCCAAAGTGCTGGGATTACAGGTGTGAGCCACCACACCCAACCCAATATTTATCTTTTTATGTCTGGCTTATGTCACTTATGTCTTCACAGTTCATCTGTAGTGTAGTATGTATCAGAATTTTATTCCTTTTTAAGGATGAATGTATTTCATTATATGTATATACCACATTTTATCTGTTTATCCATTCATTGGTGGGCAGTTGGGTTGCTTCCACATTTTACCTATTGTGAATAATGGTGCTATGAGCATGGGTGTACAAATATCTGTTGTTCCTGCTTTCAGATTCATCTGGGTGTATACCCAAAAGTGAAATTACTGGATCATATGGTAATTCTATGTTTACTTTTTTTGAGAAATTGCCATATTGTTTTCCACAGTGGCTGTATCATTTTATATTTCCACCAGCAGTGCATAATGGGTGCAGTTTCTCTACATCCTCTCCAACACTTTCTCGTTTTCAGTTTTTGTTTTTTTAATAGCCATTCTAATGGGTATGTAGTGGCATCTCATTATGGTTTTGATTTATATTTCTCTAATGATGAGTGACGTTGAGCATCTTTTCATGTACTTTTTGGCTATTTGTATATCTTCTTTGGATAAATGACTATTAAGTCTTTTGCCCTTTTTTTTTTTTTTTCTTGAGACATTCTCACTCCCAGGCTGGCGTGTGATGGCGTGAACTGCAACCTTTGCCTCCCAGGTTCAAGTGATTCTCATGCCTCAGCCTCCCAAGTAGCTAGGATTACAGATGTGTACCACCACGTCCAGCTAATTTTTGTATTTTTTTGTGGAGATGGAGTTTCACCATGTTGGCCAGGCTGGTCTCTAACTCCTGACCTCAAGTGATCCACTTGCCTTGGCCTCCCAAAGTGCTGGGATTACAGGCACGAGCCACTGCACCTGGCCCTTTGCCCATTTTTGAATTGAGTTGTTTCGTTTTTTGTTGTAATTCTTTATATAGCCTTTTGCCTTTTAGTGTTCTTTAACTAGAGACATTTTTTGCTTAACTTTCAAAGTGGCTTACTGGATTGGTTGCAGGACCAAATCTCTCATCTGTGTATGGCAGGTGTTGACTCTTTTAACCTCCTTTGTTGAATTTTAATGTTGATGTTAATTGAGTTTTGGCATGATATTCTATTAACCTTCCAAATAATAAGCTTAATTTCTTGATCCAGCCATTGTTGAATAGTGCCCTTTGGTTTTATATTGCTTATGAAAATTCTAGCAGCTCATGAAGGGGATAAGATCACTTGTAGTGTACCATATGTTATATGCATTTCATCCTCACAACTTGTGAGATGTGTATTCTGCATTTTTCAGATGAAGGACTGTGGATCAGAGTTAAATCGAGTAAACTGCTCAAAATATGTATCTGATAGTTTACTAATGTTGATATTTAACCAAGTTTTCTTCAAGTTTATTATCAATTTATGCACTGAACTGATTTTATAAAACTCTTACATGTAGGCTTGTATCTACATTTCAAGAGTATAGCCATCACTGTTTTATAATAGTTGTTAAAATTGTAGTTGTTCCTACTTAAGGACTATGTTTAGTTTCTTCCTTTAAATATTATCCAGGTATGACTACAAATATTATCCAGGTATGACTATAGAGAGCCAATTAGCTAAGTGATTGCCCGAAACCACCCTATCTTATTGCTGCCTTTAACAAAAAGACCAAGAATTGGATGAAAAACAACCCTGCTTCACTCTTGGCTTTTCAAAAGTATGTAACTGGCTGGCCTGAAGGTAGTGAGTTATCTCAATTGATGGTTCACAATCAGTTGAACACAGATCAAACTCCTTGTTCTACACTTTACCCCCTACTTGAGTAGGGGGTAAAGACTACTTGAGTAGTCTTTTAAAAAAAAAGAAGAAGAAAAAAGCATATAACCACTAAGTTGAGAAATTTATTTACTTTAAGCCATTAACCAGTTCTTTTCCTGGCTATATAATCCCATACACAACATTATTTCTGCCCAATAGAAATTTTAAAAGAAAATAAATATCTGAAGTTAATTTTAATATTTTTAATTTAGTCCAATATATCCAAAATATTGTATTTCAGTGTGTAATTAAATATAAAAATCACTAGTGAGGTATTTTACATTCATTCCTTATATTAAGTATTTAAAATCCAGTGTGTTAAACTTACGACATATCTCAATTCACACTTCCCACATTTCAAGTATTCAATAGCCACATGTGAGTTATGCCTAGGGGTATTGGACAGTGCTGATTAGGAGGTTTAAAATGCAACTCATAAATTTAATTCATCTCTTCGATCTCAGTAAATGACCCTTCTTTCTAGAGGTCATTCTACTATTCCTCTCTTCCTTACCCTCCACTTCAGACAATTTTATTGATTTTTTGTCTTTTAAAATTTTGTAAATCCATCTTTTTATCTCCTGCCCTACCACAGCTCCAGTTTGGGGATTCATATTCTCTTACCTGGACTATTGCAATACCCTCTCAGTTGGTCTTTGTGTCTCTGCTTTTGCCTCATAAATTTCACTTCTACTGTTACTAATTCTGATTCCAAAATCTGCTTTGCAGTGAGAATGTCTGCCTAACTGAAAATGTCACCATTCTACTCCACTACTTAATACCATTCAATATATTTTAGTGATTTCACATTATTTCAAATAAGTAGTCTGTGAGGTAAGATAAGTATGCTGTCCTATACTATCACAAGGGATGCATACACAACTCTTTGGGAATGTAGGGAAAGGAGAGTAGATATCCTTTTCTCATATTCCTTTTAAAACTGCATGTTTAGTATCTCTTTCTATGTACATAACATAGAACATGTAAATTATTTATCAGTAAATATATTCACAGTCCCACATCACTTAATGAGGGGCTATGTTCTGAGAAAGGCTTCATTAGGCGATTTCATCGTTGTGTGAACATCATCAATGTACTTACCCAAACCCAGGGTGGTATAGCCTGCTACACACTTAGGTACTTGGTATAGCCTATTGCCCCGAGGCTATAAACCTGCACAGCATGTTACTGGTTTGAATACTATAGGTCATTGTAACACAGTGATAAGTATTTGTGTATTTAAACATACCTAAACATAGAAAAAAGTAGAGTAAAAATACCTTGTAAAAGATTTTTTTTAATGATACACCTTTATAGTGCACTTTTCATGAATGGAGCTTGCAGGACTGGAAGTTGCTCTGGGTGAGTCAGTGAGTGGTGAGTGAATGTGAAGGCCTAGGAATTTACTGCACACTACTTTAGACTTTATAATCACTGTATACTTAGGCTACAGTAATTTATTTTAAAAAGATTTTTTTCTTCTTCAATAATAAGTTAACCTTAGCTTACTATAAATTTTTTACTTTATAAACTTTTTAATGTTCTCAAACTGTTTTACTCGTGTAGTAACACTTGACTTAAAACACAAACAATATTGGCCAGGAGCAGTGGTTCACATCTGTAATCCCAGCACTTTGGGAGGCCAAGGCGGATGGATCACTTGAGGTCAGGAGTTCGAGACCAGCCTGACCAACATGGTGAAACCCCATCTCTACTAAAACTACAAAAATTAGCCAGTCATGGGGGTAGGCGCCTGTAATGCCAGCTACTCGGGAGGCTGAAGCAGGAGAATCACTTGAACCCGGGTTTCTCAGTGAGCTGAGATCATACCACTGCACTCCAGCCTAGGGGATAGAGTGAGACTCTTTCTCAAAACAAACAAACAAAAAAAACACAAACATATTAATGGGTCCAAAAATACACTTAGATACAATGAATAATATCTAGTATTTGGTAGTACAATAGGTTGCTGTAGTTAACAACAATTGATTGTATATTTTAAGTAACTAGAGGAATGGAATTGGAATGTTCCTAATACAAAGAAACAATAAAGGCTTGAGATGACGGATACCCCAATTACCCTGATTAATCATTACACATTGTACAGCTGTACAAAAATATTTTCTTTATATCCTTATTCCATAAGCTTTTTTCTGTTTGTTTTTTAATTTCTAATTTTTTTTTTTTTTTTTTACTTTTGAAACTTTTTTGTTGAACACTGAGACGTGGCTGGGCAGGGTGGCTCACACTTATAACCCAACACTTTGGGAAGCTGAGATGGGAGGGATCACTTGAGGTCAGGAGTTCAAGAGCAGCCTGGGCAACATAATGAGACCCTGTCTCTACAAAAAAGAAATTAGCGAGGCATGGTGACATGCACCTGTAATTCTAACTACTTGGAAGGCTGAGGTGGAAGGATCACTTGAGCACAGGAGGTTTAGGCTGCAGTGAGCCATGACGGCACCACTGCACTCTAGCCCGGGCAACAGAGTGAGACCCTGAATCCAAAAAAAAAAACCCAAAAACAGAAAACTGAGACAGAGGGCCAGGCGCAGTGGCTCACGCCTGTAATCCCAGCACTTTGGGAGGCCGAGGCAGGCAGATCACCTGAGGTCAGGAGTTCTGGAACAGCCTGGCCAACATGATGAAACCCCGTCTCTACTAAAAGTACAAAAATTAGCCAGGTGTGGTGGTGCACACCTGTAATCCCAGCTACTCGGGAGGCTGAGGCAGGAGAATCGCTTGAACCTGGGAGGCGGAGGTTGCAGTGAGCTGAGATCACACCACTGCACTCCAGCCTAGGGGATAGAGCGAAACTCTCTCTCCAAAAAAGGAAACTGAGACACACTATCCTAGGCCTACAGGGGGGTCAAGATCATCAATATCACTGTCCTCCACCTCCACATTTTGTCCTACTGGAAGGTCTTCAGGGGCAGTAACACACATGGAGCTGTCATTTCCTGTGATAACAATGCGTTCTTCTGGATACCTCCTGAAGGATTGCCTGAGGCTTTTTACAGTTAACTTTAATTTATAATTTGAAGAAGTACGCTCTAAAGTAATGATGAAAAGTATAGTTTAGTAAATACAGAAACCAGTAACATAGTCATTTATTATCATTATCAAGTATTATGTACTGTCCATAATTGCATGTGCTAGACTTTTATAGGACTGGCAGAGCAGTAGGTTTGTTTGCCAGCATCACCACAAACATGTGAGTAATGCATTATTACTCACATTAACCATTACGATGGTTACATCACTAGGCAATGAGAATTTTTCAGCTCCATTGTAATCTTATTGGACTACTGTTGTATATGCGGCCCATCATTGACTGAAATGTCCTTATGTGGCAAATGACTATAGTTTTAATTTCAGTAAAAAACTATAATCTACATAGAGTAGGAAAAGATAAGTCTGTTAGCTGTACAAGGGCAGAGTTTTTGTGTTTTTTCACTGACTTATTCTCAGTGTCAATAACAGTATCCGGCATAGAATAGTAACTGGTCAATAAATATTTGTTGAATAAATAAATGCTGTGCATAGAAAAACACTCTAACTTTATACTTTATTAGACCTTTAAGGCAAAAAGTAAGTTTAAATAAACATTTTCTCATCTCTATTCAATTTAAATTTTTGACACTTGAAGTAAAACTTAAATTACTGTCTTCTTGCATTATCTTACAGAGATTTGTAAAGAAAGTCTCTAATATGTATAATGGAGTAAAAAAAACTTTTTTCCCTTCTAGTAAACGAAGCAAAAAAGGAGATAAAAATGGGAAAGGCTTGAGACACTTTTCAATGAAAGTGTGTGAGAAAGTTCAACGAAAAGGTACAACATCGTACAATGAAGTCGCTGATGAGCTGGTGTCAGAGTTCACCAATTCAAATAACCATTTGGCTGCTGATTCGGTATGTAAATCATGAACCTGACATTGATTTTGATGGATGATGCTACTTCTTTGTGTTATCTTTGTTATAGATTTGAGGAATCACGACTATACTTGAGGGTTTTATCCTTTATTTTGGGGGATTTTTTGTTGTTGTTGAGTTTTATTTTGGAGGGAATTCCTTTTTTTTTGTTTTTTAGGCGGAACCTCACTCTGTCGCCCAGGCTGGAGTTCAGTGGCGCGATCTCGGCTCACTGCAACCTCTGCCTCCCAGGTTCAAGCTATTCTTGTGACTCAGCCTCCCGCGTAGCTGGGATTACAGGCGCACACCACCATTCCCAGCCAATTTTTGTATTTTTAGTAGAGACAGTGTTTCACCATGTTGGCCAGGCTGGTCTCAAACTCCTGACCTCAGGTGATCCACCTGCCTTGGCCTTCCAAAGTGCTGGGATTACAGGCGTGAGCCACTGTACCCAGCCTTAGTTGTTTTTTTTGTTTTTTTTTGTTTTTTTTTAACATTTAAAAAATATTTGGCCAGGCGCGGTGGCTCACGCCTGTAATCCCAGCACTTTGGGAGTCTGAGGTGGGTGGATCATGAGGTCAGGAGATCGAGACCATCCTGGCTAACACTGTGAAACCCTGTCTCTACTAAAAATACAAAAAATTAGCCAGGCATGGTGGCATGTGCCTGTAATCCCAGCTACTCAGGAGGCTGAGGCAGGAGAATTGCTTGAACCTGGGAGGCGGAGGTTGCAGTAAGCCAAGATCGCACCACTGTACTCCAGCCTGGGCGACAGAGTGAGACTCCGTCTCAAAAAGAAAAAAAAAATTGGTCGCCTATCCAATAATTTTTTATTGTTTCTGAATCTTATTGTTTCTTCAATGTCTAAGTCAACAAGAAAATTTTATTTTTAATTGGAAAAGGAATACATAAATATGTTTATAAAAAATTCAGTTGTCTGGCAGAGTCTCAAATAAATGGAATACAGTGGTGCAGTTTCGGCTCAATGAAACCTCTACTTCCCAGGTTCAAGTGATGCTTGTGCCTCAGCATCCTGAGTAGCTGGGACCAAAAATGGCAAGGCTCTGCCTCTACAGAAAAAAAATTTATTTCTTTATCTTTTTTTTTTTTTTTTGATATGAGGTCTCACTATGTTGCCCAGGCTGATTTTGAACTCCTTGACTCAAGTGATCCTCCAGCCTCAGCCTCCCAAAGTGCTGGGATTACAGGCATGAGCCACCATGCCTGACCTCTACAAAAAGTTTTTTTTTTTAAATTAGCGAGGTGCAGTGGCACAAACCTGTAGTCCCAGCTACTCCAGAGGCTGAGGAGGATTGCTTGAGCCCAGGAATTCAATCATGCCACTGCATTCCAGCCTGGGCGGCAAAGCAAGACTTCGTCTCTTTGGGGGGAAAAAAAAAAAAAAAAAAAAAATATATATATATATATATGGCTATGACTGTTTCTCTAGAGCACTGATTTAGCCCTATCCTATTGATTCTGATATATTATTCTTTAGATGTTCTTTAATTTTGGTTTTAATTTGTTCTTTGACCTAAGGATTGCCTTAGAAAGAGTTCTTATAGTTCCAAGTTTTGTTTGTTGCTTTAAAGTTTTACTTTTATTACTTAATTTGTCCAGAGAATATGATTTGAACTATTTCCCTTTTTTTTTTGGATTACATTGAGATTTTCCTTGGGAGCCATTATATGTGATTTTCTTTTTCTTTTCATGTTCTCTAGGCACTTGAAAAAAAAAGTCTATAGCATTCTGTTTCTGAGTGAAAGCCATGGTTCTCACAATGATCTGCAAGCCCCTTTGTGAGCTTGCCCACCATTACCTCACTAATCTCGTCTTCTGCTATGCACTGTCTCATTTACTACCCTCCAGCCACATGTCACTATGCTCCAGCTACATGTTTTGTCCCTGATCAGGCCATTACACTGCTTTGCCTAGAGCAGTCTTTGCTAGGTATTCATATGGCTTCTCTCTCCCTGCCTTGTGATCTTCACTCACCTGTCACCACAATGAAGCATTTCTTCTTAGCACTTTTCAATATCTAAAATACATTTTTACTAATACCCTATCACCACCACCTTCCCAGGATATAAACAAAGGTTGAGTTTTTTTCTCTTTATTCACTGCTTTGTTATTTTTCTGATAATTTAGAATGCTTGTAGTCTCAGTTCTTCAGTTGGTTACCTTTATAACTTAAGTTCCTTGAGTTACCACCTGTAGACAGTATCTATTGGTTATGAAGAAAAACATATGTTTTTTTCTGTCTTCCATTTTTCTCTTCTACCATGGGACTCAGATTAGATATATTAGTATATTTGTTAAAAAGAATAATACTACTACTATAGGCCGGGTGCAGTGGCTCACGCCTATAATCCCAGCACTTTGGGAGGCCGAGGTGGACGGATCACACTGTCAGGAGTTGGAGACCAGCCTGGCCAACATGATGAAACCCTGTCTGTACTAAAAATACAAAAATTAGCTGGGTGTGGTGGTGGGCGCCTGTAATCCCAACTACTCGGGAGGCTGAGGCTGGAGAATCACTGGAACCCAGAAGGTGGAGGTTGCAGTGAGCTGAGATCTCACCACTGCACTCCAGCCTGGGCAACAGAGCAAGACTCTGTCTCGGAAAAATAGTTGTTTTTATTACTTTAAATAAATAGATTGTGCTGAACCCTTTATTATTATTTAATCTGCTTTGAACAACATCCATATCCCTTCCAATATCAAAAAGAGGAAATTGGCATACCTATCACATTGCCTCCTCCCAGTACTTGTTGTTACAGTATCATTGTTTCTACAGGGTCAAGATTTCTTTTTTTTTTTTTTTTTGAGACAGAGTCTAGCTCTGTCACCCAGACTGGAGTGCAGTGGCTCAATCTTGGCTCACTGCAACCTCCATCTCCCGGATTCAAGCGATTTTCCTGCCTCATCCTCCTGAGTAGCTGGCATTACAGTCATGCGCCACCACGCCCAGTTAAGTTTTGTATTTTTTAGTAGAGATGGGGTTTTGCCATGTTGGCCAGGCTGGTCTTGAACTCCTGACCTCAGGTGATCCGCCCACCTTGGCCTCTCAAAGTGGTGGGATTACAGGCATGAGCCACCACTCCTGGCCCATTGTCAAGATTTCTAGTATTTACATTCAGTTCTATAACTTAAATCCCCCACTTATTTAGATCTAGTTTTATATTTAGGTGGATTCAGTGTTCTCCACCATCCTTTATTATCGTTGCATTTCCTGAGGACCTTGTTCCACAATGTAAACCAACATGGTTTCCTTGATTAAGTCTTACTATCAAAAAATAGAAGAAAAAGGCCGGGCATGGTGGCTCACACCTGTAATCCTAGCACTTTGGGAGGTCGAGGCAGGCAGATCATGAGGTCAGGAGTTCAAGATCAGCCTGGCCAATATGGTGAAACCCCGTCTCTACTAAAAATAGAAAAATTAGCTGGGCGTGGTGATGTGCATCTATAGTGCCAGCTACTTGGGAGGCTGAGGCAGAAGAATCGCTTGAACCCGGGAGGTGGAGGTTGCAGTGAGCTGAGATTGCGCCACTGCACTCCAGTGTGGGCGAGAGAGCGAGACACTGTCTCAAAAAAAAAAAAAAAAAAAAAAAAGAAGAAGAAGAAAAATGGTCAGCTGAACTGAACAGTGTCCCTTGTCATATAGAGGATTATATTTTGGTACAAGTTCCTAGTCCCATTGTAGATTGGAGACAGTTTGCAGATCAGCAGTGGTCAAGGAACACATTTTGAGAAGCACAGTTTTACCCAGAACTTGAATAAATGTCCTTGATTTTTTTAAGTCTAAAATCCTCCCAGATAATGCAAGGGCTTAGAACACTTTACCTCCAATACCTTTTTCTGTTAATATGTATACTATTTGTTGTCATGTATATTAAGTTCTGTATTCTAGACTCCATAAGGCATTATTATTGTTTTATACAGTGAAAATTGAGATTTACCCACATATTTACTTTTTTGGGTTGGTCTTCATTCTATCCTACATACCTAAGCTCCCATCTTAGATGATATTTCTTCTACCTGAAGAAATCCCTTTAGTATATTTCAGTGTAGATCTGCAGGTAACATGATCTTTATTTTTAAGATTATTTTGTTTTATATTGTTTGAAAGTATTTTTATTTCATCTTTAATTTTGAAGGATATTTTCTCGGAATATAGAATTCTTTTGGATGTTTTTGTCAGTTGGCTAAATAAAAAAATAGAATCCTTCCAGCACTTTGAAGTTGTAATATTAATTTGATATATTCATATCATGTGACTGTATCTTAACCCTTAAGATTTATCACTCAGTGAAAATATTTTTTAGCAGGCTTATGATCAGAAGAACATTAGGCGAAGAGTTTATGATGCTTTAAATGTGCTAATGGCAATGAACATAATTTCAAAGGAAAAAAAAGAAATCAAGTGGATTGGCCTGCCTACCAATTCTGCTCAGGAATGTCAGAATCTGGAGGTAAGTGAGAAAATCTGTTTATGAATAGCTGTTTGCATTATTTTACATCACAGGCATTTTAATTTAAAAATGTAATTCTAATATAAAATATTTCCAATTTTTCATGTATACCATGTCATTTTTTAACAGACTGTAGAATTTTAGAATTGGAAGGCGCCTTATAGGTATAGTCTGCAGTTTAATTTGCAAATGATGAAACTGAGGGATATAAAAGTTGAATAACAATTTGATTTTACTGTTTCTTAGAGAAGATTTTTATTTCATCCTAAGTTAATTCTGAGCACTCTACTAATAAACTTTTGGTGAAATGGTATCTTATTTGATGAGATGCTTGCTGTATGTATCCAAAAAAAAAAAAAAAAAAGGATCAAGCCGGCTGTTTATTTCCTTTATTGGTTACACAATATTCTGAATATAGCTGTGGAAGTCAGACTTTTACTTTGAAATAGTAGCAACAGAATGAATAGTGTTTCATTTGTGTCTTTACCAGAATGGATAGAATTTTGGAATGATGTATGCAGAAGCATTTTAAGTTCTGTTAACTTTAAGCATTATAGAAAACTCTTCCTAAATGAGCATGTTCCCTGACATACTGTTTCTAAATTGACTTGACATAATTTTACTATCATGGCCATAAATGGAGTAAACTGAGGTTAAATATGGCTTCTGGGCCAGGGGCGGTGGCTCACGCCTGTAATCCCAGCACTTTGGGAGGCCGAGGTGGGTGTCAAAATGGTAAAACCCCGTCTCTACTAAAAATACAAAAATTAGCCAGTGGCAGACGCCTGTAATCCCAGCTACTTGGAAAGCTGAGGCAGGAGAATCGCTTGAACCTGGGAGGCAGAGGTTACAGTGAACCGAGATGGTGCCATTGCACTCCAGCCTAGGCGACAAGAGCAAGACTCCATCTTTAAAAAAAAAAAATATATATATATATATATATATATATATATACACATAGCTTTGGGAGATAATTAAGATTGGTTTCCTGTTTTTCTCAGTCTTTTCTCCCCAGCAATTCAGTTATTTGGTATTATTATACTTATGGATGGAGAGAGAAACCAGATATTCATCAGAAGCTATATAATATTTTTCATATGCTACAGTGGAAATATCCTCCTTTTCTTGTTTTTCTTCCTTCTCATAGAGTGGAATTTGAGCATCATTTTCATGACCAGTAATATTGAGCTGATACCAAAGACTCATTAAGCAAAAAAACCCTATTCACATCTACCTTGTGCTTAATCACAGGTTATACAAGGCAAATCTCTGACCCCAAGGTACTGTCATTCTCACCGGGGAGAAGAGAAATGTAAAAGAGTTACCGAAAATGTGATTACTCCTAAGAAAGAAATGTACAGATTCTCTGCAAAGAGGGCTGAGGGAGGGCTTTACCAAGGAGATAATCCCAGAGCTCAGGCATGAGGTGGGAGTAGTCTGCCAAGTGGATAAGGGTGGGGAGGGCCTTCAAGGCAGAGGTGCCACATGGGCTGAGACAGGCATGAGAAAGCTTGCCTGGAGCTGGGTGTGGCTAGGGAACAGGCATGGAGAAAGGAGGATAGATATCTAAGTGTTAAGCAGTGGAGACCTGATCCTGTAAACAAAGGGAAGCAGTTGATAAATTACAAAGAGAAGGGTTGATAGGATGTTTTTTAAAGGATCACTCTGCCAGTGGGTTGGAAATAAAATTAACAGGTAGGGAAGGAAATGGAATGGGGGAGGCGGATTAGAGATGGTCTGAGTTACGGCAGCGGCCATGAGATTGGAGAGGTGTTTTAGAGGTACAATCAGTGCAGCTTGACCTGGTTGGATGAGGGACAGGTAAGGGGCCTGGCTTGTCAGAGCTTCTGATAAAGGGATGCTCCTACAACATCTTTTCAAATGCAGAACGCCACACAGATTTTACAGTGAATCTTAAGTAATTTAAAAGTAAAACGTGGTGGATAGAGGAACCATGAATGGAAACTGCTAGTATAGACTAGACTGGATGTGGAGCAAGTAAGAGATAATCTGCTGGAGCAGACAAGAAAAATGTCTTATTTGATGATTGAAAGACAAAATTGTAACAAATTTAGTTTAAAGATCTTAATTGCCTTTTATTTGTGATTCTAGAATCTGGCAACACCTCACTAGTAAGTAGAATGAGTATTCCTATAAGCTGAGCAGAAGAGGTTGAACATTCTTCAGTGTTTTAAAGATAGAGAAGCAGCAAAGGCGGATAGAGGCAGAAACAGAACAAAAAGCAGACTGGACATATCAATGTCACTTTCCTTGTAAGGGTAAAATAGAGAAGACTCTCTTATGCCAGCTGCAACTGGCCTGTTTGGGTAGTTTGCTATTCTCTTTCTCTCCTGATTTCCTAGGTCAGATAAACAACTCAGTTTTGGCCTGGTGGCATTTCAGCATGAGTGACTCCATTTTTGTTTGGTCTGTTGAGCTTAGTGCAGGAGCTCAGTCCAAACCAATGGGCTCCTATAAATTTTCTTTTTTTTTTTGTTGAGTTGGAGACTTGCTCTGTCACCCAGGCTGGAGTTCAGTGGCGCAATCTTCGGCTCACTGCAACCTCCGCCTCCCGGGTTCGAGCAATTCTCCTGCCTCAGCCTCCCGAGTAGCTGGGATTACAGGCGCCTGCCAACACGCCTGGCTAATTTTTTTTTTTTTTTTTTTTTTTTTAGTAGAGACGAGGTTTCACCTTATTGGCCAGGCTGGTCTCTTGGCCAGGCTGGTCTCGAACTCCTGACCTTGTGATCCGCCCACCTCGGCCTCCCAAAGTGCTGGGATTACAGGCTGAGCCACCGCGCCTGGCCATAACTTTTCTTAATAAATGTCATTGGCTTTTGCCCAAGGAGACAGTGAGGAACTCAACTGCAAGGAAGTTCAGACCCTAATGTCTGTTTTCTCTGAGTAGTTATCAGATTGAGAAAAAAAGCAGTAGTTTGAAGCTGGAAAATTTGTCCAATAAGCATGTTTCTTTTTTTTTTTTTCTTTTTGAGACAGGGTCTTGCTTTGTTGTCCAGGCTGGAGTGCAGTGGCATGATCTTGGCTCACTGCAATCTCTGCCTCCCAAGTTCAAGCAATTCTCGTGTCTCAGCCTCCCAATTAGCTGGGACTACAGATGCGCGCCACCACACCTGGCTTTTGTATTTTTTGTAGAGATAGGGTTTCGCCATGTTGGCCAGACTGGTCTCAAACTCCTGATCTCAAGTGATTCTCCCCCCTCGGCCTCCCAAAGTGTTGGGATTACAGGCGTGAGCCACCACACCCAGCCTACCATGATGTGTGAGATATCTGTATTATCAGCTGTCCTCATTGGAGAGTCAGCTAAGCTGGAATTGTAAATAAGATCTTGCCTTATTCTTAGAGGAGTAATATAACAAAGTAATTAATAATAGAGTCCCTGTAACCAGAGGATTTAGGTTCAAATCTTGGCTCTTGCCATTCACTAGCTGCGTGACCTTGGGTAGTTACTTAAGCCCTCTATGCCTCCGTTCCCTTCGATGCAAAGTGGATAACAACAGGACTTAACTCATAAGGTTTTTGTGAAGGTGAATTAAGATAATGTGTGTAAAATGCTTACTTTTGTGTTGGCAGATAGAGTGAGTATAAACTAAGTGGTACTATTACTTTGATTAGAACTTGAATAATAATTGCAACAAGTACTGCTAACAAGTATTCATTAAGTGTATGATTTCATTTTTAATGACAGTTGCCACAGATCTGATGTTGTGTCTACTTGTTCACTCCAGCCCCTGCCCCCTACAAAGATATGATTTGTCTTTATTCATATTGTTAAAATGGGTTCAGTTTCTCTAGGGAAAATTGTTATCTCAGAATAGGGACCTGGAAAGTGAACGATATTTTATAGTCTACCTATGTTCATATTATTTTGTAACCAATGTTTTAAAGATAGAGAAGCAGAGGCGGATAGAACGGATAAAGCAGAAGCGGGCCCAGCTGCAAGAACTTCTCCTACAGGTAAAGATACCGAGATGTTTTCATTACCTTCCCTGTTTCTCCACTTGCTGCCTTTTGGAGTCAGTGTGTTTTCTAATTGTGGTGCCTCTGAGTGGTGTGTGGTGAGCCCACGCCAGGGCAGCCTCTCTCACCTCCTAGCTTGTTGCCATCCACGTGCTCTGCCTTAAGATGGTCCCATCTGTTGCCATCATCTCAGCTCCACAGTAGCTTCCCTGCCCTGTGTGTGACTTACGCCAGGCAGCAGTTCACTGTTGACACTCAGGCCTCTCTAAACATAAACTGTCAGGGGTCTTTTTGTGTTTGTTTATTTTAGCCCGAATTTGGAATATCCACTAGTGAAGCTAGTTAAATTTTAGGTGCTTCAAGTACAGTAATCAAATCTGCCTGTAATACTTAATTTTATCAGTAAATGACAGAATGGCATGAAATAGTTCAGTAAGATTTTTGTTGTTGTTGTTTTTTGAGACTGAGTCTCACTCTTTCGCCAGGCTGGAGTGCAGTGGTGCGATCTTGGCTCACTGTAACCTCTGCCTCCCGGGTTCAAGCCATTCTCTGCCTCAGCCTCCCAAGTAGCTGGGATTACAAGTACCCGCCACCATGCCTGGCTAGTTTTTTCGTATTTTTAGTAGAGACGGGGTTTCACCATCTTGGCCAGGCTGGTCTTGAACTCCTGACTTTGTGATCCACCCGCCTCAGCCTCCCAAAGTGCTGGGGTTACAGGCATGAGCCACCACACTGGGTCTGTTTCAGTAAGATTTATAGAAATACCAAAATTTAGGCCGGTTATATATATATATATCTCATATATATGAGATATATATATGTTATATATATATATATCTCATATATATGAGATATATATATATGTTATATATATATATCTCATATATATGAGATATATATATATGTTATATATATATCTCATATATATGGGATATATATGTTATATATATATCTCATATATATGAGATATATATATATGTTATATATATATATCTCATATATATGAGATATATATGTTATATATATATCTATATATGAGATATATGTTATATATATATCTATATATATGAGATATATGTTATATATATCTATATATATGAGATATATATGTGTTATATATATCTATATATATGAGATATATATGTGTTATATATATCTATATATATGAGATATATATGTGTTATATATATCTATATATATGAGATATATATGTTATATATATCTATATATATGAGATATATATGTGTTATATATATCTATATATGAGATATATATGTGTTATATATATCTATATATGAGATATATATGTTATATATATCTATATATGAGATATATATGTGTTATATATATCTATATATGAGATATATATGTGTTATATATATCTATATATGAGATATATATGTGTTATATATATCTATATATGAGATATATATGTGTTATATATATCTATATATGAGATATATATGTTATATATATCTATATATGAGATATATATGTTATATATATCTATATATATGAGATATATATATGTTATATATATCTATATATATGAGATATATATGTTATATATATCTATATATGAGATATATATATGTTATATATATATCTATATATGAGATATATATGTTATATATATCTATATATGAGATATATATGTTATATATATGATATATATGTTATATATATGAGATATATGTTATATATGAGATATATGTTATATATAGTTATATATTATATATATTATATGTTATATATAGTTATATATATTATATATTATATATATTGTTATATATTATATATAATTATATATAATATATAATATATAAATAATAATGTTTTGTTTGAAGAGAATATTGTGCAGCTTTAAAAAAAAAAAAAGCTGAAACTGACAGTTTATTCCTATGCTCCTGCCTGTAGAATTCTACCAAACACTCCTCCTTGAACTCCTGTGCTGCCATCTTCTTCCCCCCGGCAGCCTCTCTGTTGTCCCTGTCCCTGCACAGTTATCTGCAGTATCCCCTAAGAGCTCATGCCCCAAACCCTGTGCTGGGGCCCTCCTGGAATTTCTTCAAAACCATGGAACATTTTGGAGCTTAATTTTTTTGGCACGTTATTTTTAAAAACCTGTTTATCAGCATGCCAACAGTCATCTGCCTATCAGAAAGAATGGTGCTGGGCAAGATCACCCTCATGTGTGTAGGACTTTCCTGTCTCTAGATGCCTGATGCAAAGAATGAAACCATATTTTTTCCCTGCTTACCTCTGTACCATGAACATTGTTTTTTTATTTTTTAAAGTCTTGAACTTCTTTTCCTCTACTGTCTCTCAAACCAAATATTTGTAGAAGAGTTCCACCCAGGGGCAACATGGCTGTCAACATTCATAGAAACAGGTCTCTCTAAACATTAAAGTGAAACCCAAAGTATAACTGAAATCAACTTGTGGTCTTCTGGTAAACTTAAAACTTATTTCCAAAGGCCGGATGTGGTGGCTCACGCATGTAATCCCAGCACTTTGGGAGGCGGAGACGGGCAGATCACCTGAGTTCAGGAGTTCGAGACCAGCCTGACCAACATGGAGAAACCCCGTCTCTACTAAAAATACAAAAAATTAGCCAGGCATGGTGGCGCATGCCTGTAATCTCAGCTACTTGGGAGGCTAAGGCAGGATAATCTCTTGAACCTGGGAGGCAGAGGTTGCAGTGAGCTGAGATCGCCCCACTGCACCCTAGCCTGGGCAACAAGAGCGAAACTCTGTCTCAAAAAAAAAAAAAACAAAAAACTTATTTCCTCCTAGCATTTCAGTTTTTTTCCTTTCATCAAATAAATTAAGTTGTCATAGAAAGTAAATTAAGCAGCCAGGCACAGTGGCTTACTCCTGTCATCCCAGCACTTGGGGAGGCCGAGGTGGGCAGATCACGAGGTCAGGAGTTTGAGACCAGCCTGACAAACATGGTGAAACCCCGTCTCTACTAAAAATAAAAAAATTAGCCAGGCATGGTGGTGCACACCTGAAATCTCAGGTACTCAGGAGGCTGAGGCAAGAGATTCACTTGAACCCGGGAGGCGGAGGTTGCAGTGAGCCGAGATTGCACCACTGCACTCCAGCCTGGGCAACAGAGCAAGACTCTGTCTTTTTTTTTTTTTTTTTTTTAATAAGTAATCCATTTGCTGTGGCTAAGCTCACTTGATTTTTTTTTATAAGCTCATGTCACAACTCACTCATGTCACATGACACAGGTAACTATTACCTCCTTGCTACCACCTCTCTTTTATTTTTGGTAATGTAGAAGAATGGAGTGAGTAAAGCAAACCTGTAGATAATCCCAATATCCTACTTTTATCTCTATAATTGCCCTTTCCAGCCCTTAAACCTTTTCCATAATAAACGCATAGGAAAATGAATGAACACACTTAAAGCTGTTCAGCCTCTGGAATAGATGTTAATGAGTTTGAAAAAGAACAAAAGGCCAAAGGAAATCAATCAAAGGGCAACAAATAAGTCAGTTCAAAATAAGTGAATTATTTTTCCTTTTACTATCCAAAATAACATTATATGGTATATGAAATTTGTGACAGTGTTAAAAAAAACATTATTATGACCAGGTGCAGTGGCTCATGTCTGTAATCCCAGCACTTTGGGAGGCCGAGGTGGGCAGATCACAAGGTCAGGAGTTCGAGACCAGCCTGGCCAATATGGTAAAACCCCGCCTCTACTAAAAATGCAAAAATTAGCCAGGCATGGTGGCGGGTGCCTGTAGTCCCGGCTACTCGGGAGGCTGAAGCAGGAAAATCATTTGAACCTGGGAGGCGGAGGTTGCAGTGAGCTGAGATCGTGCCACTGTACTCCAGCCTGGGCAACAGAGTGAGACTCCGTCTCAAAAAAATAATAATAAATAATAATAATAAAAACATTATGTTTTTACTGCTCTCTTCACTTGAAAAACCATTGATACTATTAAATGTACACAGCATTAAATAGTGAATCACAAATACATAAGGGCCATTAGTTATCACTGCTTATATTCCCCCATATACCAGGGTCCTCTTGTGGCACTAGGGACAGACACCAAGTTAGGCAAAGTGTAGGAACAGCTCTTGAGATGTGTATTCTAGTAAAAGGGAAGAGAAGCTATGCAGGAGTATTTAAGCATGTAATTCTTTTTCTCAGTTCCACAGTTTAATCATAATTTTTCCTCATTATTAAAGGAATTAAGCAATGAATTCGTTTTTTAGCAACAGAAAATAATGAAATGTAACCTCAATAATGTTTGGTAATGATATTGATAGTGCTAGTTATTGATAGTGATTTTTGGACACACTTAGGTCTACAATAAATTGGTGTTCATTATTTTTTGTGCTTTTCAAAGAGTAAATCTTCCCCTTTTGGGGAGATAGCACTCAGCCATTTTAAGATAATAGTAATCTTTTCTTTTCTTTTCTTTTTTCCTTTCCTTTCCTTTCCTTTCCTTTCCTTCCCCTTTCCTTCCCCTTCCCCTTCCCCTTCCCCTCCCCCTTCCCCTTCCCCTCCCTTCTCTTCCCTTCTTTTCTTTCCTTTTTTTCTTTTCTTTTTCTTCTTGAGAAAGGGCTCTGTTGCCCAGGTTGGAATGTAGTGGCACAGTCATAGCTCACTGCATCCTCCAACTCCTAGGCTCAAGAGAACTTCCCACTTCGGCCTCCCAAAGTGCTGAGATTACAGGTGTGAGCTACCATGCCTGGCCAATAATAGTAATCTTACTGAAACTTTAGTTAAGGTCCAGAACCTGAAATAAACAATACTGATCATAAGATTGCTAAAATGTAAAAAATAAATTTATCACTACTGGGTGACAAGATTATAACAAGCTAATGAAGGGGAATGAATGGCTCTGACTTGAGGAACTTTTAAAACGTTATCTGTTTCTTGAGCAGATGAAAAACTTGAACTGCATACAGTCTTTCTAGCTGTGAAATTCTATCGTACATTTACCTTATTAAAAAAAGGGAGATCACTTGTTTGTTTGTTGGTTGGTTTTTCTCAGACAGAGTTTTGCTCTTGTTGCCCAGGCTGGAGTGCAGTGGTGCAATCTCGGCTTACTGCAGCCTCCGTCTAAAAGGGAGATCACTTTCTTTGGCTTTTGAGTAATGGTTATAACTAAAAGTAGCGGCAAGATCCAGTAAAAAAATTTAGGCCTTGATGTATCTTATAATTAGTGCTGAGCCTCAGTTACCTCATCTGGAAATGTCTGGTTGGGGAAGGCTGGGGCTGGATTCCAAACTGTGCCCAGAGGCTGCTGAGAAGTTCTGTGGAGGTGCCTTAGAAACCATGTGGCTGTGCTTGAGGGCAGAGATGGCAGAGCTTAGGACCTGGCCTCACTGCAGCCAGCCTCAACAGCACCACTTCCATCTGTTTTACATGAGTTTTTTTTTGTTTTGTTTTGAGACAGGGTCTCATTCTGTCACCCAGGCTGGAATGGAGTGGTATGATCTCTGCTCACAGCAAATTCTGCCTCCTGGATTCAAACAATCCTCCCACCTCAGCCTCCTGGGTAGCTGGGACTATAGGCACATACCACCATGCCCAGCTAGTTTTTGTATTTTTTGTAGAGATAGGGTTTTGCCATGTTGCCCAGGTTGGCCTTAAACTCCTGGACTCAAGCAATCAACCTGCTTTGGCCTCCCAAAGTGTTGGGATTACAGGCGTGAGCCACTGTGCCCAGCCTCCCTCGAGATTTTATTTGAAGAAACAATTTTGTGCCTTTAAAATGTTTGCATATCCCTGGGCTACACATCCTAAAGTTTGGGGGCATATTTGACCCCAAACTGTCAGGAGTCTATGTTAGATAAATGGTATCACCCTTGCTGTGTCATTTGCTGAAGAGTTCCAGGTGCCTACTGGTTCTTTCCCAGATTGTGAGGTCCTGTTTCTATGGATGATGGAAAAATGTATTTATTGAGTTGGATCATTCTTTCTTAAATGTTTAATTTTTTAAATTAATTCATTAGTGCAGGCGGGATGTCTCTTTAAACTCTAATTTTAAACTATATTTAAAGGTATTATCTTAATTCTTTTAAATTCCAACTCACTTATGCACAATTGACCATATTGTTTTTATTGATCATTACAGCAAATCGCTTTCAAAAACCTGGTACAGAGAAATCGACAAAATGAGCAGCAAAACCAGGGCCCGCCGGCTCTGAACTCTACCATTCAGCTGCCATTCATAATCATCAATACAAGCAGAAAAACAGTCATAGATTGCAGCATCTCCAGTGACAAGTGAGTGGAGAACTAGGGATGGGTGCAGGGCTGGCCTTCTGTTAACATTTTCATATCATTTGCAAACTCAAGAAGGATGCACTTTATTAGTTGCACCCCTCAAAGGCTGGCTTCCTTGGGGCACATGAAACACCTCCTGAACCATGGGTGCAATCTTCCACTAGTGTGCGCTCCAACCCTCACCCTCTGTGGTCCCCTGTCTTGTGCCAGGCACTGTGCTGTCTGTATTATATGTGTGTGGCAGTGTCTGGGCCCAACCTATGACGTGCTGCATGTATGTGGTAACTCTGAGCAAGTAACTGTGATAAGTTAGCCCAGCACTGTGGGTCTGGGACAAGGTAGATTCATTGGTGATTCACCGTCATAGTTTATTACGGAAATATTTTAGGTCAACATGTGGCATTAAACCAATTATTTCTTTGTTTTGCTATATCATAGTTATGCATGCTTCTGTTTATTAATGAATGTATGAATAGACATGAAAATGCCTGGCACATTCTTTGCTTCCTTTAAATTGTGTTTTTACATTTTAACTAAGATCAATGATAATATTCATTATGGCAAATAAGAAGTAGCACTTTTCAAAATATAGAATTAATTTGTGATGTATTTTACCATTCATGAAAAAGTTTCTCTCAGTGGTCTTCAGGCTGTGACCAGTACCATAAAAGAGTTAAGAGTATATATAGGGTGCAGAGTGAGACGGATCCATGTACCGCTTATGGCTCCCCCACTTCGCTGCTGCAAAGCTCTGTTTTCTCAAGAACAAATAGGAATGATACTGGGTCCCCTATGACTTCCCAGCCTTGTGAGGATTAAATGAGTTAATGTCTATAATGACTTGAGGTAAGTGTTTTTTAAATGTTAGCTGCTGTTACAAAAGGTCAGCCTATAGTTTATTGTTCAAATAGGGATTTATTAATGCAAAAGAAGACTCTATAATAATTGCGTCAGTACCACAGGCATACCCCAGAACTGTCCCAGGGATACCAGAACTTCCTGTCTCCTAGGGCCCTGACATTGCCCTTGGGCTTCACTGCTACTTGTTTTCCCACTCTTCTTCCTGGCGCTCTTGCGCCCCCTGCCGGTCTCTGTTGTGTCCAGAGATTCCGGGCCACTCCACTAAGAAGGCACACACACAAAAGAAGAGTTAGCCAGGCGTGGTGGTTCACACCTGTAATCCCAGCACTCTGGGAGGCCGGAGGCTAGTGGATCACCTGAGATCAGGAGTTCGAGACCAGCCTGGCCAACATAGTGAAACCCTGTCTCTACTAAAAATACAAAAATTAGCCAGGCTTGGTGGCGCACGCCTGTAGTCCCAGCTACTAGGGAGGCCAAGGCAGGAGAAACGCTTGAACCTGGGAGGCAGGGGTTGCAGTGAACCGAGATTGTGCCACTACACTCCAGCCTGGACGACAGAGCAAGACTCTGTCTCGAAAAAAGAAAAAAGAAAAAAACAGCAGGAATTTCAAAACTATTTGATAATTGAGACTATAGACACAAAAAGAAATAGTAGAGGTTATGAAGTAAACCAGAACCAATAAATTTTTTTTTAAGAGTGGATTCTTGGCCGGGCGTGTTGGCTCATGCCTGTAATCCCAGCACTTTGGGAGGCCAAGGCAGGCAGATCACCTGTGGTCAAGAGTTTGAGACCAGCCTGACCAACATGGTGAAACCCTGTGGCTACTAAAAATACAAAAATTAGCGTGATGATGCACACCTGTAATCCCAGCTACTCGGGAGGCTGAGGCAGGAGAATCACTTGAACCCAGGAGGCAGAGGTTGCAGTGACCCAAGATTGTACCATTGCACTCCAGCCTGGGCAGCAAGAGCAAAACTCCGTCCCCCCCAAAAAAAGAGTGGATTCTCACTGTTCTCACTGTTGCCCAGGTTGGAGTGCAGTGGCTATTTACAGGCACGATTATAGCTCACTGCAGCCTCAAACTCCTGGGCTCAAGCGGTCCCCCTGCCTCAGCCTTCCTAGTAGCCAGGACTGCAGGTGCACACTTCCTTGGCCAACTAAAGCTGATCCATTTTTTAATCTTCTAAGTTTCTTAACCTCTCTGAGATCATGTTCCTTTCTCCACAAAAATAAGAATTATAGTATTTACCTTGCCAGTTTCAAAAAGTTATGGGTAAATTAATATACAACCCAGCCCAGTGGTCAGTAAGTGGTAGATATCTGAATTATTTTCCACACACTTGCAAATTCTTTATAAATATATGTCAAAGAGGACCATTAACATAGTCTCAGAAAACTGAGAATTCAGGCCGGGCACGGTGGCTCACACCTGTAATCCCAGCACTTTGGGAGGCCAAGGTGGGTGGATCATAAGGTCAGGAGTTCGAGACCAACCTGACCAACATGGTAAAACCCCCATTTCTACTAAAAATACAAAAATTAGCCAGGCATGGTGGCACGCGCCTGTACTCCCAGCTACTCAGGAGGCTGAGGCAGGAGAATCACTTGAACCCAGGAGGTGAAGTTTGCATTGAGCCGAGATCGTGCCACTGCACTCCAGCCTGGGCGACAGAGCAAGACTCTGTCTCAAAAAAAAAAAAAAAAAAAAAAAACAACAAAAAACTGAGAATTCTGGAAAATGGTTAGCATCTTTTCAGATAAAAAACACAAAACTTAGCATTCTAGTTACTCTCTCAAATTAGTCTCTTGTTTTGTATGGAGAATTATAAAACTATCTTAGGTTAGTCTCTTAAGTCTAAAAAGAATGATGGGAAAATCTGGGAATCATTGGCCTAGGGTATTGTGGACACTGTTCCCCCAGGCTGGAATCTGGTGAGGCTTCCATCTCTTGGGTGGTCCCTGACTCATGCCCTTTCCTTGGCCTTCCTTTGAGTGGAGGGAAGGAGGCTCTGAGTAGCTTGTACAAGCTTGTTATCCGACGTAGGTCCAAAAACCCTTTCAGTTACTTTGGTGATGCAGTCTTTCCCCATAATTAGCCAAGAGGCTTTCCACAATGAGGATTACATTTACAAAACGATCTGCTTTTAACAGATGCCTGAAATCATCCCTGTGGCAGGCACCCACTTCAGATTTTTTTTTTTAAGTTGTTATTGTACTTTAATCAAATTCATATACTTTAGATTACTTAAATTGGTATTTTGCTTCAAATTATAATTTTTGCTTCTAAGATAATCTGTTATTCAAATTATCTTAGATAGGGTATAAAGTTTTACCCTCACATGATTTTAATAGAATTTCATGACCAGGTGAAACCTACCATTGTCCCCAAACCCTGTCCCTGCAGGGCTGAGGCCCATGATGAAGGTGCTCCAGGCCTAGCCTAGGAGTCGGAAGGACTGTGTCTTCCTTCTTTTGCCTCTTGATTAACGTGTGTTGGGCTGCTGGGAAGCTGGGAATCCAATTTGGGTACTTTCCAAACATATTTGGAAACGTGCTTGTATTACATGTGACATTTTTTCTTAAAACATTTTACTCCTTAGCCTCTCAGGACAGGATTTGGGGTTGTTTTCACTTGTTGAAAGTCTTCTATTTATTGCTTATCTGAAGTAGGCTGTAGCTAACATTTGACTCATGAAAATGAAGTAAGCATTCAAAATGTTTTTTTCCTCAAAGCTAACAGGCCAACTCGGAATAGGGATATCGTAATATTAAAGTAGAAAGGCTTTTCTTTTGTGGCAAAGCTGTAGGCAACTTTGAGAAGTACTGGATTTAGAATAAAATTTCTATCCTCTGTTTGTAACAGAGTTAGGGCTAAAGTTTGTGGGTTTCTATCATCTGTCAGAGGAATGTTGTTTTAATTGGGAAAGTGTTTTATTTGAGATGTCATTCCCCTGACAGAGCAGAATGACTCATGGCTCTCTAAATGGTAGCAATTTCTAGCACTATAGCTGGATTTAGGCCCCCATTCTGTTACTTAAACTATAGAATACAAAACTATTCAGACCTCTCCAGCACCACCAAAAACCCTTTACTTTGTTTCCTGATGCAGGTTTGAGTATCTTTTCAATTTTGACAACACCTTTGAGATCCATGATGACATAGAAGTACTAAAGCGGATGGGAATGTCGTTTGGCCTGGAGTCAGGCAAATGCTCTCTGGAGGATCTGAAACTTGCGAAATCCCTGGTGCCAAAGGCTTTAGAAGGTTATATCACAGGTATGTTAACTGATGCTTTCATGTGTTGTCCCTGATTAAATGTTGAATCCAAACTTGTTAAAACCTTTCTTATAGAAAATTGCAAAATTTTAGAACATCTGTGCTTGTGTCGACAAACTGAAACCTTTAACACTTTAGGACCATTTTTTCAAAAATTAGATTAAATAGTTTGTTTCATAACATTATGAACTTACATCTATACACCACACATTATATACTATTACATCTAAATTGGCTCACTCAGCACTGAATTTGGCTCTTCAGAGAGATCTTGTAATTCCCAGTACCTAGCTTAGAGCCTAGTTAGAGTAAGCTAGTAAAAGCTCAATGAGGGAGTTTTAAAAAATCTTCTCTTAGTGCCCTGTGGATACTTCAAGGGAAACTTTGGGCAATTTACAAAAGAAAGTAGGTACATCCTGGCCGGGCGCTGCAGCTCACACCTGTAATCCCAGCACTTTGGGAAGCCAAGACGGGTGGATCACCTGAGGTCGGGAGTTCGAGACCAGCCTGGCCAACATGGTGAAACCCTGTCTCTACTAAAAAAATACAAAAAATTAGCCGGGCGTGATGGCACATATCTGTAATCCCAGCTACTCAGGAGGCTGAGGCAGGAGAATCACTTGAACCTGGGAGGTGGAGGTTGCAATGAGCTGAGATCGCCATTGCACTCTAGCCTGGGCAAGAAGAGTGAAACTCTGTCTCAAAAAAAAAAAAAAAAAAAAAAAAGTAGGTACATCCTACTTCCCTCTAATGGAAAATTTAGTATATCTATTATCTGCCCATACATAAAAACATTTGATTAATTGAATTCAGAGAGGAGGAGTGGACTGAAAGTTTAAATGTCAGGGGAAAAAAGGGCAGAACGGGGTAAACCTGGATTCACATTTGTGTACGCTGCTCCTCTTTACAGTAAAACTTCTCAAGTTGACCATATTTACTGTTCCTTCTTCCTCTTTCCCCAGTCTTAAATTGTTCTTATTAAATACTGAGTAGATACAAAGGTTGTTTACGTCTGTAGACTCTGAAGGGTCACAGTACAGTAGACCCCCATGAATCCAGCACCCAGCTGAGGAAAGCACATTACTGTTCCAGTCCACTGCATGCCCCTGCCCCAGGCTCTGTGCCCTTTCCCACCCCTCAAATATAACCATTCTCTTACATTTCATTGTCATTCACTTGCATTTCTTTAGAGATAAACCAAAATGGTAAACTGGAAATAATGTATTATTTAGTTTTGCCTACTTCTGGCCTCTATATAAGTGAAGTCATAGTAATATACTCTTTGGTGATTTGATTTTTTTTCACTCGATATTATGTTCTTTAGAGTCATCCATGTGATTTAATATAGATATAATTCATACATTCTTACTCCTGTGTAAAATTCCATTATATGAATACATCACAGCTTATCTGTTTATTTTACTGAAAATAAACTGTTTGTTTCCGATTGCTTGATGTTAAAATACAGTGCTGCTTTGAACATTCCTATACATGTATCCCAGTGACCACATGCAAACGTACAGATTGAACTTGTTAGGTCAGAGTTGGGTACATCTTCAGCTTTACTAGATGATACCAAAAATTTTCAATTTGATTTTACCAAATTACACGTTCCCCAGCAGAGTAGAAGTGTTCTATTTTCCTAATCAGGTGGGTCTGAAATGATACCATTGTAGCTTTTCTAAATTGAGATTGAATTCACATGCCATAAAATACACCATTTAAAAATGTCAGTTCAGTGATGTTTTGGTATATTCACAAGGTTGCTAATCATCACCACTATCTGATTCCAGAATATTTTAATTTAAAAACCCAAAAAGAAACCCAAACCCATTAACAGTCTCTATTCCCCCATTCTCCCTCAGCCCCTGGCAACCACTAATCTACTTTGTGTCACTATGGATTTGCCTATTCTAGAAAGACGCTTTATGTGAATGGAACCCTACAGCATGGGGCATTTTGTGGATAGCTTCTTTCACTTAGTGTAGTGTTTCAAGGTTCGTTCATGTTGTAGCACCATCAGTATTTCATTCCTCTTTATTGCCAAATACTATTCCATTGTATGGATGGACCACATTTTGTTTATCCATTCATCAGTTGGTAGATATTTGGACTGTTTCCACTTTTTGGCTATCTCGAATGATGCTGCTGTTAACATTCTTATAAAAGTTTATGTGTAAACATATGTTTTTATCTCTAAAAACATATACCTACGAGTGAAATTGCTGGGTCATATGGTAACTCTGTGTTTAACATTTTAAGGAAATACCAAACTGTTTTCCAAAGCTCCTGTACCATTTACAGTCCAACCAGTGGATAAGTGTTCCAATTTCTCCACATCCTTACTTACTTATTTAGAGACGGAGTCTCACTCTGTCGCCCAAGCTGGAGTGCGGTGACGTAATTTGGCTCACTGCAACCTCCACCTCCCAGGTTCAAGTGATTCTCCTGCCTCAGCCTCCTGAGTAGCTGGGATTACAGGCACCTTGCCGCTATGCCCGGTTAGTTTTGGTATTTTTAGTAGAGACAGGATTTCACCATGTTGGCCAGGCTGATCTGGAACTCTTGGCCTGAATTCACCTGCCTCAGCCTCCCAAAGTGTTGGGATTATACATGTGAGCCACCGTGCCTGCCCTCCATATCCTTTTCTACACTTGTCACTATACATCTTTTGAATTATAGCCATCCTCACAGAAGTGAAGTGATATCTCGCTGTGATTTTTGTGGGGGGGGTGGGGCAGGGTGGTGGTGGAGGGGAGAGAGTCTTGCTCTCCAGGCTGGAGTGCAGTGGCGCAATCTCTGCTCACTGCAGCCTCGAACTCATGGGCTCAAACGATCCACCCACCTCAGCCTCCTGAGTAGCTGGGACCACAGATGTGTGCCACCATGCCCGGTTAAATCTTTTTTTTTTTTTTGATATGTTTGGTAGAGATGGGGTTTTGCCATGTTGTCCAGGCTAGTCTCAAAGTTCTGAGCTCAAGCGATCCACCTGCCTTGGCTCCCACTGTGATTTTGATTTGCATTTCCATAATGACTTCTGATGTTGAGCATCTTTTCATGTGTTTATTGACTATTTGTATGTCTTCCTCAGAAATATGTCTATTCACATTGACTTTTTTTTTGAGATGGAGTCTCTCTCTGTTACCCAGGCTGGAGTGCAATGGTGCAGTCTCAGCTCACTGCAAGCTCCACCTCCCGGGTTCAGGCGATTCTCCTGTCTCAGCCTCCCAAGTAGCTGGAATTACAGGCGCCCACCACCACGCCCAGCTAATTTTTGTATTTTTAGTAGAGACAGGGTTTCACCACGTTGGCCAGGCTGGTCTCGAACTCCTGACCTCAGGTGATCCACCCGCTTCGGCCTCCCACAGTCCATCCTTTGCTCATTTTTAAGTAGAGTTACTTGTCTTTTTATAGAGTTGTAAAGTTATACTGAGTATACTTGAAAACAGAAGCACTATGTTTTACATGTCCTATAATTAAGATTTTTTTCACTAATTTAGAAATCTTCCTGATTTTCCTAATTCCTGAAAATATTACATATTTTGTAGATACAATTTGACTATATAGGTTGGGTGCGGTGGCTTACGCCTGTGATCCCAGCACTTTGGGAGGCTGAGGCAGGCATATCACTTGAGGTTAGGAGTTCAAGACCAGGCTGACCAACATGGCAAAACCCCATCTCTACTAAAAATACAAAAATTAGCCAGGCATGGTGACACATGCCTGTAATTCCAGTTATTTGAGAGGCTGGGGCAGGAAAATCACTTGAACCTGGGAGGCAGAGGTTGCAGTGAACGGAGATTGCACCACTGCACTCCAGCCTGGGCAACAGAGCGAGACTCTGTCTTTTAAAAAAAGAAATGAATATATAAGCAGTGTTTTTGCCTTTGCTTTCTTTTGTTTATTTTATTTGTAAGTATAACCATCTAGAATTTCACATCGCTTTTTAAAGGCATTTTAATACTAGGTCTAAGATACATTAAATCCAATGTAAGCAAAAAGGTAGCTTTAATTTTGTTTTATTCTATGATTTGGTCCTTTGCTCACAACAGAAGAGTTTGTTGGCTGAGATTTGGTTTCTGTTTTAGTTCTTCGGTTGGCACCATTCATCCCCTGCAAGGGCCCCCCGCCTCTCCTTGCCCCTCAGCCCACCTGTTCCGTCTCCCCACCCAGCTTTCCTCTCTCCACGCTCTCCAGCCTGGGTCCTGCTGTGTCATTGGAAGGCCAGCAGAATCTGAATAAAGGGCTTACTCAATAAATCACCAGAACTTTATTTTAGCTTACTCCCAGTGAAAAGGCTCAGGGCGATTAGGCAGGCTCTGTGGTTTTGATCTCTTCGTGACCTCATTTGCAGACTGGGATACAGACTTTCTGGTTAGTTCAAAGGAAGAAACATGTGCCTCTCGTGTGTAAAGGGGCAGAATGGCCTGGGTGGGAGTGTGAGAACCATTGTGTGGATCCTGTGATAATAGGAAAGAAATGTAGGCTTTTCCAATTCATTGTAAAAAGAGAATGTAATGTGTTATGCTCACAAACAAGTAAATAGCTGTGTTCTGACAGAAGGTTTCTATAGTTCTATATACTAATTAATATTCAGCACAAGATTCTGGCTTTAATTTTATTTTCTTGTACAGACTTGTCGTTATTTAATGTATTTAAAGTCTGCTATTCTTCTTAGACTTGAAGTCTCTTTTTTTTCCCAGCTGTCTCAAAGAAAAAGGTTCATAAGACGGTTCTAAAATTAGCATAGTCATTTAGTTTACTTTTTTCCTACGTGGGAATGGCCTCTTGTTTGGATACCAGAGTTTCCAATCTAAATCATATAGTTTCATTTTTTTGTATAGTAATTGCAAAAAGATTTTGATTCAATTAAATCATAGCTCATTTTGGCAGATTACATTTTCTGAGTATGTGTTTGGGCTTATAGAATTTCTTTTTAGGAATTACTTTTAATGTATCTACCACTTATTTTGTAAAGTGGCAGCTGACAGAGACTATACTCATTCATTCAGTAACTTTTTTGTTTTTTTGTTTTTTTTTGTTTTTTTTGAGACAGTCACTCAGGCTGGAGTGCAGTGGCACGATCTCAGCTCACTGCAACCTCCGCCTCCTGGGTTCAAGTGATTCTCCTGCCTCAGTCTCTCTAGTAGCTGGGATTACAGGCATGTATCACCATGCCTGGCTAATTTTTGTATTTTTAATAGAGATGGGGCTTTGCTATATTTGCCAGGCTGGTCTCGAACTCCTGAGCTCAATCTGCCCGCCTTGGCCTCCCAAAGTGCTGGGATTACAGGCATGAGCCACCGCGCCCCGCCACATTTAGATCTTACATGTTCCAGTTACTGCCTTCTTTGAGCTAACACTGTAGATGGGAAGATAAAAAGTATTAAACCAGTAAAATTACAATAAGAATTGATCAGTGTTGTCATAGGATAAATGTGGTATATGTATAGAAAAGAAGATGGCAAGGAGATATCCAAAATATTTTCTTTTCTTTTTTTCTTTTATTTTTTGAGATGGAGTTTCGCTCTTGTTGCCCAGGCTGGAGTGCAGTGGTGCAATCTCAGCTCACTGCAACCTCCGCCTCCCGGGTTCAAGTGATTCTCCTGCCTCAGCCTCCCGAGTAGCTAGGATTACAGGCATGCACCACAACGCCCAGCTAATTTTGTATTTTTAATAGAGATGGGGTTTCTCCATGTTGGACAGAACTCCCAACTTCAGGTGATCCGCCCTCCTTGGCCTCCCAAAATGCTGGGATTATAGGCGTGAGCCACCGTGCTCAGCCCAAACTATTTTCTGTAGACTAAAACAGTAACGTCTGTGTCTGCCTCATTAAAAACATGACTGCATGTGACCTTTTTAAAATAAGAGCTAGTTGTGGGGTGGGGGGAGGGGGGAGGGATAGCATTAGGAGATATACCTAATGCTAAATGACGAGTTAATCGGTGCAGCACACCAGCATGGCACATGTATACATATGTAACTAACCTGCACATTGTGCACATGTACCCTAAAACTTAAAGTATAATAATAATAAAAAAAATAAAATAAGAGCTAGTTTGAATTAGAAAGCAACAGACACCAGGAAAAATCTTGTCAGGAAAAAGAATAGATATTTGATGAGTAGCAGCATTGAGTTCACCAGCAGCAGGCACCTGAAAAGACATTGCGGCGGGGGTTTTGGCCAAAACATGTCTGTCTGCCCTCTAAGCAGGGTGGCCTTCTTACCTCATGTATTTCTGATTTGATTTTCTCTTTTCCCACTTCTGGCTTTGGCTCTCAACACCACAGTCCAGGTCTTTTGTGCTGAGGGCAGAAGGCATTGAGGGTGGTACACTGGGATGTATCCCATGGGCTGTGCTCTGGAGGGCTTATCTAAGAAAAAGAGTAAGAAAGTGCCTTTGAGTGTTTTCATTTGAATACCTTCTCTCCGTAAGCTGCCTTCCCGTATTTTTTTTTTCCTGCTCTTATGTTCTAGAAATTTTTTTTTCTTCCAAGAAGATGAAGAAACCTGGGTTCTTGTCACAGCAAGAGAATTGTCTAGCTGTCATGAAGAATAAGCTTAGCTCTTGCTTTTCTGTGCTTTCCTCAGACTGTAACAACAGCAGCCACAGAACTTGCAGGACCGACATTTTTTGTTCTCATTTTTTCCTTTAGATATCTCCACAGGACCTTCTTGGTTAAATCAGGGACTACTTCTGAACTCTACCCAATCAGTTTCAAATTTAGACCTGACCACTGGTGCCACCTTACCCCAGTCAAGGTACGTATTTTTTTCAGGGTTAGAAAGGCAAACCCCAGAGCCCTGACTGTCTGTGTAGGGGTGAGCCGGGGTCATGTTACTGCCAGCACAGGTCCTGCTGAGCAGGTTTGTGGCAGATCTCACCAATGGCACCTCCTTCCTGTTTTTATTCCTATGTTTTACAAAACTGTTTATACCACATTAATGAGCCTGTGTGTTTTTAATTGTTTGCTAGTGTAAACCAAGGGTTATGCTTGGATGCAGAAGTGGCCTTAGCAACTGGGCAGTTCCTGGCCCCAAACAGTCACCAGTCCAGCAGTGCGGCCTCTCACTGCTCCGAGTCCCGAGGCGAGACCCCCTGTTCGTTCAATGATGAAGATGAGGAAGATGATGAGGAGGATTCCTCCTCCCCAGAATAAAGACAAGAGAAAGCCTACGTTTCAATATGTGATGCTCATGTGTGTTTGTAGTGTGAGCTCTTGTTTTTGAAATGATTGCTTCAGTCTTTGCCTTTGTTTGCACTGTGTGTTCAGTGAAAACTAGAGAAACACAATAAGCAAATCACATGAAGGCTGAGATGATTGAGATGAAAGTTAACATAGTGTGAATGAAAGTCTGGCCAACAGAGCAGTAGATGATATAACAAAGAAAGCATGCTTTCTGAGGAGATAGTGGGGATAATCCCTGAAGAGTTGGCAGTGTGAGTGCAACTCATTTATCTTCTGTGAGGTGGGATTTTTGTGTTCCTCACACCCATGTAATTATTCTTAGAATTGAGATTGCTACACGGAGCAGTCCTTGACGATCGTGTTTCTGACGTTTCTCTTCCTTGCCTGGACTGCCTTTGACAAGGCAGAAATGAACATGAAAAGTCCCCAGGAGAGGGGAGCTGTGTAGTGAGGGATACTGAGGGCAGTCCTGTGGCTGAGGGGCACAGATTGAACTGCTGAACTAGTTGGAGGTCTAGATGAGGTGCTTTACGCATCAGCTGCCTTAGACAGCTTCTAGAAAGGAGCGAGCGCTACTTCTTAAGTACTTAAGTGACATTTAGATAATTTATAGTAAAACTGAAATTATTATTAGCCAATGCATTGGTGCATAGAATTTACTAGGGCTACTTCTGGAAGCCAAAATAGAATAGCATTTCCATGTGCATTAAATACTTTGCCAGCACTGCCTTTGCCAGCATCCTAAATCTGGAGTTTTACAAAGAAGGAAACTGTATCTTTAGGTTAATCAAAGCTATGCATTTCATATAGCTTTTTCATTTAAAACAAGACAAAGAAACAAATTCCTATGACCAAATTGCTTGCCTACAGTTCCCTGCAGTAATTGTATGATCTCACCCAGTGTGCAATTTGTGAAAATGAACCAAATGTCATTACTTTTGTCTTAAAGAAAAGTCTATTTCAAGAATATGAACAGCAGTGTTTCCTTGTACATGTCACCTTTTTTCACATTTTCATTAATCAGAATGACCTTATTGAGCCTACTCCTGGGGTCAATTGCATTTCAAACTAATCCAATATTTAGTGTTTCACAGAAACACTAGAAAACGTTGAACACTCCTACTGCCTGGATATATGGTAGTGCAGTTATGTTGTTTATGGCTCAAGATGTCATTAGAAATACTGCAGTGGTGTATTCACAGCTGCTCCTTCTCTGAATGAAAGAGTGTAGGGACACCTGCCACCATGGCCAGACCCTGACTGAATTTCACATTAAGGCTTTGGAAAGGAGCAAATAATAATGGGAGAATTAACTCCAAAACTTTGACCTGAATCATGTGGATTTGTCCCAAGATTATGCTAGATGCACCAAGCATGGCCCAAATTGGTTCTTTTTTAAATCCCATGGGGGAAGTGCAGGCTCCTTCCTGTGGTGCCTCTTTATAGCCTCACCACCATGCTAACACTGAGCATGGTGAGGAGGAGGAAGCTTTGGCTAGCTAAACATGTTTAATAAGGCCATAAAAACTGAGAAAGAAAAACATTCAACTTTAGCTGAAGCTCCTTTGATACAAAAGTTTCATTCTGTCAGAAATAAGCCATAGTACAGACTCAGAGATAGAGGCAGTTTCTAGAGAACTCGGTCTTATCGTGGGTTCTGGAGCACACCTCTCAGACCAGTCAGGAACACTGGGGAGGTGACAGCAGGTCCCCAGGGGCCTGCAGGGAATCTTTCAGCTGCACGGATTGGGATTTCCCTCCAAACCAAACTGTCCTTTAAGGGGCAGCCTCCTCTTTTACTAACTCCACCCTTTCTCATCTCTGGGACCCAGCAGGGACCTGGAGAGGCCAACAGCCACTGCTACCTTTGTAGTCTTCAAAATATTGAACTGCAGGTCCCAAGATGCATTTCAGGATTTAAGACAGGTGCACTAATGATAACCATTCCTTCACCAAGTAGCAACATTCTTGCCAGAGTTCTTGGGAAACCTGTTTTTTTCTCTACTCTCCATCTCTGCTGCTCTCATGCTTTAAATTGATAAAATATGGGCTCAAAAAAAGAAAGCCGCCAAAGACTCTTATCCTTATTGGTGCCCCATCATTGGCCACCCCAGCCATAGGTGTGTGCTGTTGGTGGGAAATGGTCTCCTTCCTCAGCGTTGTGTTTGGGTTACTGGTGAGGCCAGCTCACAGAGTGACATCATGGTCACCAGTACATGTCGCTGGAGTAAAATCTTGCCTTTAGAAACTAGGTTGAGCTGTTCAGAAAGGTCAATTCTCTTCTGTATTCCCCCTCAACATTTATCTGGGTCTAAAGCTCAGCACTGAGTCACAATTTCACACAAGATCAAAGTGAGGCAGTGTTAGGAAACCATGGGCTGGGTGCAGTGCCTCTCGCCTGTAATCGTAGCACTTTGGGAGGCCGAGGCGGGCACATTGCTTGAGCTCAGGAGTTCAAGACCAGCCTGGGCAACATGACAAAACCCTGTCTCTACAAAAATACAAAAATTAGCTGGGTGTGGTGGGGCATGCCTGTAGTCCTGGCTACTCAAGAGGCTGAGGTGGGAGGATTGCTTGAGCGCAGGAGGCGGAGGTTGTAGAGCCAAGATCACACCACTGCACTCCAGCCTGGGTGACAGAGCAAGACCCTGTCTCAAAAAAAAAAAAAAAAAAAATGGAAGTTGTGGTCACAATGCCCAGGCTTCTTTGTTATAGTGGCACGCTGGGTTACTTGCCACACACAGATCACTCCTCCCAGGGCTGCTGGCACACACTGATTGTGGGGAGTTCAAGAGGCCTTTTCCCCTTGAGGGTGTGGCTGTCCCCCTTTCAGGCGTGTGGCGTCATTCATGGAGGAAGTGCTGGCTCTACTTAGCACACGCACAGTGGCACTAGGACCTGCGTGCCTGGCCCTCAGTGGGTAGGGCGGTGCTGCCTAGGCACACAGCAGCGCTTACGGGCCCCAGGTGCCTACTAGGCTGCCTTCCTCTTCCCCGCTGTCAGTCTGTGTCCTCCACGTGCTTATTTCCTGTGGTGAGAGCAGTTGTGGTGTTTGTATACCTTGTGCCTTATGATCAAGGTGGGCCTTGGAGGAGGGCGGGAAAGGAGCGACCAACATGGCGGTCCTCCACCCCTCAGCGACACCCACCGCCCGAGAAACTACAGACAATGGCCACAAGTTTGGCGTCCTTCAATTTAATTCTTTAAAGAAGTGCTGGGAAGAAAAAGCTATGTGGTTTCTACCATTTTAGCAGGATAAAGAGGATAACTCCTTCCATTAGCAAATTTTACAGTTGTTAACAGTACTCTGCCATATTTGAAAAATAATGCCAGAGTCAGTCCTTGAAAACAAGGTAGCTCCTATCAGAATTCAAATGGAAATTTTTTTTTTTTTTTTTTTTTTTTTTGAGACTGAGTCTCGCTCTGTTGCCCAGGCTGGAGTGCAGTGGTGATCTCGGCTCACTGCAAGCTCCGCCTCCCGGGTTCACGCCATTCTCCTGCCTCAGCTGGGACCATGCCTGGCTAATTTTTTTTGTATTTTTAGTAGAGACGGGGTTTCACCGTGTTAGCCAGGATGGTCTCGATCTCCTGACCTTATGATCCACCCCTCTCGGCCTCCCAAAGTGCTGGGATTACAGGCGTGAGCCACCGCACCCGGCCTCAAATGGAAATATTTCACAGAGGAGTGGTTCAGTTTAGCCCTGCAAGACATCTATAACTTGACTGTTTGCTAAACCACAACTCTTTTTGGCTACTTGGGTCATAGAGACAGCAGAGTTGCTCCAAGTATAAATGTGACTTAGGCTCCCTCCAGCACACAGTGTGTATGTTGGAGGGAGTGTGGATTAGCAGAGAATGAGAACTACCTCAGCTATTCCTGCCATAACCACACTGAGAGAGGGGGGCACGGTGGGGAGCCTATTTAGCTTTTTTTTTTTTTTGAGACGGAGTCTTGCTCTGTCGCCAGGCTGGAGTGTAGTGGCGCAATCCCGGCTCACTGCAACCTCTGCCTCCCGGGTTCAAGCGATTCTCCTGCCTCAGCCTCCCAAGTAGCTGGGATTATAGGCGCATGCCGCCACACCCGACTAATTTTTTGTATTTTTAGTAGAGTCAGGGTTTCACCGTGTTGCCCAGGCTGGTGTCGAACTCCTGACCTCAGGTGATCTGCCCACCTCAGCCTCCCGAAGTGCTGGGATTACAGGTGTGAGCCACCGCACCCGGCTCTATTTAGCTTTTTAAAAATTATTTCCTTTCAAGGGCCCTTTAATATCTATCAAGCTCCCTCCCCTAACAAAATGGGCTGTCCCTGCCCAACAAGTCTGAAATAGACCTTAAAACTGTGCTGCCTTAGTGGTAAGTAAGGGGTGGGGGTTGGACAGTGAATCTTAAGATTTCATCCTTCATTCAGTAAGCATTTGAGTACCTACTGTGAGCAGGCATTGGGGCGGAGCAGCGAGAGCCCTGCCGATGTTGGGTTCTCCTCCTATTGGGGAAACTTGATCACAGATGGAACACGTGCAGATTGATTGATGAGTGCTGTGGAGAAAGCAGCAGCGTAGCGGGACCGTTTGGGAAAGGCTACTTTGGCTGGGGGTGGCTGGGAAAGGCCCCTCTGGGAAAGAGACAGTTTTACTGAGTCAGATGGTGGAAAGACAGATGTCTCTATACTTTCTTAACAAGCCACTCTGTCCCATAACATGCACTTGGAATCTCTCCTAAGTTCCAGAGGCCCCACTGTTCCAGTTTCAAGCCTTCATTTTGGAGTCTGTTTGGGAACTTTTAAGACTTCAAAGCAAAGTTAGCTACCAGCAATTTCTGTAAACCAAGAGAAGATTGTCACAAAGATTCACTACTTTCCAACTGAATCTATGCAGTAGAAAAATCATTAGAAAATACAAAAATTAGCCGGGCGTGGTGGCACATGCCTGTAGTCCCAGCTACTCGGGAGGCTGAGGCAGGAGAATCACTTGAACCCAGGAGGCGGAGGTTGCAGTGAGCCAAGATCCCGCCACTGCACTCCAGCCCAGGTGACAGAGCAGGACTCTGTCTCAAAAAAAGAAAAAAGAAAGAAAGAAAAATGATTAGAAATTGAGAACTATTTTACGTGTTTCTAAGTTGTTGGCTACATCAAAGAGATCATCTGTATTCTGCATATGGGCTGGCTTTGGTGAAGCTGATGACTGGACTTCTAAGAACCGTTTTCCCAAATGGGTTCCCATATTCATGCACCCAAAGCAATGGTCCCCAAGCACTGATGAAAACTAATATGCATTTCCCAAAGACCCACACTATGTATCAGGAGCCTGCACCATGCCATTTGAATGACCCTCAGCAATGTGCCTCCCTGCCCTCAAATTCCCAGTTGATAACAGTGTTTGATTAAATTTCCACTCAAGCCAAACATGGTTACTAAGAAGAGAAAAACCTGATGTTTGCATAATATTTTTTTTCCCCTCGAGATGGAGTCTTGCTCTGTTGCCCAGGCTGGAGTGCAGTGGCATGATCTCAGCCACTGCAACCTCTGCCTCCCGGGTTCAAGCGATTCTTCTGCCTCAGCCTCCCAAGTAGTTGGGATTACAGACATGTGCCACCACGCCTGGCTAATTTTTGTATTTTTAGTAGAGACAGGGTTTCACCATGTTGACCACACTGGTCTTGAACTTCTAACCATGTGATCTGCCTGCCTCGGCCTCCCAAAGTGCTGGGATTACAGGCTTGAGCCACCACGCCCAGCCTAAGATTTTATGATTAAAAAAAATTCAAGCTCAATACCCACATAAATTATAACGTTTCTCAGGAAGTAGTCCCTTAACCAAAACGTCTCTGAGAAGTGATGCTTAGGTAATCTCTGGGATCCGATTTTCCCACATGTCTCACTCCACAGTATGCTAAAGAAGAAAAAGTGAGTGGGCACAACACTTTGACCCTCTGGCTAAGCCCTGGGAGTCCCTGACAGGTCCAGAAACTTCTCTGACACCCATTCACCAGGGTGCTGAGATAGGAGAAAGTGCTCATTTATAATGTGTATTCTGTGCAGCTGTTCTCAGACAAGACCGGATCTTGTCATCTTACCTTTTGCTTTACAAAAAAGGCCTGTTGAAGTCAATGCTGTCTTGCCCCTTGCTGTTTCAGCAGGTTAGACTTTGGTCTTCACTGCTTATAGCTGCATTGGAGGCCAACGTAGCTGATGCTCAGGGTCAGGCCTCGCCCCTTCGCCGCAGGTCTCAGGATCGGGGATAACATCGCTCCCACCCTGCTCATTTAGAGATGGGAAACAAGCAAGAGCTTGACTTGCCTCCCATCCCTCAGCCTGTCTGTGGCAGAGCCTGCACCAAAACCCAGAGCTTCTTCCCTCCGTGAGGGCCACGCTGTCACCACAGTCCTCCCAGATGGGTTTTGGATTAGCATCAGTCCTGTGTCACCAAGTGCCAAACAGCTGAGGGGTAGAAGTGGGACTCCTTTCCCGAGCCCCAGCATGAGGCTGTGGTGTCAGGTTTAGGCCTCTCTCAAGTCAGAAAACCCCGGGCTGAGACCTCCACAGACAAGGGCTCCCCATGCTGGCCATTGGCAGGGGCCCAAGAAGTTCAGTGACCAACTGGTCCTTCCACACCACACCAGCTGGTGCTGCCCATGTCTGTCGAATCATAACGGAAAATTCCCCAGATCACGTTTGGATTTAAAAACTCATCCCTTGTCGTGCTTCAATGCATGCCATTTGTCACTTACCATACTTCACCATGGCCGAGCTTCATGTCACATGGCCTGGCGATTGTGCTTGTTCACACTGGGGCCAGGATTTTCATACTAAAACGTCACTGACAATGGGGCTACTTTTCTCCTGAATAGCTCCTCTGGGCTTGTTGCAGTTCTAGTTTTCCCAGTAGTTCCATGGCAGGTTCAACCTCTCAGTGTCCTGAAAAATGGAACCACCCACTAACCATATGCACTGGCTGCCCAGGTGGCTGCACTCCGGGGATCACGTTTCAGTACTGAGTTCCTTCACGCACTTGGTTCACCACCATCACTCTTGAGTTTTGGACAAAAGAGGTGGGTATGCCAGGCACAGTGGCTCACGCCTGTGATCCCAGCACTTTGGGAGGCCGAGGCGGGCGGATCACCTGAGGTCGGGAGTTCGAAACCAGCCTGACCAACATGGAGAAACCCTGTCTCTACTAAAAATATAAAATTAGCCGGGTGTGGTGGCGCATGCCTGTAATCCCAGCTACTCGGGAGGCTGAGGCAGGAGAATCTCTTGAACCCAGGAGGCAAAAGTTGCAATGAGCTGAGATCGTGCCATTTGCACTCCAGCCTGGGCAACAAGAGCGAAATTCCATCTCAAAAAAAAAAGGTGGGTAAAGGGCCATGAGCCCAAACCACTAGGTTGTTCACCTTTTCATCTGAAAATGCTTTACTCTGACTATGTGCTATTGGGTTTTATTTCCAGAAAATATAGTTCTCCTTTTTTCTGCATGAAGGATACATCGTGGTGCCACATGCTTTAAGCAATTTAAACAAGAGAGATAAGAGGAAAATGCAACCACCACATCTGACTTGCCCAATGTAGACTTTCCTTTATTAGATTGAAGTACACAACCTAATATGATATATTATTTTGTAGTATCTCAGACTTTGTAAATAAATGCCATTATTTTTATATGGAAATTTTATAGAAGAGCTATTTCTGTATACGTAATTACTCCTGATTTTCTGAAATTGCTTCTGGTAGATAACAGACAAGTCCTAAGCAGTGTTCCACTAAGGGTGGTTCCAGGCCTGCCTGCCGTGGAGTTGACTGGGGGAATTTTACAGTTTTGCGATCCTAGGATGCGTCCCAGACGCTCAGTCAGAAGTGCTGGAGGTGGGGCCTGGGAAGCTGTATTTGTAATGAACTCTGGTGTTTTTTGTCCATTAAAGTGTATCTTTGTCCATCCTATAAGATTAAAGGAAAGAAAAAGCATCTCAAATGAGTGTAAGTTGTTCTTGAGAAAAAAATGTATCAGACTTTTATGATTTGAATGAAATGTATTATAGAAAAAAATAAACACTTTAAAATAATGTTAGTCTCATTACTAGTGGGTCAGGATATTTTTAGTTAAAAAAGGAGGTGTTAGGCCATGCGCAGTGGCTCACGCCTATAACCCCAGCACTTTGGGAGGCCAAGGTGGTCGTATCATTTGAGGTCAGGAGTTCAAGACTAGCCTGGCCAACATGGTGAGATCCCGTCACCACTAAAACTACAAAAATGAGCTGGGTGTGGTGGCATGCGCCTGTAATCCCAGCAACTTGGCGCAGGAGAATCGCTTGAACCTGGGAGGCGGAAGTTGCAGTGAGCTGAGATCACACCACTGCAGTCCAGCCTGGGCAACAGAGTGAGACTCCATCTCAAAAAAAAAAAAAAAAGCCTTTTTTTTGTTTTTGTTTGTGAGATGGAGTCTCTGTTGCCCAGGCTAGAGTGCAGTGGTGCAATCTTGGCTCACTGCAACCCCCACCTCCCAGATTCAAGGGATTCTCCTGCCTCAGCCTCTGGAGTACCTGGGATTACAGGCACGTGCCACCACACCCGGCTTATTTTTGTATTTTTTTTTTTTTTTTTTGAGACGGAGTCTCGCTCTGTCACCCAGGCTGGAGTGCAGTGGCGCAGTCTCGGCTCACTGCAAGCTCCGCCTCCCGGGTTCACGCCATTCTCCTGCCTCAGCCTCTCCGAGTAGCTGGGACTACAGGCGCCCGCCACCACGCCCGGCTAATTTTTTTTTATTTTTAGTAGAGACGGGGTTTCACCGTGGTCTCGATCTCCTGACCTCGTGATCCACCCGCCTCGGCCTCCCAAAGTGCTGGGATTACAAGCGTGCAGCACCGCGCCCGGCCTATTTTTGTATTTTTAATAGAGATGGTGTTTCACCATGTTGACCAGGATGGTCTCCAACTCCTAGCATCAAGTGATCCTCCCACCTCAGCCTCCCAAACTGCTGGGATTAAAATAAAAAAGAACAATAGGCCGGGTGCAATGGCTCATACCTATAATCCCAGCACTTTGGGAGGCTGAGGTGGTCGGATCACTTGAGGCCCGGAGTTCGAGCCCAGCTTGGCCAACATGGTGAAACCCAGTCTCTACTAAAAATACAAAAAATTAGCCAGGTGTGGTGGCGGTCGCCTGTAATCCCAGCTACTCGGGAGGCTGAGGCAGGAGAATTGCTTGAACTCAGGAGGCAGAGGCTACAGTGAGCCAAGATCGCGCCATCGCACTCCAGCCTGGGCAACAAGAGCGAAACTCCATCTCAAAAAAAAAGAAAAATGAACAATAAAATAATGGTGGGCTGTTCGGGTGAGGGTAGTGGGTACTCTGGGGCTCTGCCAGAGAGTAAGGACTGAGACCCTCTTTCAACATCTGAGTTCCTCTTCATGAATTGCCCTCAGAAGGGTGGCCAGGGCCGGGCGCGGTGGCTCACACCTGTAATCCCAACACTGGGAGGCCGAGGTGGGCGGATCACAAGGTCAGGAGATCGAGACCATCCTGGCTAACATGGTGAAACCCTGTTTCCACTAAAAATACAAAAAATAGGCCAGGCGCAGTGGCTCACGCCTGTAATCCCAGCACTTTGGGAGGCCGAGGCGGGCGGATCACGAGGTCAGGAGATCAAGACCATCCTGGCTAACACGGTGAAACCCCGTCTCTACTAAAAATACAAAAAAATTAGCCAGGTGTGGTGACGGGCGCCTGTAGTCCCAGCTACTTGGGAGGCTGAGGCAGGAGAATGGTGTGAACCTGGGAGGTGGAGATTGCCCCACTGCACTCCAGCCTGGGTGACAGAGCGAGACTCCGTCTCAAAAAAAAAAAAAAAAAATTAGCCGGGCATGGTGGCGGGCTCCTGTGGTCCCAGCTACTCGGGAGGCTGAGGCAGGAGAATGGCATGAACCCAGGAGGCGGAGCTTGCAGCTAGCCGAGATAGTGCCACTGCACTCCAGCCTGGGTGACAGAGCAAGACTCTGTCTGAAAAAAAAAAAAAAGAAGAAGGGTGGCCAGGTGCCGTGGCTTACCCCTGTAATCTTAGCACTTTGGGAGGCTAGGCCCAGAATTGCTTCCCTGCAATTCGTAGGGAAGATGCTTTCTTATCATCTCTTACACCAAACCAGCATCAGCGAGAACAGCGACAGCAGTCAATATAGAATGCCATGTCCCCAGGCCTCAGGTGGAATGTCACCTGACCTCCGGAACATAGCAGCCCCTCAGCACCTGATCACGCAGTCTCTACCTGTCTCAGGGAGAGGCCGGAACCCTAGATAGCTTATCTCCTATGTTCCAACAAGTTGAGCACGTGGACAATCAGAAGGCACAGAAGGGTGTGGAGCAGTTCAGGGGCCAGCAAGTAGACCCAGGTCTTGAAAAGGAGATGGCTAAGTAAGCACTCGATGACATATTGGAAGGAATGCATCTTCCCATAAAGACTCCCCCTGGAGTTTCACAGACCAAATAAGGGTGGCGGTGGTGGGGAAGTGGTGAGCCTGTGCTCAAGCCCCTTACCCCAGGGGTCTCCTGGAGTAGTGAGCCAAGCTGGTATTGTGCCTTCTCCGTTCCTCCCGGCCTAGAGGAGCCACTTACTAGTGCCGTTTGGTGAAGGTGTCCAAGGACTCATGGGAGTAACCACTGTATCTCTTGGGCTTAAGAAGGTGCTTTTGTTCTTGTAGCCACATGGGGGATGGCACAGCGACTGAATACACCGCTGACCAGGGGCGATACCTGCAAGCCCACAGAATTGTCTACGAAGAGACAAACTATTTTCAAAAATATTTAAAGAGATTTATTCCGAGCCAAATATGAGTGACCATGGCCCCTGACACAGCCCTCAGGAGGTCCAAGAACATGTGTGCAAGGTGGTCAGGGTGCAGCTTGGTTTTATACATTTTAGGGAGACATGAGACTTCAATCAAGTATGTTTAAAAAATACGTTGGTTCGGTCCAGAAAGGTGGGACAACTCGAAGGTGGGGGGCGCTTCCGGCTTATAGGTAGATTTACAAATTTTCTTGTTGACAATTGGTTGAGTTTATCTAAAAACCTGGAATCAATAGAAAGGAAATGTCTGGGTTAAGATAAGGGATTATGGAGAGAAAAGGTCGCAGGCTTCAGAGAATAGATGGTAAATGATTCTTATCAGTAAGGTCTGTGTTGATGTTAATGCCAGCGGGTATAATGAGGCACTTCCCGTTCCTGGCCGGAACCGGTCTCTGAGGTTACATTTTAAGAGCGCCCTGGCCAAGGAGAAAGTCCATTCAGATGGTTGGGGGGTGGGACTTAGAACTGTATTTTTGGTTGACGGAGTTAATTCCATGCCCAGCTTCTTGAGCCTCAGAGAGAAGACAGCTTCAACCCAGAGCCTTTTCCAGAAGAAAGAACCCGACTGGCAGTCAGCTTGCTTGCTTCTGTTCCTACTCCCAGAGCTATGGCTATGTTTTCTCCATTCCTTTTTTTTTGAGACAGAGTCTTGCTCTATTGCCCAGGCAGGAGGTGCAATGGCACCATCTTGGCTCACTGCAACCTCCACCTCCTGAGTTCAAGTGATTCTCTTGCCTCAGCCTCTCGAGTAGCTCGGACTACAGTCACATACCACCACGCCTGGATAATATTTTGTATTTTTAGTAGAGACGGGTTTTCACCATGTTGGTCAGGCTGGTCTCAAACTCCTGACCTTAAGTAATCCACCCACCTCAGCCTCTCAAAGTGCTGGGATTACAGGCGTGAGCTACCGCGTGCGGCCTCCATTCCTTCTCCTACGGGAGCTGCTTCTGTATTTCTGTGCATCTTCTCAGAGTGCTGGCACTTCTCACTGAAGCTTGCACCTGACGACACCGCCAGCTTCCCCAGTTTCTTGCCAGATGAAGGCTCCATCTGCCGGTCTTACTGTGGACGGCTGCCAAATGCCCGGGGGCTCCCTGATCACTGCCAGCTCAGCCTTCTCTCTGAGAGGCCTTTCCAGCCTCTTGCTGAAACTTGCTTTCAGGAGAGCATCTCAGTGGAAAATGCACAGTGGTGAAGGAAGTCCTGTAGTTGGGGAGGGTGTGGGTGGTGGGGGCACAACCAATCCGGTTAGTGTAGAGCAGCATTTGTCATATCCACTTTCTCACTTTCATCCAAATTGCTTCAGGACATTTTTGCCACTGGGGCACAGTGATTCATCCAACCATTTCCTTATTGCCTTCTTATCTCCCGCCTTGGCTAAGGGGCCTAAAGTACTGTGACACATTATGCTAAGGTCAGGAGATTTGTTTTCTTCTTTCATGCCCTACCTACCACTTGGTCATGGCTCTCAAAAGCCGAAACTCAATCATGAGAAGTTTGTGCACTAAAATCCAAAAATGACAATACCGAAAAGGTCCCATCTCCACAGGAAGGACTTTCTGGTTCTGCTAATACATCATAGATTTGCTTTCAAACCTCCAGCAAAGGTTTTCCTCAGTCTGAGTACAACAAAAAGTAATTTTACAGGATGATTTTTTTCCTTGCAGAGACAAGGTCTTGCTCTGTCACAGGCTGGAATGCAGTGACACCATCACAGCTCACTGTAACTTCGAATTCCTGGGCTCAAGTGGTCCTCCCACCTCAGTCTCCACAGTAGCCGTGGTGTGCACCACCACACCTGGCTTGTTTTTTTATTTTGTGTAGAGACAGGGTCTCACTATGTTGCCCATGCTGGCCTCCAGAGATCCTCCCGCTTCAGCCTCCCAGAGTGCTGGAATTATGGGCATGATGTATTTTTAAAACTTTAAAACATCTACAGGATTTATTTTAAAAATTTTAAAACATCTAGGTTTTGTCTGCTTTTTTTTTTTTTTTTTTTTTTTTTTTGAGACGGAGTCTGGCTCTGTCGCCAGGCTGGAGTGCAGTGGCAAGATCCCAGCTCACTGCAACCCCCGCCTCCCAGGTTCAAGAGATTCTCCTGCCTCAGCCTCCTGAGTAGCTGAGACTACAGGCATGCACCACCACACCCAGCTAATTTTTGTATTTTTAGTACAGACGGGGTTCCACCATGTTGGCCTGGATGGTCTCGATCTCTTGACCTCGTGATCCGCCTTCCTCGGCCTCCCAAAGTGCTGGGATTACAGGCATAAGCCACCGTGCCTGGCTCACTGCAGCCTCCGCCTCCCAGGTTCAAGCAATTCTCCTGCCTCAGCCTCCCAAGTAGCTAGGACTACAGGCATGTGCCAACACACCTGGCTAATTTTTGTATTTTTAGTAGAGACTCTTTTGCCATGGTAGTCAGGCTGGTCTCGAGCTCCTGACCTCAAGTGATCTGCCCACCTCGGCCTCCCAAAGTACTGGGATTACAGGAGTGAGCCACCGTGCCTGGCCATGTCTGCTTTTTGTGACAGGTCACTGGAGTAGCGACAAGGCCATTTTGACAATAGAACAGTGGTGGCTCTTCTGCATGAAAGACTCTGGCCCATCTTACGATCAGCTAAATAACACTTTCCTCAAGTATTACCAAAATTCAGTTTATAAGTCATGACTAAGAGTGGAAGAAGGGGCTGGGATGCACCTGTAATCCCAGCTACTTGGGAGGCTGAGGCAAGAGAATAGCTTGAACCTGGGAGGTGGAGGCTGCAATGAGCCGATTTCGTGCCACTGCACTCCCACATGGGCAAAAGAGGGAGACTCCATCTCAAAAAAAAAAAAAAAAAGAAAAAAAGAAAAAAAAGGAGTGGAAGGACACAAGAATGACATACTTTTATTTCAATAAATGCTTTTGGAAATGATTTTTAAGAACAAAAACTAGAGACCTCCTGAAAGTCGGATTAAAGGTTGTGCAGGCCGGGTGCAGTGGCTCAGGCCTGTAATCCCAGCACTTCGGGATGCCGACGGGGGCAGATCACCTGAGGTCGGGAGTTTGAGACCCGCCTGACCAATGTGATGAACCCCATCTCTACTAAAAATACAAAAATTAGCAGGGCGTGGTGGCGGGCACCTGTAATCCCAGCTACTCGGGAGGCTGAGGCAGGAGAACCGCTTGAACCCAGGAGGCAGAGATTGCAGTGAGCTGAGATCCCGCCCTTGCACTCCAGCCTGGGCAACAACAGTGAAACTCCGTCTCAAAAAAAAAAAAAAAAAAAAGCGTGCAAAGATGCATATGATGAACTGCATTTTCCTCGGAGCAGTTGGTATTCCCCCCTCCTCTCACCCTCTTTGAACAGACGGGCATTCGGGGAATGGGGGGAGGGGACACAGCATGGCGGGGGTTCCTTGCTCCCTTAGCCAGGGCGGTTGACTCGCACCCTGCTGCAGGACGGAGAAGGCAGCCGCTTGGAAACCCCGGGCTTCAGTCCTCAGCCGGGTCTCTGGATGTAGACCCCCGGAGTCTGTCTTCTGAGACCGACAAGGCTTGTCAATGGGCAACACAGGCTCCGGGACTTCCGGAAACAGTTTCTCAAGAAACATTTCTGAAACTGCTTGGTTAAGGATGACTCCCGCAAGGGCGGCTGTCACCTGCCTGCTGGGCCCGCACCGGGAGACTTGTCTACACATAAACTGTGCAGGTTAAAGACAGGCCAGGCCAAAGAAATAAGCTTGCAGAGGAGAGAGGGTTTTCACCTATTTTCTTCCCTACCCCAATCCCTGAAAGTTTTCTCAGAACCTGGAGGGCCCAGCATGAGCAACTTCCTGGGCTGGGGCTTGGCCAGGGAGGCAGGTGCCTGCCAGGGCAGGCAGGGACCACTCCCTGTCATCGTAACAAAAGATAACACAGAAGCAGATGGGAGAAAAGTCTGGGGAGAAACAACATGAGCAGAAAACCACAGAAATGTAAGTTTACAACACCCCTATGTTATCAGCCAGGGAGCCATGGAGGTGCTGCAGGGCAGTAGCCCGCCAGCAAGACGCCAGATTTCTCCTTCCAGGTGCTGAGGGAGGGGCTGGTGGTTCAGCCGAGGGGATGAGAAAACCAGCAGCAGCTGCAGCAGTTGGTAAAACGGGCACACCGGGCGCGGTGGCTCACGCCTGTCATCCCAACGCTTTGGGAGGCCGAGGCAGGTGGATCACAAGGTCAGGAGATCGAGACTATCCTGGCCAACGTGGTGAAACCTCGTCTCTACAAAAAATACAAAAATTAGCTGGGCGTGGTGACATGTGCCTGTAATCCCAGCTACTCAGGAGGCTGAGGCAGGAGAATCGCTTGAACCAGGGAGTCGGAGGTTGCAGTGAGCCGGGCACAGTGGCTCACATCTTATCCCAGCACTTTGGGAGGCCGAGGCGGGTGGATCACCTGAGGTCAGTAATTCGAGACCAGCCTGACCAACATGGTAAAACCCCCATCTCTACTAAAAATACAAAATTAGCTGGGCGTGGTGGCACGAGCCTGTAATCCCAGCTACTCGGGAGGCTGAGGCAGGAGAATCCCTTGAACCTGGGAGGTGGAGGTTGCAGTGAGCCAAGATCACGCCATTGCACTCCCACCTGGGCTACAAGAGCAAAACAAACAAACAAAAAAAACAAAAGAAAAGAAAGAGGCCGGGCGCGGTGGCTCATGCCTGTAATCCCAGCACTTTGGGAGGCCGAGGTGGGCGGATCACGAGGTCAGGAGATCGAGACCATCCTGGCTCACACGGTGAAACCCCATCTCTACTAAAAATACAAAAAATTAGCCGGGTGTGGTTGCAGGTGCCTGTAGTCCCAGCTACTAGGGAGGCTAAGGCAGGAGAATGGCCTGAACCTGGGAGGCGGAGCTTGCAGTGAGCCGAGATCACGCCACTGCACCCCAGCCTGGGTGACAGAGCGAGACTCCATCTCAAGAAAAAATAATAATAAAATAAAATAAAGAAAGAAAGTACTAGTGGGTATCAACCAATGGACTGACAAGCAAGTCTCCTCATCTGAACTTAGATGAGCTGTCATTTGAGCAATTTTAATTGACATCTCTTTACATATGATATAAATCATATATTCCAGATCCTATAAAGTACTTCCCATGCATAATCCCATAGCATAGCAAAATTCTAATTTTTCTATAGGACTTTGTCATGTTTAATAAACAGTGTTAGAACACACTCTGCAGTTGACAGTCTGTTAACCACAGATTTTCTTTAATTTTTTTTTTTAAGACAGAGTCTCACTCCGTCACCCAGGCTGGAGTGCAGTGGCGCGATCTCGGCTCACTGCAACCTCCACCTCCCGGGTTCAAGCAATTCTCTGCCTCAGCCTCCCAAGTAGCTGGGGTCACAGGCGCCTGCCACCATGCATCGGCTAATTTTTGTATTTTTAGTAGAGACGGGGTTTCGCCATCTTGGCCAAGCTGGTCTTGAACTCCTGACCTCGTGATCCACCCAGCTCGACCTCCCAAAGTGCTGGGATTACAGACATGAGTCACCTTGCCTGGCCTAATTTGTTGTTGTTGTTGCTGTTTTTTGTTAGGTTTTGAGATGAAGTCTCACTCCGTCACCCAGGCTGGAGTGCAGTGGTGCGATCTTGGCTCACTACAACCTCCGCCTCCCGGGTTCAAGTGATTATCCCGCCTCAGCCTCCTGAGTAGCTGGGATTACAGGCACGCGCCACCACGCCCGGCTAATTTTTGTATTTTTAGTAGAGAGGGGGTTTCACCATGTTGGTCAGGCTGGTCTCAAACTCCTGACCTCATGATCTGCCTGCCTCGGCCTCCCAAAGTGCTGGGATTACAGGCATGAGCCATGGCACCTGGCCTTAATTTTATCTTTTGTTTCAAGAATTATTATTTTTTGTTGTGTTTTTTGTTTGTTTTTTGTGTGTTTTGTTGTTGTTGTTGTTGTTGTTGAGACAGAGTCTTGCTCTGTGGCCCAGGCTGGAGTTCAGTGGTGCGATCTCAGCTCACTGCAACCTCCACCTCCTTGAGCTCAAGTGACCCTCCTGCCTTAGCTTCCCAAGTATCTGGGACCACAGACATGCGCCACCACACCTGACTAATTGTCTTGTATTTTTGGTATAGACGGGGTTTTGCCATGTTGCTCAGGCAACTCCTGGGCTCAAGTGATTGGTCTGCCTTAGCCTCCCAATGATAGGGATTACAGGTATGAACCACCGCACCTAGTTACATAAATGTTTAAATGAAGCGAGACAACACCGTCAGTAGGTGAAAGTAGGGGTGTACTTGGCACACCCTGTCTTGCTCCCTCCTATGAGGCTGTGTGTGTGTGTGTGTGTGTGTGTGTGTGTATGTGTGTACCTCCCCCCATACCTTATGTATTGGGTTTTGTGAATGGCTCTAGCCTTTATGGCCAGAACTCTTGATTGGAAGAGGAGGGAGAAAAGGTCATCACTGCTTGCAGCTGCAGGCATAATAAGCCGCCATCCACCCGCCTCAGGAATTCTCCTCCAGCTTAACTTTCAGTGTGACAGAAACAAGTGAAAAATCTCTGAGATGAGAAATTATCTGAAAACACGGAACACTCATTCCATGGTATAGAAGGAGGTGTTGTCCAACTTTAAAAAATAAAGAAATTCAGCCAGGTGCGGTGGCCCATGCCTGTAATCCAGCACTTTGGGAGGCCGAGGTAGGCAGATCACCTGAAGTCAGGAGATTGAGACTAGCCTGGCCAACATGGTAAAACCCTGTCTCTACTGAAAATACCAAAAAAAAAAAAAAAAAAAAAACAAACAAACAAAAAAAAAACCGGGCGTGGTGGCGGCACCTGTAATCCCAGCTACTAAAGCAGGAGAATTGCTTGAACCCGGGATGGGGAGGTTGCAGAGTGCACTCCAGCCTGGGCAACAAGAGCAAAACTCCATCTCAAAAAGATAAAATAAAAATTCTCTGGAAAATAACATGATCAGGATCTTGTTTCTTATGGACTTTCATCTGTGTAAAATTCAGGGCCTTGCACCTGATATGTAAGTTGTCAGTGTTGAATGAATGAATGAGTGAATGAGTGAATGAGTGAAGAACAAACTTTTTCAAAGTATATTGACCTTTTGGTTAATTTCAAATAACCGAACAGTGCTCATACTTTTAGTGCAGATGACCCAGGCAAGTTTGAAAAATTGGCCTCTTACGAGCCTCTGTCAAGAGAGAACAAGATGAAGAGTTCAAAGTCGCAAAGTGTGGTCTTGCCTTACCTCAGAAGTCATGGGACGGTAGAAACAATAAAGTAAGTTAATCCAAGGGGAAAATGGACTCTTGGGAAGAAGGCCGGGCCCCAGGGTCTCAGCCAGCTCCTCCCGTGGATCCTGGGGACTGAATTCCTCATCCTTTGTAGCACACGAACAATAACCCGACTGCTTTTCCCACCAGCCCAGGTCCCCGCACGCTGCACCCTTTCTCTCCCCACCAGCAAGGTGAACTGTTTTCTATAAGCCAGAAAAAGACCATAGAGATATGCGAGCTACGTATCTTCCATAAGTCCCAAGCTGTGGTTCAAAGACCAAAACAGCTGCTTCCTCTGCCACCCCACCCGGGCAGGCACCAGCCAGCTGGCTGCCTGCTGCCATTAACAAGCGCGTTCTAACCAGCAGCCACTGGATTTTTCCATAGAGTGTGGGCAGCTTTTAAGAGAACACTTGCCCAGAGAAGCCACTGGGCATGGCAGGGAATGAGTTTTTAACCTCTTTGGTCCCAGAAATCTGGAATATATAGTAAAAAACAGATGACTAAGAACTAGATCCAGAAGTGCTTAATGGTTCCAGCCGCTTTCTGTGTGAATGTGTCTGTAATGTCTTCCCTGAAGCTCGTGCAGTAGAGAGGGGGACTGTCCCAAGGTCACACAGAGATCGAATCAGTCGCACAGAGCAGGTACCTCAACTTTGGAGTTCCAGCCCAAGGGCTTTCCCTGCCAGCCAGTATGTCCAGGGCGAAGAAAGCCCTCATATGCCAGAGGGCCCCACACTAGGTTTCAGGTCATCCCTCAGGTAATGGGTCCTGAGGGGCTGACAAGCATTTCCCCCATCCCCATTCTTGTGTTCAATAGCAGCGTTTGAGAGCCCTGGTGTTTTCTTTTACTTTGTTGTTGTTGTTGAAACTGATCTTGCTCTGTCACCCTGGCTGGAGTGCAGTGGCGCAGCAACTGCAGCTCACTGCAACCTCCACCTCCTGGGTTCAAGTGATTCTCCTGCCTCAGCCTCCTGAGTAGCTGGGACTACAGGCGCCCAACACCATGCCTGGCTAATTTTTTGTACTTTTAGTAGAGACAGGGTTTCACTGTGTTAGCCAGGATGGTCTCGATCTCCTGACCTCGTGATCCGCCCGCCTCAGCCTCCCAAAGTGGCTGGGATCACAGACGTGAGCCACTGCACCCGGCCAAGAGCCCTGGTTTAAAAGGTAAGTGGAGGCCAGGCGCGGCGGTTCACCCCGTAATCCTAGCACTTTTGAGAGGCCGAGGCGTGTGGATCACGAGATCAGGAGTTCAAGACCAGTCTGGCCAAGATGGTGAAACCCCATATCTACTAAAAATACAAAAATTAGCTGGGTTCGGTGGCGGACACCTGTAATCCCAGTTACTCGGGAGGCTGAGGCAGGAGAATCGCTTGAACCCAGGAGGTGGAGGTTGCAGTGAGCTGAGATCGCTGTACCCTAGCCTGGGCGACAGAGCAAGACTCCGTCGAAAAAAAAAAAAAAAAAGGCCTCCTGTACGGTGCACAGAGTATTTCCCTCTTATTCTCTGCACCCACAGGTGTATTCATAGGCCAGCGGTGCACCTCTTTTGGGATGAAATTTGAAGAATTCGGTCTCTAGAATCCATGGGCTGGAGCTGTTAAGGTTCTATACTCCTCCCTCTCCCCAAGAGTCCGTTTCTTTCCCCCCTTGGATTGGCTTATTTTATTGCTACTTCTTTGGGGATAAAACTCTTTTTGACTGTTAGCCTGTGAGTGAATTAACTCATCTTTGAGCAAGATGCGTTTCTCTTCTCCCCAGGGAAGTGTCACAAGCCCTGAGGAAGTCTCCAAGCTGGCTGGGGCTCCTGATGAAGGTGCTGGTAGGAGCTCAGCGGATGTGTCTGGGCTAATGAGGGCTCTGTGGCTGGACACAGCGCAAAACATGGGTTCCCCCAAATTTATTTATTTATTTATTTATTTATTTATTTATTCATTCATTCATTCATTCAGAGACAGGGTCTCCCTCTGTTGCCCAGGCTGGAGTACAGTGGCACAATCATAGCTCACCACAGCTTTGACCTCCTGGGCTCAAGGGATCCCCCTGCCTCAGCCTCTTGAGTAGCTGGAACTGCAGGTGTGCACCACCATGCCCAGCTAATAGCTAATTTGTAAAATTTCTTGTAGAGATGTGGGCTCACTATGTTGCCCAGGCTGGTCTCAAACTCTTGGCCTCAAGTGATGCTCCCTCCTCGGCCTCCAAAAGTGTTAGGATTACAGGTATGAGCCACCACGCCTGCCCAGGCTGGAGTGCAGTGGCACGATCTCGGCTCACTGTAACCTCCACTTCCTAGGTTCAAGTGATTCTCCTGTCTCAGCCTTCCGAGTAACTGGGATTACAGGCATGTGCCACCATGCCCAGCTCATTTTTGTATTTTTAATAGAGACAGGGTTTCGCCATTTTGGCCAGGCTGGTCTCAAACTTCTGACCTCAGGTGATCCACCCGTCTCGGCCTCCCAAAGTGCTGGGATTATAGGTGTGAGCCATCCCACCTGGCCATATCTTTGTTTCTCGCAACACACTTATACACATCACAATATTCTTTTTTTTAAATTTTCTTTTCTTTTGAGATGGAGTCTCACTGTTGCCCAGGGTGGAGTACAGTGGTGCGATCTCGGCTCACTTCCCGGGTTCACACCATTCTCCTGCCTCAGACTCCCGAGTAGCTGGGACTACAGGCGCCCGCAACCACGCCCGGCTAATTTTTTGTATTTTTAGTAGAAATGGGGTTTCACCTTGTTAGCCAGGATGGTCTTGATCTCCTGACCTCCTGATCTGCCCACCTGGGCCTCCCAAAGTGCTGGGATTACAGGTGTGAGCCACCGCGCCTGGCCCTGGGTATTTTCATTTTTATTTATTTTTTTTGAGATGGAGTCTCACCCTGTCGCCCAGGCTGGAGTGCAGTAGTGCAATCTTGGCTCACTGCAATCTCTGCCTCCCCAGGTTCAAATGATTCTCCTGCCTCAGCCTCCCAAGTAGGTGAGATTACAGGCGCCTGCCACCACACCCAGCTAATTTTTGTATTTTTAGTAGAGACGGGGTTTTACCATGTTGGCCAGGCTGGTTTCAAACTCCTGACCTTGTGACCCAGCTTATTTTTGTATTTTTAGTAGAGACGGGGTTTTACCATGTTGGCCAGGCTGGTTTCAAACTCCTGACCTTGTGACCCACCTGCCTCAGCCTCCCAAAGTGCTAGGATTACAGGCATGAGCCACCGCGCCTGGGCCTTTGGGTATTTTTAAAGAGTAAAGTGCCCTGAAGACTGTGTGTGTAGGTAAGGGGCTTGCCCTCCCACTGGATGGCTCTGGATATAAAGTCATGGAAACACAGCTCCTGCATGTCTTCTAAGAGGCTTCATGGTGTGGAGAGTGCAGAGTGCTGGCTGAGGGCCGGCCTGGCCCAGCTGGAGACTGAAGCATGCCAAACTGACTCTATCCCTTAGGAACCAAGAGGACAGCCACCACCCACAGTACCAGGCAGAAGCAGCCTGGGCCTCGTGGTAGTTGCTAATCTGTAAGTTCCATGAAGGCAGGGATTATGTTTTGATCCCCAGTGTAACCCAGGCTCCTTGCACAGTGCCTAGCACACAGTGGTGCTCAATACACATTTTTTTTTTTTAAAAGGAGTCTCACTGTGTCGCCCAGGCTGGAGTGCAAGGGCGTGATCTCCACTCACTGCAACCTCCGCCTCCTAGGTTCAAGTGATTCTCCTGTCTCAGCCTCCCAAGTAGCTGGGACTACAGGTGCCTGCCACCACGCCCAGATAACTTTTTTGTATTTTTAGTAGAGATGGGGTTTCATCATGTTGGTCAGGCTGGTCTTGAACTCCTTGACCTCAGGTGATCCGCCCACCTTGGCCTCCCAAAGTGCTGGGATTACAGGCATGAGCCACAGCGCCCAGCCTCAATACACATTTTAAAGTGAATTTTGGTAGAATATATATATATATATATATTTGTTTTTTGTTTTGAGGCAGTCTCATTCTGTCGTCCAGGCTGGAGTGCAGTGGTGTGATCTCGGCTCACTGCAACTTCCGCCTCCAGGGTTCAAGCAATTCTCCTGCCTCAGCCTCCCGAGTAGCTGGGACCACAGATGCACGCCCCCACGCCAGGCTAGTTTTTTTGTTTGTTTTTTGTATTTTCAATAGAGATGAGATTTTGCCATGTTGGCCAGGCTGGTCTTGAACTCCTGACCTCAAGTGATCCACTCGCCTTGGCCTTTCAAAGTGTTGGGATTATAGGTGTGAGCCACTGCACCCGGCCTCAATATTTCTTTAAAGACATGGGGTCTCACTGTGATCTCCCAGGAGTTCAAGCAATCCTCCTGCTTCAGCCTCCCAAGTAGCTGGGACTATAGGTGTGCCCTACCACACCCAGCCCTAAATTAATTTTTTAAATGAAGTATCTCACTAAATGACATGACAGCAACTTTGCACAGATGAGGTGAGTTCCCTTCATCTCCAAGCCAGTGGTCCCAGAACCTCACCCTATGCAGTTAGGAGCAAGAGACTGCTGACAAGGATCCCATTAATAGGCCCAAACCATGCCATCCTCAGGAAGCCGGACTCATGGTTGCAGGCCCCTGTCCTCCCACGGGGCCACAGAAAATAGCAAAGGAAATGAAAATGTCCCATCCAACCCGGGCTCTGAGACCACACTGACAAAGCTTAGTGTCTGAAAGCCAGGGGCCCAACACAGGGCACCTCTCCGCAGCCTCTGTGTTATTTCATAGCTGAACAAATTCTATCCTAGGCCTTTCTTCTCTCAGATCCCTCTTCCTCCCTCCTTACGCGGGCTCTGAATTCCAGGCATTACACCAACCACAATCATACACACAAGGGCCTCGTGCTCTGATGTAGCCCTTGAAGCAACAGCAGCACCTGAAAGCCTGTTAGGAAGCAGAATCTTGGGCCCCACCCTGGACACTGCCCAATCAGAATCTGCATTTTAAACAGGAGCCCTTGATGGAGCAGTTTGAGAAGCACTGGGTTGGAGTAGTAATCATCACTGAGAAGATGACCATATCAGCATTCTATCTGCCTCCATAACAAATTATCACGAAATTGGTGGCTTAAAACAATATTCATAACCTCCCATTTCTGTAGGTCAGCGGTGTGGGCACAATGTAGCCCAGCTGGGTCCTCTATGCAGGGCCTCAGGGCTGGGCTCTTAAGGCTCTGGGGAAGATCTGGCTTCCAAGCTCACTGGCCATTGGCAGAATGCACTTCCTTTGGCTTCCCACACAGCCACATTGAAAACAGCAAGCATGTGTCCAAACCCAGAGGCTTCAGGTCTCACTTCTGCTTACAGCTCCTATGATCACACTGGGCCGTCGGATAATCCAGGATAATCTCCCCATTTTAAGGTCAACCCACCAGTTACCTTAATTTCATCTGCAAAGCCCCTCTTGCCACGTGATAGAGCATAACCATGGGCATGGCCCCAGAACGTGAAGGTCATGGGGGCTGCAATTCTGCCTACCACATTGACTTCATCAGCAACAGGTCCAGTTCGGGATGAATCGCCTCTGAAGGGTGCTCTGAAGTGCTCCAGCTGAAGTTTTGGCCATCTCCGCCAGCCACACCCCACTGGGTTCCTCCTCCCCAGCTCTGGCTGTTTCGTCCCCTCTAGCCATCGCCCACCGTCCACACTGCCATACGGCCGCTCAGGACATCCCAGTTCCCTCCTGCCCGAGAGCTCTCATCTGAGGACGCGCATCATTCCTCAGGAAACTCTATCTTTCCACACCACCCCCAGCTGTTCTCAGCCACCCAGAAAAAAGGAACATAAACGCTAATGGGGAAAAACATGGGGACACATCTCATTTCACCCCACACTCCCTCAGCTCAACCTGGGAATGTAACCTGCAGGGCAGCAAGACCAGAAGCAACACCACTCCAGTTCTCCCAAGGGCCAATGGCATAGCCCTTGGGTATTCTCAGGGTTCTCTTACCCAGACAGGTGGCCAGCTAGCAGGAGTGCACACACTTCCAAATATCAGCTAAAGTCAAATGATGGCTCAATCTTCTCCATCTATTAAATCAAATTGGTGCTAGGCTCAATGGCCAAGGATGCAAAGCTGGTTGTCTTTGGTCCCTTCCAAACTGTGGTCTGTGAATGAGCAGTGGTAGGTATTACCTTGGAGTTGCTACATCTATAGAGTCCCTCCTAGTGAACTGGAATCTGCATTTTAATGAGATACCCAGGTGATCTGTAAGCACATCCTGAAATGCTGAGGAAAACCTGAAGTCAGCAGCAGAAAGGCGGACTCCAGCTGTGTCCAGGCATCCTTCGTTCCGAGTCCAGTCCTTACCTGGCCCATACAGGCCCAACTCCCAGCCACTCTTCCTCCTCCATCAAGCACCACCTATCTCTTGAGATCTTTCACAAAAATAAACTTTAGGGAAGGGTGGGACCTTTGGAATAATCTAGTCTTACCCCACCTCATGGCCTCTTGCATGTCAGCGCCATCACCATCATCATGCCACGTGCTGTGTCTCAGAGCCTGTTCCCTCCTAGTTTAAGATCTTTGAGAAACCATGTCTTTTCATCTCTGTATCCTCAAAGTCTGGCTGATCCAGTCCGGTATATAGCAGGTCTGCTAAATTGTTGTTAAACTGCCTTAATTTCGATAGATGAAGCAAGCAGAGCCAGGAGAAGTTGGGGAGATCAGCTAAGATCACTGGGCAGTCAGGTGCTGATCCACGTCCAAACTTCTGAACCAGGGAGGCATACAAGATGCTTTAGTGACTTACATGTGTGTGCCATTTTTATTTGTCTCCAACACCCACCCTATGTTGGATGCCATCTCAATTCTTCTTGTGTATTGAGAATGAGTCTTTTATCTAAGCTCGTTAAAACAGAAATTCCATCCATATTTACTTCAAAAGACTCAAAAATACAATTTAATAGAATACTTAATATGAATTTCACAGGCACCAAAGTTTACAGCTGTTGAGGATGAGGTCACACTGGCCCAACTAAAGTCATGTCACCTCTCTCACATCGTAGCATTCTTTTATCCTTGTTTTACACTCTTAAGAGATAGCATAAAGAAGAAAATCAAAACCCAGAAAAGGTTTGCTGTAATTACTCCAATAATTTCCTTCAGTGAAAATCTCTTATCACTATGATTTTAGTGACAGAGGAACAAGCAGAGCTCTGACGTGGGGCTGAGTGCCCACTACTAAAGGGCAGAGGCTGCCGCCAGGCCACCAAGGCCCATCTGGCCAGGCAAGGCCACCCAGAGCCCTCACGTTTACTCCAAACGGCCATTCTTGAGCCAGCTGGGTTGGGTCCCACCCCTTCTGGCTTGCACCACCACAAAGAAAACCTCAAGAATATCTGCTTTGCCGTTTTTTTTTTTTTTTGCAGACAGAGTCTCGCTCTGTCACCAGGCTGGAGTGCAGTGGTGTGATCTCGACTCACTGCAACCTCCGCCTCTTGGGTTCAAGCGATTCTTCTGCCTCAGCCTCCCGAGTAACTGGGACTACAGGCACGCACCACTACGCCCAGCTAATTTTTATATTTTTAGTAGAGACGGGATTCCACCATGTTGGCCAGGATGGTCTCGATCTCTTGACCTTGTGATCCGCCCGCCTCGGCCTCCCAAAGTGCTGGGACTACAGGCGTGAGCCACTGCGCCCGGCTGCCTTTTTTTTTTTTTAAAAAAGGAGAAAAGTAACAATAAACAACAGCCTTAAGAAAAAACAAGAAGCAACACAGATCATATGGGAAGCACAACTTTCTCAGCCAAGTAGCCCAAATTATCACAAATAATCCTACCAAGAATACACCTAATACTGGAGGGGAAAGAATGCTTACACAAAACTGTTGTTTGCTTTGAAGCTTTGAATAAGTTCCAAGTTTTTATATTTCACAATTTATATACTTTATTACAGTCCACAGTCTGCTAAATAAAAGCAGTAACAAGATATTTCACAAACTATTGTACAAATTAAGTCTTATGAATTTAATCTCATAAAAAATTAGGTGCATAGTCACACTGGCTAACCTAAAAATGCTATTTTATCTACAGCCTAAAATAAGAGGCAGTTCCAACACTAAAAATTAATCCCAGTTTTTTTTTTTACATGTTTTACAAAAAAAAGTTTGTGCTCTTAATCAAAAAGATCGAGGCTAATTCAGCATGTAAAAAATAAATTTTACAAAGAACCCAAGATAATATTTTTCAAACACACTTTTATTTTCTTTTTTTCCTTCCTCACATACAGAACTTCTCCACATACCACATTTCTTGCAGCTATAAAGTCACTTGATGTTGGCCGGGTACCATTTTATCCCTAAAACTCTGTTGACATCAAAATATGACAGTTGTTATATCCATAAAATATTTACATAGCACGGCATATTAAGCTTTAGACACTTGGCAATTAAACCACATAAAAAGAGGACAAGACCCCCATCCTACATGTTTGGAATCAGGTGTTCACCGGTCCCTATCTGGCGACTGTACACTGGTTCAAAGGGCAGCAGAGGCAACAGGCAGTTACTTCAGAGGACACTGAACACTATGATCTGGAAGCACGTTATGATGTAACCCAATGTCATGTACCACACACCTTTCTCCAAGGTGGTCTCATAATTCTAGAATGGAAGGTCCAGCTGTTACAAAATGAAGACAGACAACACAACATTTACTCTGTGGAGATATCCTACTCATACTATGCACGTGCTGTGATTTTGAACATAACTCGTCCCAAAAACTTGTCACGATCATCCTGACTTTTTAGGTTGGCTGATCCATCAATCTTGCACTCAACTGTTACTTCTTTCCCAGTGTTGTTAGGAGCAAAGCTGACCTGAACAGCAACCAATGGCTGTAGATACCCAACCTGGCAATAAAAGGAAAATATATTAATTCAAACTCTATGGAAACTTAATACTTCTCTCTACCAGGAATTGGCTTATTCTGTAAATTTTCTTTTTGAGACTGTTGCCCAGGCTGCAGTGCAGTGGTGCAATTATGGCTCATTGAAGCCTCAACCAATCCTCCCACCTCAGTTTCCTAAGTAGCTGGGACTATAGGCACATGCCGCCACAGCCCACTAATTTTTAAATTTTTTTGTAGAGACAGGGTCTCCCTGCCCAGGCTAATCTCAAACTCCTCGCTTCAAATGGCCCTTCCACCTCACCCTCCCAAAGTGCTGGGATTACAGGTGTGAGCCACCATACGTGGCTTGTAAATTAAAAAAAAAATTTAGCTCTATTATTTTCTGTTCTCTGCATTCTTTTTAATTTTTTGGAGCTGTAAGTCCATACCTGTAATTACTGATAAAAATGTTGACTGGGTGTGACAGCTCATGCCCCTGAGCTCAAGTGATCCTCTTGCCTTGTCCTCCCAGAATGCTAGGATTACAGGTGTGAGCCACCACACCCGGCCTATTATCATTATTATTATTAATTTTTTTGTGAGGCAGAGTCTTGCTCTGTTGCCCAGGCTGGAGTGCAGTGGCACGATCCCGGCTCACTGCAACCTCTGACTCCCGGGTTCAAGTGATTCTCCTGCCTCAACCTCCCAAGTAGGTGGGATTACAGGCACCCGCTACCACGCCCAGCTAACTTTTGTATTTTTAATAGACGGGGTTTCACCATGTTGGCCAGGATAGTCTCGATCTCCTGACCTCGTGATCTGTCCACCTTGGCCTCCCAAAGTGCTTGGGAATATATAGGCATGAGCCGCCACACCCGACCCTTATCATTATTTTTTAATATTCTTTTTTGAAATGGAGTATGTTGCCCAGGTTGGAATGCAGTGGCACCATCTCAGCTCATTGCAACCTCCACCTCCCAGGTTCAAGCGATTCCCCTGCCTCAGCCTCCCATGTAGCTGGAGTCACGGGTGCCCACCACCATACCCAGCTAATTTTTTTATTTTTAGTAGAGACAGGGCTTTGCCATTGCTACTGAAGTTGGCCAGGCTGGTCTCGAACTCCTGACCCCAGATGATCCACCTACCTCGGCCTCCCAAAGTGCTGGGATTACAGGCGTGAGCCACTGCACCTGGCCTTTTTTTTTTTTTTTTTGAGACATTGCATTCTGTTGCCAGGCTGGAGTGCAATGGTGCAATCTCGGCTCACTGCAACCTCTGCCTTCCTGGTTCAAGTGATTCTCCTGCCTCAGCCTCCTGGGTAGCTGGGATTACAGGAGTGTGCCACCACGGTCAGCTAATTTTTGTATTTTTAGTAGAGACAGCGTTTCACCATGTTGGTCAGGCTGGTCTCGAACTCTCCACCTCAGGTGATCCGCCTGTCTCAGCCTCCCAAAGTGCTGGGATTACAGGCGTGAGCCACCGTGCCAGGCAGTAACGAGCTTTTTAATTTTCTCCCCACATGATACTTATTGATGACAGAGGAAAAAAAGTATATTGTAGAAACCTCGCTCATACCACCTTAACCAAGGAATCAAGGCAGTATCACCATTAACGGAATGAAATGATACCATGTCCCTCCTGACACTCTGAGAACTCAACATTTCTTTTGAGGCACTCATGCCAAAATGCACAACCTATATTTAATCATGAAAAACCACCAAACTCCAACTAATGAACATAAAATAAGCCATAAAAGGCCCGTACTTATTTTTGAAGAGTACAAAGCCATGAAACAGACTGAGGAAATATTCCTGATTATAGGTTGCTAAACGTGTTAACAGTGTGACATCTGGGATCAGGAAAACACTTGTCTTTCACTATAAAGAGTATTACTGGAACAATTGATGGATTTTCAACAAAGTCTACAGATTCATAAGAGCACTATATGTTAACTTCCTTTGTTAACTGTACTACTGTCTTTGTTTTCTGTTGCTTATAACACAATACTTGAAACTGGGTAATTTATAAAGAAAGGAATTTATTTCTTACAGTTAATGGAGGCTGAGAAGGCCAAGATCAAGGAGCTGCATCTGGTGAGAACCTTCTTTGCTGCTGGGTACTTTCAACAGAGTCCTGAGGTGGTGCAAGGCATCACGTGGCCAGGGGGCTGAGCATGCTAACCTGCTAGCTCAGGTCTCTCTTCCTCTTCTTATAAAGCCGCTAGTCCCACTCCTATGATAACTCATTAGTCCACTAACCTATTTTTTTTTTTTTTGAGATAGAGTCTTGCTTTGTTGCCCAGGCTGGAGTGCAATGGTGCAGTCTTGGCTCACTGCAATCTCTGCCTCCCAGGTTGAAGCGATTCTCCTGCCTCAGTCTCCCGAGTAGCTGGGATTACATGCACCCACCACTATGCCCGGCTAATTTTTGTATTTTCAGCAGAGACGGGGTTTCACTATGCTAGTCAGGCTGGTCTAGAACTCCTGACCTCAGGTGATCTGCCCGCCTCGGCCTCCCAAAATGCTGCGATTGCAGGCGTGAGCCACCACACCCGGCCGCAATGAGCTTTTGATTTTTTTTCTTTTTTGAGACAGAGTCTCGCTCTGTTGCCCAGGCTGGAGTGCAGTGGCACAATCTCGGCTCACTGTAACCTCCGACTCCCAGGTTCATGCCAGTCTCCTGCCTCACCCTCTCGAGCAGCTGGGACTACAGGTGCCTGCCACCACGCCCAGCTAATTTTTTGTAATTTTTAGTAGAGACGGGGTTTCACCGTGTTAGCCAGGATGGTCTTGATCTCCTGACCTCGTGATCTGCCCGACTCGGCCTCCCAAAGTGCTGGGATTACAGGTGAGCCACTGCGCCTGGCCTTGATTTTCTTTTCATTTATTTTTTTGGTGGGGGAAACAGAATCCCATTCTGTCACCCAACCTGGAGTGTGGTGGTACAATCTTGGCTCACTGCAACCTCCACCTCCTGGGTTCAAGCGATTCTCCTGCCTCAGCCTCCCGAGTAGCTGGGACTACAGGCACATGTCACCACGCCCAGCTAATTTTTGTATTTTTAGTAGAGAGGGGGTTTCGCCAAGTTGGCCAGGCTGGTCTCAAACTCCTGACCTCAGGTAATGCGCCCGCCTTGGCCTCTCAAAGTGCTGTGATTACAGGAGTAAGCCACCGCACCCGGCCTTGATTTTCTTTTTAAGTACTTTTCTACTTTCTCTACATAAGCACCTACTACTACCTCTATAATGAAAAAGAAAATGATATTTTAGAAATAATCATCTAACTTTAACGTATCTGCTTGGGTTCTGTGTTCTGAATTGTAAATGTGGGAACTCCATTTACCATCACCATTAAAATAAAACAAAACCTGAATAGATGACGCACAAATTAAACAGGGCTGGCGTCTACCTACCCCAGACAAGTGGTACGTCAACACATGCTCCAGCTTCCCAAAAGAGTAATCACCACATAAGAACTTCTCAATACTTACATGCAGTTTTTTCCCATAATATGGGAAATATTTTAAGTCTATCATTCCATTATGAGGATAAACTGCTACATTTGGTATATCTTCATTCTGAAGTTGAAAACAAAAGAAATCCTCTTTAGGTCACAAAAAGAATTTGTAAAAACTATGTTTATAATTAAAGGAATATCAATCATGAACAGTTTGCAGAAACTACAATGCTGCTCCAACTATATTATCATTACAAGTGTATTTCTGAGAAGAAGCTTGCTCATCTTGATTGCAAATATTATCTAACTAACCCCTTCCACATGAACTATCCTGATACTTACACTTCCAGATACACTCTATACTCTCTTTCATGAGAGTCCCTTCTTTAACTCATGTACTCCTGTAAAATCTTATCTGCCCTCCAAATACCAAATGCCAGCCTTTCTACCTACTAACAGCAGGAATGCACCAGCAGGTTTAGGACCGATGTTTTCCTGAAATGAATAAAATGCTGTGCTTCCAGACTGGAAAGCAACAGCCACCACAAGGTGCCAACCTAGAATGCAGCACTCAGGCCTGGGAGACAGCAGGTGTGAGTTTCATGTGATTAATAACCAGAACTGCAACCAGAGGGGAAGCATGAAGGAAAATTTAAGGTACTACAAGCAAAACTCTCCTCGACAAATTTAAATACTGTATCAGGAATAAATTTATGAGCATATATAAATCATTAAGTATTACTTGTCTACTAGAATTCCATGTTTATCAACATACAAATCAAGCATCACCTGTAATCCAATTAATTCATGCTATTAGTTATTTCTAGTATTATTCATGATAAATAAGCAATTTATGAAAATTCACATGTAACACTTTCTAAATGGGCCTAATTCTAATGAGTGTAACTTTAACACAGACTGAGAAGTAGCAAACAGACCACAATGATTAAAATCAGTGCTGGGCTTACGGAACACTAGTTAAAATAAAACATTATTAAATACTTGAATTTTATATATATATAAAAAAATTTTTTTGAGACAGGGTTGAAAGCATGCATGAAACAGCATAAAGCAAAACTAAGAATCCACTCTAAGGAGTTCTAGATTCTGCTCATTTCATTTCATTATGAAGCAGCATATGGCTGTGGGGTGGGGTGAGAGACAGATGAAAGGCACCGGCCAGACAGCACAAAGGACAGAGTGATGATGCGCCCCACCCACCAGACAAGCTCTAATGATCCAGATGATGAATATGTGGAAAGGGTAGGAAGTAACAACGCTAGGAGAAATCGCAAAAGCCATTTTCAATCACTACTCAAACTCCACCCTACATTTGTACTCTTTAACTTAAAAAATAAGCTTAAAATCAAAGATAACATTTTATATTAGAGAAAAACTAGTCACTCTGATATCAGTGCTTTTCTGCATTAATTGCTTTTGTTGAACCTATTTTACCTTAATATATGACCTTCACAGAACACATTTCCGCAAAATGAAAAAAAGGATTTTTTTTGAGAAACAGTTTACTGAGTATCTTGGAGTATGTTTCTTTTTTCTTTTTTCTTTTTTTTGAGACAGAGTCTCACTCTGTTGCCTAAGCCAGAGTGCAATGGCCTGATCTTGGCTCACTGCAGCCTCCTCCTCCCGGGTTCAAGCGATTCTCCTGTCTCAGCCTCCTGAATAGCTGGGATTACAAGTGTGCGCCACCATGCAGGGCTGATTTTTGTATCTTTAGTAGAGACGGAGTTTTGTCATGTTGGCCAGGCTGGTCTCAAACTCCTTACCTCAAGTGATCCACCACACCCAACCCAGAGTGGGTTTCCTACCAGATACCACACTTAGCTTACACTTCCCTCCTTTAGGCCTAACAAGCCTTAGTGGACAGCATCAATTACGGAGCAGGGCACTGGGGCTCAGAGTTAAGGCCATCACGGCTCAAGACCATCAGGTGTGGCAGACGCTCAACTGCTCTCTGTGTGTGCCTAAGACGTGATCTTGGCAGGATTTTTCTTAATCTTTTAATTTATACCTTCTGTGAAAATAAACATTTAGAAATTGTAAAATATTAAAATGAGTATCTGAATAATAATGAGGTACTCAGGGTGAAGCATGTATGTCATAATTTTCTAAGTATACGAATAGCATATTTTTTTTTCTTTTTGAGACAGAGTTGCTCTGTTGCCTAGGATGGAGTGGAGTGGCGCGATCATGGCTCACTACAACCTCTGCCTCCTGGGTACAAGCGATTCTCTTGCCTAAGCCTCCCGAGTAGCTGGGATTACAGGCACATGCCACCACGTCAGGCTCATTTTTTTATTTTTAGTAGAGATGGGGTTTCACCATGTTAGCCAGGCTGGTCTCGAATTCCTGACCTCTGGTGATCCGCCTACCTTGGCCTCCCAAAGTGCTGGAATTACAGGTGAAAGCCACCGCGTCCGGCAATAGCATCATATTGTAAACTATGAGCAACTAACTCTAAGAACCTACTGATGGTCACTAAGTTCCACTGAAACAAAATGGAGTTTAAAAATTAATGCATTTTGTTTCTTCCCATTTTTTGATTTTCTTAGTATGATTCATTTTCATAAGAAAATAAAACACTGAGAAAAAAATGACATAAATATGAAAATTACATCTTTTGCAGGATCATCTTTTAAGTTGATAATATAAAAGGCCACCTTGGCCATCTGCGGTGGTTCACACCTGTAATTCCAGCATTTTCAAAGGCGGAGGTGGGTGGATTGCTTGAGGCCAGGAGTTTAAGACCAGCCTGGCAACATGGTGACACCCTGTCTCTATGGAGAGAGAGAGAAAAAAAAAAAGCACCTCCAAGGGTATGTTAAGTGTTTGTATTTTCAGGACTCTAACTTGTATAAAAACAATCAAGGCAGAACAAAATCAATACAAGACAAAATAAAAGACATATGTATTACATAAAAGAACTAAAGAATTTAAAGAACGCTTGACATAGACAAATCTAATAGAAAATTGCAATTATGATATGTAGTAAATGCTTCCATCTGTTCTGGAGAGCCACACTTCTAAAATTTATGGGTTCTAACTGGTTTACTACTTGTGACTAGCCTAGGGAATAAATGCCAAATTTTACAAACATTTCTTCCACTTTTGTGCTTTTCTAAAAACAAACAAAAAATCCACAACTAAATAAACAAAATTAAAACTCCACCTGCTTTGATTATTTTATGTACTTCACACACCTCTCTCCAAAGCAAAAGGGAAAGCTAACTGAAATCCGAATCATTAAATCTGGGTTTTTCATTAACATTTCCCCCAACTATTCTAGAAGCAAAGGATACGTAATAGATAAACAAGAAGAAAAATGCATTTAAAACCTTAAGGGGGCCGAGTGCAGTGGCTCACGCCTGTTACCCCAGTACTTTGGGAGGCTGAGGAAGACGAATCACGAGGTCAGGGAATCGAGACCATCCTGGCCAACATGGTAAAACCCCATCTCTACTAAAATACAAAAAATTAACCGGGCGTGATAGCACGTGCCTGTAGTCCCAGCTACTTGGGAGGCTGAGGCAGGAGAATCGCTTGAACCCGGGAGGCAAAGGTGAGCTGAGATCGCACCACTGCACTCCAGCCTGGGCAACAGAGAGAGACTCCGTCTCAAAAAAAAAAAAAGGGAGAGGTATATGGAATTGTTTATACTGACCAAAGGTTTACACAATTTAAAGCTTTTGCGCTTCTGGCTTGAATGTGTTTTCCCTTCAGGTGGTATTGGCTTTGTAGACCCAGCACTCCATCCAAGCTTATCTATGCAGCCTGCTCACAGGCTCCTGTATACAGGCGCACTGTCATGAAATTAGCACTTCTACCCAGCTGAAGCCTAGCACCCAAGCCCCAAGAACTTTCTACCAGAAAGCTTTGTGAGCAAGCCCTGAGGATCACAAAGGGTTACCCAACATTTTTTCTAAATGTATCTTGTAGCTATAGTGTTCTGACTTGAGAGCTGACAGTATATGCTGCCCACTAGATTTTTAGAAGAATTTATCAAGAAAAGCTCAGCTGGGCGCGGTGGCTCACGCCTGTAATCCCAGCACTTTGGGAGGCTGAGGCGGGCGGATCACGAGGTCAGGAGATCAAGACCATCCTGGCTAACATAGTGAAACCCCGTCTCTACTAAAAAATACAAAAAATTAGCCGGGCGTGGTGGCGGTCGCCTGTAGTCCCAGTTACTTGGGAGGCTGAGGCAGGAGAATGGTGTGAACCCAGGAGGCGGAGCTTGCAGTGAGCCGAGATCATGCCACTGCACTCCAGCCTGGGCAACAGAGTGAGACTCCGTCTCCAAAAAAAAAAAAATAAAATAAAATAAAGAAAGAAAAGCTCAGCTTAGATGTGGTATCTGGTTTTAAGTGAGATTCTGGCTTTTTGTGTGTGTGTGATGGAGTCTCACTCTGCCAACAGGCTGGAGTGCAGAAGTGTGATCTCAGCTCACTGCAACCTCCACCTCCCAGGTTCAAGCGGTTCCTTTGCCTCCGTCTCCTGAATAGCTGGGACTACAGGTGCGTGCCACCATGCCCAGCTAATTTTCTGTATTTTAGTAGAGACGAGGTTTCAGTATGTTGGCCAGGATGGTCTCGATCTCTTGACCTCGTGATCTGCCTGCCTCAGCCTCCCAAAGTGCCAGGATTACAGGCGCGAGCCACTGCACCCAGCTGACTCTGGCTTTTTGTACAAGTTTCCCATTGAGCTGTCTGTGGCACAAGGAGGTAAAGTGAATTGCCAGTGGTCACACACATATAATTTCAACCCAGATGAGAAACCATAAACTTCCTGGCTTTTTATGCTACTCTAAATAGTGAATAAATGCTCTTAAAAAATTAATAAGGACACTCCAAATCGGGAGTTCTCAAAATGTGGGCCTCAGACCAGCAGCATCAGCATCACCTGGAAACTTTAGTGAGAAATGCAAATTTTGGGCCAGGCGCGGTGACTCATGCCTGTAATCCCAGCACTTTGAGAGGCCGAGGCGGGCAGATCACGAGGTCAGGAGATCAAGACCATCCTGGCTAACATGATGAAACCCTGTCTCTCCAAAAAAAAAAAAAAAAAATTAGCCGGGAGCGCCTGTAGTCCCAGCTACTCAGGAGGCTGAGGCAGGAGAACCGCGTGAACCCGGGAGGCGGAGCTTGCAGTGAGATCGTGCCACTGCACTCCAGCCCAGGCGACAGAGTGAGACTCCGTCTAAAAGAAAAAAAAAGAAAAAAATGCAAATTTTGGACCCTATCTCAGACCTACTGAGTCAGAAACTATGGGAACGGAACCCAACAAGGCAACATGACTCTGATGAGTGATCAAGTTTGAAGACCACTGAGCAAGAAGTTTCTGCCCAAATAAGAAGTCCATTAACAGTAAAAAGAATTTTTTTTCACAACTTTAAAAGTGATTTCAATGTAACATTCTAAGTAAAATATTTCTGCCATACAATCAGAGTTGAAATGTTAATATTTAGCACAATGATAAATTTAGAACTTAATGTCTCCTCAGAACTCTTACCCATCTTTTACATTATTTGTCTTAGTGGCATTTGCAGCATGGAGAGAAAACAAAAGAAAGTTATGAGATGAAAACTGCACAGTATTCTGGAAAAAAAAGTAAGTAGGGATAGGGGAGATAAATAATGCTTCTACCTTAAGGAAAATGCACCATATTTCATTAAATCTCAGATAGCACTGATGACTAGCACGCCAACTAACTATTAAGAAAGAGAAAAATGTCATGATACAGTATTAAGACACCATCAATTACAAGGGTAATCCCAATTTCAGTGTTACTGAGCTGGCAGAAAAAAAGTGAATCTTAGAATTGATGAAATACGGTATATGTGAAAATAAAGGCAATGTGTGCAAAATCAAATACACATGGAAAATGTCTTTCTGAATTATCATTAAGGAAGAGAAAGACTACGGTTGGTGGAATTTTATTCTAAGGCACTACAAAGGACTTTAAAATGTGACAGGGAAGAAAAAAAAGATGACTAAATCATTAGACTTTTAAAGTATTTTAAGAAACATCAAAGATTTAACAGGAGTTACTTTTTGAATACTAACCTTTGAAACACAATCTATCCTTGGCACTCCTTCAGGCTTTAATCCAATTATCTAAGGTTAAGAAATAGTGATAAATTTAAACTTCACGTAAGTATGCAATGGAACTTCCTCCCTCTGTTGCTGGGAACAAGGGGTGAAGACTTTGAGATTAACACCAAGTCTGTATACATCTGCCTTTTACTTTAATCTTATTTGAGGGTATTAAAATGAACTTTTAAATAAAATAACTTCAGCAATCAGATATCTTATTACTGTACTGGGGCAATTTAGAAAATAAATAAATTACCAAAGAATTAAATGAAACAAAAGTACCCTTTGCTACCCTTAAAATATGAAACAGACAGAAACCCTTAAATCTAATTATTAATATTTATATGAACAAATAATTTAATGTATATAATAAGAACTGCAGAAGCATAATAATTAACTGTTCTTCACAAAACTATATCAGGTCACACTCTCCGTGTTTCCATGAGGGCCCCACTGAGCCTCACTGTATCTCACAACCCATCTGCTCCCCAAAAGGCACACACTGGGAGAGCCCTATTTTAAGACTCCTTTCGTGTATGTAGCTGACAGAACTGAATAAACTCACATATTTATACATTTTGTGAGATAATTTTTTGGCATTCTGAATTTATACACAGTTTCCACGTGAATGCACGTAAAATCTAAATATTCCTCTCAAAAGACAAGTATTGTTGCGTCCTAACTGGGAACTATACTGGTATGAAACCTCCTGCTACACTACGTAAGCTCATCTCATCAATGATTCCTGTGTGTCTGATGCTGTCCTCCTGACAAAGCCATGCCCTGAGTCATCAGCAAGCATGGTCTCAGGCCATTATCATTCAAGGAGACCATCTTGAGAAAGAAAACAAACCCAGAAGGTTGATCCTCTCCTGGCTTTCTACTGGGAACAAATGTTCAGCAATCTAGATGTCGTGAGGATACTTCTAGTAGACTGGGATTACAAAAGGCATCTCTGTTAAAACAAACTTAATTCATTTTATAAACTAGATCATCTAGTTTCACATTACTTTCAGCTTACTTTGTTAACTTCAATTCTTAATTCTGAATAAGGTCTGGTTGAAACATTCCACTAATCATTTACTGAGCACCTAGAATGCTATGGGACAATCTGGAAGCTGTCAGTTGTCCAAGGCCTCCCAAAGGGATGAAGCAGAGGTTGGAGGGGTGTCAGTCTGGGCACCTCAGGGCCTAGCTGGTTCTCCCTACAGGGAAGCTTCTTATTTAGCAGTGCCAACTTCAAAAGATCCAAATTTTACTTTTATTAGGGATGGTGGCAATTTGCTCACCAATGATGACTTTAGTGATTCATAAACTCATGATTTTGAGAAGTCTACACCTGTTTTAAATGACCATGAATGACTTCACTCTTCAAGGGAGACCTTGCAGGCCTCAAAACAGTAAGCGCATCAGAACACAACTCTGAAGTACATTTACAGAGCAGCAAGGCACGGGGGCTAGGGATCACTTCATGACTCAAGAAAAGCCGTATCATCTTCCTTTGCACAATGACCCTAATTCATTACTCCTGTCACACAGAGAACATTAGCTTCTTCCTTTGCTCATTACTATACAATTTAGGCACCCTTCTGTAAAACAGCAAAATGCTGCTACTTTGGATACAACTGCAACATCCCACTGAACTCGTTAGAATGGGATTTTATTTGTATTTCTGTTATCTAATTACATATATATATACTGATACTATAAAACTATGCTTTGCTACTATTTCGAAAAAGTTAATAAGTTTAAACTTTATGGAGTCTGTGGAATTTTAAATTATTTTACAACACAGGATTCACAGATGAGCACTGCACCCTAACAAGTCTCTGCTTTGGTTATGACAAGGAGAACATTTGCCCCTTGGAGCATTAATGTGTGCTGGAATGCATGTAGCTATTTCCAAAGAAGAAAAGTTTAAAAGTTACTTTAACTCCTTACTCCATGATTAATCTATGAACCTCTTTTTTTTGCCATATAAACTTTCTTCCAGTGATCAATAAACATTACTGCTAGTCTTTAAAGCAAGCTACCCCCCAAATGATAACTTTTAATAAGGAAGGCATTAACCCAACCACAACAATCTAAAAATAGTTGCCTCCTTAAAAGAGAATATTAGAAAAAAGCAGCAGCAGAGGTAAAATATGTACGTACTCTGTTCATTTTCACAAGAATACAAGGGTTTCCTTGAGAATAGCCAAAATCAGGATCATTCATACCACTGCATGCTTGAAGTAATGAAATAGGAAACTGACATGCAACATAAACTGGACCCTTCTGTTCAAAAAGTGCTCCATCAGGACAGACTGTGAGGTTCTTCTGTTCTTCTAAAGTATATGCTAAAAAGGAAACATATATGTGTGCTAGATCAGCCAAAAAAGGTACTAAAAACAACCAGGAATATATTAACCTTTGGAAAATGTTCTTCAAAGACAAAAACAGCAATGTAAATTACCAGATAACTTTAGGGAAAGAATGTTAAGTTTGCCCCTTTACCTTTTAACAGCTAACTAGTTCTCTAAAGTTACTGCATTTCAATAATCATACAAACTGGATTATAGATCCATCTCTTCTGTCACCATTAGGTGGCAGTACCAGCCATGGCTAAAGCATTATCTGAATGCCTTCTGCATGCTTGGTGATACAATGGAGAGGATGTAAAAAGGCACTGCTGCTGCCCTCATGGAGCTTACGGTTTTGTGGGGAAGAGAGTCATTAAGTGAGTATAAAATCAGAATTGCAGAGGTATGAAGATGTAGTGTTATGACAACCTACACTAAAAAAAAAAAAAGCAACTGAGCTGAATGCAGAAGGGTATGTGGGAGTTAATGAAGCTAGGAGAAGCACTTCCAATGAAGGAAGGTAGAAGCCAGACCATATAGAGTCTTGTAAACTATGTTAAAGAATTTTGAGGGGTGTGGGTGGGTGTTTTGCCAAACATCAATTAACAATCCACTAAAATGTTTTAAACCAGGGCAAGTGGATAGTATGAACATACTTAGGAAATTAACTCTGACTTTTCTGTGGAGTCAGTCCAGAAGGGAAAAAGAAAGGATCCGGAAAACAAGTTAGGAGACTATTAAAGCCGCCCAGGTGAGAGACTAGCTCATAGAAGGGGGTTTTTAGCAGAGATGGAGTTTACAGTGATAAAGGAGTAAAATGGTTAGAACTTGGTAATGGGAGGGAAGAGGGAGGAGAAATATGCAACAGACAATACAATTCTGCTCCGTACTTGGCACAGTGTTTAGCCCAAGAGGCACAAAGTGAGCAAGCCTGATGTGACCCCTGCCCTCAATTAACTTAATCTAGTGGACAATGCTTACTAATAAATAATTAACATATGATATAACAGTGCCTCAGGAAGAACTATTGGTGTGTGGGTGCAATTGGTACCAGAAAAAGGTATTGAATTCAATGAAAGTAAGAACCAGGCCAGGCGCAGTGGCTCATGCCTGTAATCCCAGCACTTTGGGAGGCCGAGGCGGGTGGATCACGAGATGAAGAGTTCAAGACCAGCCTGGCCAAGATGGTGAAACCACGACTCTACTAAAAATACACAAAAAAATTAGCTGGGTGCGGTGGCAGGTGCCTGTAATCCCAGCTACTCGGATTCTACTGAGGCAGGAGAATCGCTTGAACTCAGAGGGCGGAGGTTGCCACTGCACTCCAGCCTGGGCGACACAGTGAGGCTCCATCTCAAATAAATAAATAAATAAATAAATAAGAACCAAATTTCAAAGAGTATGCCTCAAAAAGGAAGTGTAAAGTCTTTACCTTGGGGGAAAAAAATCACTGTCAAAATGTTTGGTTTCATCTTATACTTACCAGAAACTAGGTTACTGTGGGACTATGTACTCATTTAAAAGCAAAGAATGATTCAGGTATTTTGTGGGGGTAGAGATAAACTTTATAACAAAACAGCATCATGACATCCAACACTTTGCAAAAAAATAAGCCCTTCACCAATTTCCCCAAGGGCTTCTACTGCATAGACTCTGTTGGTATAGGTCAGTTCATCAGTGACCTTGCTTTTTTATTATGCTGACTTCCACTTCCATACTATTAAGTGTAAGGAACTGTGTGATGACCAGTAAGATTATGCAGAAGGCATGATGGGAACATAGAAAGGTCACTGACCCCAGAGTAACCAAGGAGCCCTATGCATCTGAAGAACGCCTAAAATAAGAAAGACCAAAGGCCGAGCGCAGTGGCTCATGCCTGAAATCCCAGCACTTTGGGAGGCTGAGATGGGCAGATTACTTGAGGCTAGGAGTTTGAGGCCAGCCTGGCCAACATGGTGAAACCCTGTCTCTACTAAAAATACAAAAATTAGCCAGGTGTGGTGGCGCAAGCCTGTAATCCTAGCTGCTTGGAAGGCTGAGGCATGAGGGTCGCTTGAACCCAGGAGGCGGTGGTTGCAGTGAGCTGAGAACAAGCCATTGTACTCCAGCCTGGGCAACAGAGTAAGACTGTCTCAATGAAGAAAAAAAAAAAAAAAGACCAAGATAACTGGAGGAATGAATGACCCTAAAGGAAAGAGATAATTGGAACAAAATAAAACTTTTTAAGTCCAATTAGTATCTGCAGGAAAAAAAATAGAGAAGACATTATTTTTTAACCAGATATATTATAGTATCTTTCAAACATGAAAAAGGAGGGCATAAGGATTGACAGCAGTCGAACGTTTTAAAAACCAAAAAGGAGTTGAAAATTAAAGTAAACCCCCAGAAAGTCTAATTAAGTAAAAACAAAGTAAGAGAAAAACAAGAGGTCTAAGACCCAACAAACAGAATAGTTCTAGAAAGAAAAAACCAGAAAATTGAGTTGAGGAAATTATCAAAGTGGTAACAGAGGATAATTCCCCTGAACTGAAGAACTTAAGTCTTCATCCTGAAAAACCTGCAGTCAAGTCTCAGCAAAATACTTTAGAGACAGAAATCCAGATAGAAATTTTAGAATCCAAAAGAGATAAAGAAAATTGAAAAAAAAAATGAAAAACTTTCAGAGAAGAGAAAAGGCAAATTACAAAGAACTGAGTTCTATATGGAGATAAACTAGCAAATATAAAGGCAGAAATAAGCCATTTTCAGAAATAAAAGGGTTCAAATTTACATTTCAGGTGTCTTTTCTTATAAAATTACTTGAGAATGTACTCCATCAAAACTAAGGAGTAAATTAAGAGAAAAAATAAAAATAATTAAAAAAAAGGGGGGGGCAGGGCAAGAGCCAAGAAACAGTGGGTCCAACTAAAGAAAGTGGTAAAAGGAAGTTCCCCAAAGGACAGTTGGGAGTAAAAGGCTGATGTAGAAACAGTAGAGTGCAGCAGGAGGGAAAGGGCTCCAGGAAGGAGTTTTCCAGAAAAGAGACTCAAGAAAATACCTCAAATGATAGTTTACAAATAAGGAAGTCAGAAGAGAGTATCTATAGATGATAAAAGAAGATATAAAGACCAAGTATAAAAAGGCAACCAATAATGAAACTAAAAATAGTAAATCAATTATTATTGAGTTGAGAAAGGAGGGAAGGTCTGAGACATGTGAACTAAGAAAATGTATAAAAGTGATAAATAATAATTAATAAAGAAAAGTGATAATGTAGAAAAGTAAAAAGTCAAGAACCAGCAGGAAAAGTGTAATATTTATAGATATGGAAGAAAAACACCGTAAGAAAAAGTTCAGAAGCATGAAGTTAATTCCCTATCAAAAACACATCCAAAGGCCAGGTGCTACTGTAACTCACGCCTGTAATCCCAGCACTTTGGGAGGCGGAGGCAGGTGGATCACTTGAGGCCAAGAGTTCAAGACCAGCCTGGGCAACATAGCAAGACCCCAGCTCTACAAAAAATTAAAAAATTAGCCAGGCGTGATGATGTGAGCCTGTATTCCTAACTACTCAAGAGGCTGAGGCAGGAGGATCACTTGAGCCCAGGAGACTGAGGCTGCAGTGAGCTGTGATTGTGCCACTGGGTGACAGAGAGAGACCCCATCTCAGACAAATAGACAAAGGAAAGAAAGAAAAAAGAAATGTGTCCAGAATCAGACTATTTTTCACAACCTTCATTGCTCTCTCCCTTGCCAAGCCACCATCTCCACTTACCTAGATTATTGTAATAGCCTAACTGGCTTCCCCAATTCCCCCCTTCTAGTCTAGTTTCAAAGAGAAGCCTGCAGGATCCTTTAAAAATTTGAATTAGATCATGTTATTGTTCACTGCTTAAAATCCCTCATCATGGTCACTGTAAAAGCCAAAGAACTTAACAATGGGTTCTAAGGACCTACAGTCTGGATCTCCTTTAACTCCCTAACCTCAGTCTCCTACTGCTCTCCCCTGGCTCACTCCATTCAGCCCCTCTCACTTCCTTGATGAATCTTCAACACATCAGCACCATAAGCCTCAGGGCCTTTGCACCTACTGCTTCCTGTGCTGGACATTTCCAGGGCTAGTTCTTTCACCTCCTTCAGCTCTTCCCTCAAGGTTCCCTTTCCATAAGGCTTTCCCAGACCACTCTGCATGTAAAAACCACAATCCTTCCCAACTTACCCTATCTCCTTTTTCTGTTTTATTTTCCCCCTCAGGATGTACTATCTTCTAATTCACCATGAGTCTAAGCTCCAGAAAGACAGGAATTTTTCTTCTGTTCATTGCTGGAACCCAAATGAGTGCCTGCCACAAAGCAGGCCCTCAAAAAATATGTCAATAAATTAATAGGACTTCTGCTGGAAGGGAGGAGGGCAGGGAACACTTCATTGCAGACCTTTTAAAGCTATTAAACCACGGATAATACTTTCACAAAAGTCTTTTTTAAATAATGAGTACATATTTAACTGTCAAGGAAAAGAGACTTAGGAAGACAGCTAGTAGATAATGTGGGATCAGAAGCAGCTTTTGGTTTAAGATAGGAGAGAGTTGAAGATTTTTTCAAGTTGACAGGAAGGATCCAATACAGACAGAAAGGCTAAATACACACAAGAAGAGAGAGTACACAGTATGTTTCTGAGACACTGAGAGAGGATGAGATCCAAAGCAGGAGTGACACAGGTGGCCTCAGGTGAAAGGAAGGGCAGCCCCCAGTCAGAGCAGGAAGAATGTGACAGACAAAATGGCTGCCATTGTAGATTTGTTTTACTGGTAATGGGGAAACTGGAGGAGCTCCCATCTGAGTTCTTCTATTATCTCTTGAAGCAAGAAATCAGGTTATATGAAGAGAGTGAGTTGTAAGGAAAAAGGTAAGGGGTTAGAGGCTTGAGTGAAAGTTGGAAATAATCCTTTCAGAGAATTATCCAGAGAAATTCCATAGGATTACCAGGCAGTTAAGCAAGTCCATTTGAGGGAGGTGCTCAAGTACTCACAGTGCTAATTAGTCCTGCTCAGTATCTGCTCAGGGGCAGGGGCACAGAAGGATGAGCTACATCCAGTAATTATATGGCTTTATCCAGGAGTGGGGTACTCCCACAGGGTGTGACATGAAGACTGAGAGGTCTGGGATTTTAGAGCACCAGTAAAAGTAAAAATGAAATAACAACCATGGAATTAAGCTACATAAAAGGGAAGACGGGGTGGGAGATGAGATAAAGTAATGTTCTAGGGAGCAGTTGCAGGTGTCTGTGGCTGAGGAAGAGATGAGCTGATCATGAACCAGCAGGCCAGGACATTCGATGATTACTCATGTGACTGTTAACACCATTCACATAAATGGCTCGGCCAAGCAAAACAGGAGGAAAAACTGGGCTAGGATGGCTATCAAAGAGCGTTACAAACTGGTAACTTTGAAAAACGGATGTATTAAAAATCAGACACAGACATAACTTTAAAATAATAAACATAATTTCCCATCCCCCAAGCAAGCACTACATTGGAAACCTGCACGTTGTGCACACGTACCCTAGAACTTAAAGTATAATAAAAAAAAAAAAAAAAAAAAAGAATGCCTGGCACAAAAAAAAAGATTCTTCCTTCTCAATAACTATACTGACCTATTTCAAATTCAACATAAATGTATATCAGCTACAAAAAAAAAGAAATAAAATAAAATGGCAAAAAAAAATCCAAGTCCTCAGAGACACTATTTCATAAAATATAGATTTGCTCTATTAATTAAAATATTTAGTTTTAATGCAGAATAAATGTTACATTTCAAGAAATTTAGTGTCCTTATTATAAGACAGAAAAATCAAATCTACTACCCATGAGTAAGCCCCTGTGTCTTTCTATAGTTAGAACAGTCTCACAAGTAATTATAAAATGCACTTGCTCAGTTGTCTGCTTAACAGAAGGAAATAGAAGGTAATACACATTCTAAGAATGATGTGTCTAAATGTAATCACAACTTGGGACTCTTTTTTTTTTTTTGAGACGGAGTTTCGCTCTTGTTGCCAAGGCTGGAGTGCAATGGCGCAAACTTGGCTCACTGCAACCTTTGCCTCCCAGGCTCAAGCGATTATTCTGCCTCAGCCTCCCGAGTAGCTGGAATTACAGGCGCGTGCTACCACGCCCAGCTAATTTTATATTTTTGGTAGAGATGGGGTTTCACCATGTTGGCCAGGGGTTTCACCATGTTGGCCAGGTCCAAGACCTGGCTCCTAACCTCAGGTGATCTGCCCGCTTCGGCCTCCCAAAGTGCTGGGATTACAGGCGTGAGCTACCGTGCCCGGCCCACAATTTGGTACTAATTTCTATAACTAAAATCTCTGACCTTACTCTAAGAAAACATACTCACGTTTTAGAAACTTCTTAAGGTCTTCAATGTACCCTGCATACGAAGTTGGATCAGACCTACTGAATGTATATTCCAATGCGGTCACTGGTTTTGGAAAAACCATGAGTCCTATAAAGACATAAAAGGGAGAGATTATCAAATTTCCTTCTCTTCTTTTCCTTCCTCTTATCTCTAAAAAGCAGATCTCAGCAAATTACATGGAAAATTGTGTTGACAGTATGCTGAAACTATCAAGAACTTCCCAATTCTAATTATGAAGGCATAGACATCTAAAATTAAAAATAACTCAAACCTTCAAAACCATCTCAGACATTACCGATTAGAAACTGTCCCTAAATTTGGTTATCTACAGTTAATTATAATCTTCCTTTTTAAAAGATGCAATTTTACTTTGAACTTTCTATATGCATTTTTAAAAAATCAAATAACATTTTTAGGTTTTGTCAATGTGCCATTAATACAAGGAAAAAAATTTGAGCAAATCAAAGCCTACGTACTTTTGTCATTTAAATTGTATGGAAACATTCATAAGACAGCTAACTCCTTTTCAATGAAAAAGGTCTATGCATTTTAAACTTTATGGCAAATATTCTTCCTTCAATAGCAGATATTGCTCTGTAATTAAAATGTGGTTTTCACATACTGAATTTGGAGTATAACCACCAACAATTTCCTATCAGAAGTTGACACCCATGTAATACAGACCATGTTGCTTAAGCTTACTAATGAAGATAAGGCAAGCAATCAGGCTTCCAACTTTAATGTAAGTTTTCCTTGTTTAAAAAGCATTAGATCAGCTGCGTGCAGTGGTTCACACCTGTAATCCTGGCACTTTGGGAGGCCGAGGCTGGCGGATCACTTGAGGTCAGGAGGTCGAGACCAGCCTGGCCAATATAGTGAAACCCCATTTCTTCTAAAAATACAAAAATTAGGTGGGTGTGGTGGTGCATGCCTGTAGTCCCAGTTACTTGGGAGACTGAGGCAGGAGAACTGCTTGAACCTGGGAGACAGAGGTTGCAGTGAGCCGAGATCGTGCCATTGCACTCCAGCCTGGGCGACAGAGCGAGACTTCGTCTCAAAAAAAAAAAAAAGCATTAGATCTAGATTAATTCAACCTTGCACATAGGCTTTAAAACAATCCTAAAATTTTCTCTAGCCTTCAAACATTCCCATATTTAATATATCACACATGTACATATAATACATATTATATGTATATAATATACAACACATAAATACATATTATATATGTATTACATGTACATGTGATATATTAAATAAGGAAATGTTTAATATGTCCCATATGTAATATATATGTATTATATGTACATGTGTATGCATGTATATTTATTTAAACTAATGATACTTTAAGTACTAAAATAATCGACAAATAATTTTAAGAAACTCAGTTTAAAAACTGTGTACTTAAAAATATTTAACACATATGCTTATATATTTCATGCAATTATAAACAGAGTTCAGTGTTTTTGAATAGATCAGACTATGTTCAATGGTAAGTCACATCACTTAAATAGCAAGTAAAGAATAATCTTAGAATTAGTCTGAGGTAGAAAAAAACAGTGCTACAATGAGAGATGAAGGAAAAGTAGCATGGAACTAATCTCTGACACTTGCTCCAATACACTAAGAGTTTTAAAAGAGTTATTCAAGACATTTAGACTAAGATTAGCTGTAAACAAAAGAAATCATTAGAAAAAAATTGTTCTAGGAAAAAAAATGGTTGAGACAATTAGTTCAGTTTGGCTGGTGATATAGCTCAGAAGTCTATACAGTGAGCAAGGATCTAGATAAGGGCACTTCCATCTCAGCATTATTGGCATTTTGGGCTGAATAATTCTTTGTTGTGGGGGTTGCCCTATGCACTGTAGGATGTTTAGCAACATCCCTGGCCTCTATTCACAGTACCACCTCTCTAGCTGTAACAACCAAAAATATTTCCAGACGCTGCCATATGACTCAGTGGTTGAAAACCACTGCTCTAGAGAGAAACCTGCTAGACTCCCACCTTCCTGGCCCGATTCCCCACTCTCCTGCCCTCTAAATCCCACTCCTCTAGGACTGAACTTTCTTCTTTAGGTAGAACCTTCCCTTCTCTGTCATCTATAGCAGTTAGTTTACAGTCTTTGGAATTATACACACTGAAGTTCTGCACATTACTGTTTCTTACTTTTCTAATTATCAGCATCTGAGGACAAGGGTCATGTCCAGTCACCAAGGGAGAGCTGGCATTCAAAGACTGTTTAGGCCAGGTGTGGTGGCTCACCCCTGTAATCCCAGCACTTTGGGAGGCCGAGGCGGGTGGATCGCCTGAGGTCAGGAGTTCGAGACCAGCCTGGCCAACGTGGTGAAACCCCGTCTCTACTAAAAATACAAAAAATTAGCTGGGCGTGGTGACACATGCTTGTAATCCCAGCTCCTTGGGAGGCTGAGGCAGGAGAATCGCTTGAACCCGGGAGGCAGAGGTTGCAGTGAGCCGAGATCACACCATTGCACTCCAGCCTAGGCAACAGGAGCAAAGCCCTGTCTCAAAAAAAAAAAAAAAAAAAAAAAGACTGTTTAAAAAGAATAAAATCAGGAGGTAGAAAATGTGGTTTAGATGTTTCAGTTTTTTACTGCATACATTCTCCTGTATAATGAATTTTTTTTCCAGAAGAAAATCAAGAAGAATTAAACATATGAAGAGTATATTCATTTTGTTCTCTATGAGGTATCATTATTTAACAACTTACCAATTTCATAACTAACCATTTAGAACGACAAAGTATGTATTTTATAAGTCCAAAGCTCTAACTGAAGCTAGTGCCAAAATATATACCTTAATTACTCAAGGCAAAGTAAAACTGCTCTACGATACTCATAAGTCACTCATAACTATAACTATATTCTTCAAACGTGGCTTTTACTAGAATTCTCAATATTCATTTGCTTACTTCTGACAAAAAAAAAAAGAAACCGAAACAAACAAAACAAACCCACTCAAACTCTCAAGATTTATCAGTATATAAATGTGAAGGTCTTTAAATCAGTATGTAAATATTAAACAACAACAACAAAAATTAAAACCTTCACATTACTCAGCTCCAAGGTTTAGCTATCTTCTATCTGCTATATAAAACAGATTTATGGTGAAGATAAACTATAACTCAATTTTGTTAAAAGCCGTAACCACTGCCAGGCACAGTGGCTCACGCCTGTAATCCCAGCACTTTGGGAGGCCAAGGCGGGGCAGATCACCTGAGGTCGGGAGTTCGAGACCAGCCTGACCAACATGGAAAAACCCTGTCTCTACTAAAAATACAAAATTAGCCGGGCGTGGTGGCGCATGCCTGTAATCCCAGCTACTTAGCAGGCTGAGGAGGCAGGAGAATCGCTTGAACCTGGGAGGCAGAGGTTGCAGTGACCCAAGATCATGCCACTGCATTCCAGCCTGGGCAACAAGAGTGAAACTCTGTCTCAAAAAAAAAACAAAAAACAAAAAACAAAGTCATAACTGCAAGATAATTACCTGGGCTAGGAATCTGGTCACGGTATTTTGGAACCTCATCGTTGAGAGTCTGAAGCATAACCCACATCGTGAATGAGAAGAGTGCAGCCAGGAACCCATAAAAAACTAGGTAGAAGAGCAAGATCAAACCTGTAAAAGAAAATAAAACTTATGAAATGTGCACGTGCGTGTGTGTGTGTATGCATGTTTGGCCAGGTTAAAAAACAAACCAACTGTTCTTGCAAGGGTACGATCCCAAGCTTTGCCATGCACATAGCCAAATATCCTCATATTCAGGACACATAAATTTGCCCAAGCAAGGGGTATTTCAGCAGACAGCACCCACCCATCCCATGACCCCTCCTTTTCCCTGGTATTTCCAAGTTAAAGCAGCTTCCACCATTCATACTCTGGTTCAAAATCAAAGCTTTAAAATTCCAGTACATAGGGGAATGTTTCCCAAAATGAACTTGATGCCCTCTAAAAAGATACAAGATGGTTTTAGGTAAACAAAACCCCCAATATTTACATGATCCTTTAAGTGGCGAATATAAAAGAATTAGTACATGAAACGCATATTTCACAGACAGTAATTATTTGCTTAAATTTAAGTTTTAAAAAGTGAGTTAATGGCTCCCACCTGTAATGCCAGCACTTTGAGAGGCTGAGATGGGAGGATCGCCTGAGCCCAGGAGTTGGGACTAGCCCAGGAAACACTTTGTCTTTACAAAAAAATTAGGTGCTCACTTTGGCAGCACATATACTAACAGTGGAACGATACAGAGAAGATTAGCATGGCCCTTGTGCAAGGATGACATGCAAATTTGTGAGTCGTTCCATATTTAAAAAATTAAAAAAATATATATTTTAAAAACTGAGTTCATTGAAAGAATATCAGGAAATGTGCAGATAAGGCCAACTTATGAAGACAGCACTCAATGAATAAAGTTTAGGACACACTGGTCAAATGGCAGGGCTCGTGCAAAAGTGAAAAAAGGACAAGGTCAGAAACAAGCCCTCTGATCAATGGAATTTCATAGCTCTACTGCTAAGCACAAAGCAAGATTTGGGAGACACACGTTTCAACATTAAGGGCTTAATCTCTTTCCTTTCACAATTTGGGAACACTAAGATAGATCTATCCTGAACCAGTGATTTACTTTGGGAACACTTAAAATCAATTATTTTTCTCAAATGTCTATATTCAAAGTTCTAACATCAGAAGTGGCTGCCAACAAGTATATTAGAATACATTGGTAAAGTCACTTGTATTTCAAGGTTTAAAAACTGATCAAAGATTCATTTCTGTAATAATATATTTCTGAATATATTTTCCCCCCAGGGAGTGGCTCCACAACTTTCTTCTGATTCTCAAAAGATCCCATGACCCCAAAACAGATTGTGCTGAAAGCTAGATAACTTTTATTTCTCAACTGCAAGGCAGGAATCACCCCCAACCCCCTTTTTCAAGTAAAGGGGAAATAGTTAAAGCAATTTCATTTTATAATTTAGACTAGCATTCTACCCCTCCCCCCCAATTACCAGGTGGCCAAAATAAGGATGGAGAGGACAGAAGAGAGGAGAACAGGATGTCACCTTCAGACAGCATCACTTCCCTACCACATACTGCGATCCTGTTGCAGAAAAAGAAAAGACCAATCTCAAAGAAGTAAACAGTTTGCTATAGAGGGAAATGAAACACACAGAAAGCCCACAGGCCAGTTTAATAAGATACAGAAGAGAAATTCTTTGAGATCTAGGTGTCTGCAGGAACGAAGGGATAAAATCCTCTACACCAGGGCTGACAGAAACTTAAATGTAATGAGTGTGGCTGTATTCCAATAAGGTTTTGCTTATAAAAATAGGCAGACTGGGGCCACAGTAGTTTGTTGACCCATGCAGTTGACATTAAAGTGGAGATGTCTGAAACAAAATTGCTAAGAGTTTAATTATTTAGCAGTGTTTTTAAGTCATCTTAAAATATTCTTGTTACAATACTGTTTTGAACATTTTGATTTTAAATTTCTAGGAAAATAATGTAAATTAAATTTACAAAATAGTTATAAAGCAAATAAATATATAGCAGATATGAACAAACTATATCCAAATCTGCTTTCTAAGGAACTATTACACAATGAAAATAATGAGTATAAAGAATTACATTCATACAATATATACACAAATCAACAGCTATGTCCCAAATCTGATGCCATATACTAGTGGCCATTAGAAACAAGTAAATAAGTTATTTCCAGCAGTGAAGTGAGTTTTCCTTACTTGAACAAGATCCTTCTGCCAAGAACCAAATCTAATTTTTAAAAACTTAAACTAGTCAGTCTCACATATAAATATACTTTATCAACCACCTCTTCCCCCTAAAAGAAAAAACAACAGAAAATAAAAACAGAAGTTGTAAATTGCTGCTCTTACCCAGGTGTAAAATGGCAGTTAAATTAGTTACTCAGATGTAGTTTGCTGATGGGGCTCTAAATGGCGGCGTCCTGACTTAGTCATGGATAGTGTTCATGGAACCTATTCAATGTGCCATGCCCGCCTCAGTGCTACTTGATGTAAGCAGAAAACAGCAAATACAGCCTAAATAGTACCTATCATATTACTAACGTTCCCTAGCTAGTTTAAAATCTTTCAAGAAATTTCCTTATTACCCAACTAAAGAAACTAACATGGGCCAGGTGCAGTGGCTCACGCCTGTAATCCCAGCACTTTGGGAGGCCAAGGCGGGCAGATCACCTGAGGTCAGGAGTTCGAGACTAGCCTGGCCAATATGATGAAACCCTGTCTCTACTAAAAATGCAAAAAATAGCCAGGCGTGGTGGTGCACTCCTGTAATTCCAGCTACTTGAGAGGCTGAGATGGGAGAATTGCTTGAACCCAGGAGGCAGAGGCTGCAGTGAGCCGAGACTGTGCCACTGCACTCCGACCTGGGTGACAGAGAGAGACCCCTTCTCAAAAAAACAAAAACAAGAAAACAACCAGACAGGCAAGAAACCTGGCAAGACTTAGGAACCACCATGTCATCCAGGGGAAGGAGAAACGGGCCCTGTCCAGCTCTTCTGCCTCAACCACACTGGGCGTACAATTCAATTCTGGCACCAACTACCCCATGCTACGGGCTCAGTCCTCCATAGAAATGCTGCTGCAGAGGTCCTCCCACTACCCACACTTCTGACCAACTAGTAACTAATACAGGAGGTTTCCACTGCACCCTCAAGTTTGTTCACTAGAATGACTCACAGAGCTCAGGAAAGTAAGTGCTCAAATTAGGATTTCAGTTTTATTATAAAGGATACATGTAGAATGGGGTCTGGGAGGCAAGGCAGTTTCTGTGTCCTCTCCTTGAGGAATCAGGGCTATCTCCCTCCCAGCACATGTGTTTCCTAACCTGGCAGCTCCACTGAACTTCAGTGTCCAGAGTTTTTACTGGGGTTTCATTATGTAGGTATGATTGACTAAACCACAGGCCACACAATATAGCTCAGTCTCCAGCCCTCTTTCCTGCCCTCCTTGGAGGTCTGGCTAGCTCAAAGTCCCAACCATGTAGGGACTTGGTTTGGTCTTTCTGGGGGACCATGCTCCATCTTGAAGCTATCTAGGGACCCACTGCCAGTCACTTCATTAGCATAATAAAGACACTCCTACTACTCAAATTCCAGGGTCTTTAGAAGCTCTGTGCCAGGAACCTGGAAAAAACATCAAACAAAAAAAAAATTTTTTTTTTGAGACAGGGTCTTTCTCTGTCACCCAGGCTGGAGTACAGCGGTGCAATCAAAGCTCACTGCATCCTCAAAATCCTCGGCTCAAGTGATTCTCCTGTCTCAGCTTCCTGAGAAGTTGGGACTACAGTTGTGTGCCACCACACTCAACTGACACTTTTTTTTGGAGATGGAGTTTCTCTCTTGTTGCCTAGGCTGGAGTGCAATGGTGTGATCTCAGCTCACCACAACCTCTGCCTCCTGGGTTCAAGTGATTCTCCTGCCTCAGCCTCCTGAGTAGCTGGGATTACAGGCATGTGTCACCACACCTGGCTAATTTTGTATTTTTAGTAGAGACGGGGTTTCTCCATGTTCATCAGGCTGGTCTCGAACTCCTGACCTCAGGTGATCTGCCTGCCTCAGCCTTCCAAAGTGCTGGGATTACAGGCGTGAGCCACTGCATCCAGCCAACAAATTCTTTATTATGCAACACCAGCACACATAATCTGGACACAGGGAAAAGTCACTGGGCTTCATGAGGGCCTGGAAATATGCCCCCTCAACACATGACTAGACCCTGTGATCTTACTCTCAACCTCTGCACACTTTCTAGCTATCTTCAGGGACCTAGATGCTAGAAAGATTGGGCCTCTCAGAAAATACTGATGACTAGCAACCATTTCCATTTGGTAAATAAACTAGCATTCTGTTTATAGTTTAAAACATTTTAAAGCAGAGACATGTATAATTTCTAAAAAATCCATTATATGAACAGGTGCAAGTTTATAATCTTTTGTATATTTGAATTTTTAAAAACAATACTGATTTTTAACAATATTATTCGCATACCATTCACATATGTAAAGTGTGAAGTTTACATTTTATATTCAGAGTTGTATAAGCATCACCACAATAAATTTTAAAATATTTTCAACACCTCCTCCCAAAACTCCATACCCATTCCCATTCCTCTCCCTCCCTGCACCCAGTTCCTGGCAATCACTAGTCTACTTTGTCTCTATAGATCTATTTTCTAGACATTTCCTAGAAATGGAATCATGTAATACATGGCTTTTGTCACTGGCTTCTTCCATGTAAGGTGTTTTCAAGGTTCATTTATGCTACAGCATATATCAGTACTCCATTCCTTTTTATGGCTGAATAATATCCCACTGTATATGGATATACAATATTTTATTGATTCATTAATCAGATGATGTGCATGTGAGTTGTTTATATCTTTTGGCCATTATGAATAATGTTATAAACATTCATGCACAAGTTTTTGTATAAATAAATGGTTTCATTTCTCTTGGGTATATACCTGGGAGTCAAACTGCTAGGTCATATGGTAACTCTAGCCTTTTGAGTAACTGGTAGACTGTCTTCCAAAGCAGTTTCACCATTTTACACTCCTACAGCAGGGATCCAATTCCTCCTCAACCTCATTAACACTTCTTTTACTGTGTTTTCATACAGCTATCCTAGTGGATACAATGTAGTATCTCTTTGTGGGTTTAATTTGCATTTTCCCTAATGGCTAATGATGCTGGGCATTTTTTCATAAACTCATTGGTTATCTGTATATTTTCTACAGAGAACTGTCTATTCAGATCATTTTCTCATTTTTAGATTTGGTTATCTGCCTTTTTTATTAAGTTCTAGAAGTTATTTATATATAGATACAAGCCCCTTACCAAATATATAATGTGCAATTATTTTCTCCCATTCCACAAGTTATCCTTTTACTTTCCTAATAATGTTATTTAAGCAAAAAAGTTATTAATTTTGATGAAGAACCACTTATCTATTTTTTCTTTGGTTGCTTGTGCTTTTGGTGGCATATCTAAAATAACACTGACTAATCCAAGGTCATAAAGACTTGCATCTATGTTTACTTCTAAGAATTTTATAAATTAGCTCTTAAGTTTGGGTCTTTGATCCATTTTGAGTTAATTTTTGTATATGGTTTGAGGTAGGGGTCCACCTACATTGTTCTGCATGGAAAGATCCAGTTGTCCCACTACTGTTTAAAAAACTATTTGTTGGCCAGGCACAGTGGCTCATGCCTATAATCCCAGCACTTTGAGAGGCCGAGGCAGGCAGATCACCTGAGGTCAGGAGTTCGAGACCAGCCTGGCCAACATGGTGAAAACCAGTCTCTACTAAAATTACAAAAATTAGCTGGGCATGGTAGCATGTACCTGTAATCCTAGCTACTTAGGAGGCTGAGGTGGGAGAATCGCTTCAGCCTAGGAGGCAGAGGTTGCAGTGAGCCAAGATTGTGCCATTGCACTCCAGCCTGGGTGTCAGAGTGAGACTCTGTCTCAAAATAAAACAAAAAACAAAAACAAAAACCCGATGAACATGTACTGTTTTAATAAAATGTATGCACATATATGTATGTATACACACACTCTCACATTTTATATAATTAAAATTATTGTAATATAAAAGATTAAACAAGATTAAATAACCTGCCTAAGATTAACCTACCAGTAAAAGAAATAGACCAGTATCTCTCCATGTCTGGCCTGCTCTCCCAGGGAGTCTCAAGCTCTATTGTCTTTTCTATTAAAACTCCCATTCTCTAAATAAAAATGTCTCATTCAAGTATTCTGTGTTACTCAGGGTGATAGAAATTCACATGTGAATAATATCTGCTGCTTCTCTACAAGAGTTCAGTTATTACAAATGACAAATATGTAAACAATGAATTATAGATACTGGATGCTAGGAAAAAAAACAAAAAGAATCCTCTCTAGCAGGAAGAGGAAGAAAAGGGACATCAGAGAAGGCCACCCAGAAATAAGGTAGTTGGCTCACCAAAGATGGAGAGGAGGAGGGAGCTCTGGGTCAAAGACTAGGTGATGAGATGGAGTACCACAGCAGGAGCAGTCAGGTGAGCACAGCTTTGCTTCTCTCAGTATGCATGAGCCCCTGGTGCCAAGCAACTAGCAACAGTAGCAGCAGCATCTGCTTGAAGTGGGAACAGGGAGCTTGGGCTGGAAAAGTGGGCCATGTTCTGAATGGGTTGGTGAAAGGTTACAGGAGCAGACAGCCTCCACACCCAGGCTGCTCTTGGCTATACAGGCTACCTCCATCCCTGAATGTTGTAATAGGAAAGTCTAAACACACAGAAGAGGAGCACAAAACCAATAATTATCACACATTCAAAATAAAACTAATCCATAAAGAAAAGTACCAAACTCAACAAAGACAGCAATGCCTGAAAACACTGGGCTGTATCAGCAAATAGAACAAAGAAAAATAAGCATAATTAAAACAGTAGAAGGTGAAGGATAATTTTTAAAAATTAGATATCATATTCTGATTATTGAAATAAAAAACTTAGTAGAAAAGCTTAACTGAAGAAGAATCAAAACTGAAGAAGAACCCAGACAGTTATGAAAATGAAAAAGCAAACCAAAGACTGGGAAAAAATATTTGCAAAACATAAAATAAATGACTCACTCCTATCTAGAATATATGAAGAACTTTTACAACAAAACATATTACTTATTTTATTTTAGAGACAGGGTCTCGTTCTGCTGCCCAAGCTGGAGTGCAGTGGCACAATCAATCATAGCTCCCTGCAGCCTCAAACTCCTGGGCTCAAGCAATCCTCCTGCCCCAGCCTCCCCAGTAGCTAGGACTACAGGCACATACCACCGTGCCCAGCTAATTAAAAAAAATTTTTTTTGTACAGAAGGGGGTCTTCTTAAGAAAATTTTTTTTTTTTGTAATTTTACTAGAGATGGGGTTTCACCATATTGGCCAGGCTGTTCTTGAATTCCTGACTTCAAGTGATCCTCCTGCCTCGGCCTCCCAAAGTACTAGAATTACAGGCGTGAACCATCATCCCCAGCCGAGAAGGGGATTTTGCTCTGTTGTCCAGGCTGCTCTCAAACTCCTGGACTCAAGTGATCCTCCCACCCTGGCCTCCCAAAGTGCTGGGGTTAGAAGTGTGAGCCACCGCACCCAGTCCAAGACACATTTTTTGAAGCAGGCAAAAGATCTGAACCGAAACTTCACCAAGATGTAAGGATTGCAAAAATAAGCCCATAAAAAGTGTGTTCCAAATCATTAGTCACCAGGGAAGAGAAATCAAAACTATAATGAGCTCCACTACATACCCACCAGAATGCTAGAAATTTTAAAGACTGACCGTACCATGTAATGACCCAGAAGTGGAGCAACTGAAACTCTCACATCCTGCTGGTGGGAATGTTTTTTGTTGCTGTTGTTGTTTTTAAAAAGAAAAAGAAAAGTTTGACAATTTTTTGAAAAGTTAGCAACATGCACACCTACCAAAAGATCCAGCCAATCTACTTCTAGATATTTACCCAAGAAAAATAAAAGCCCATGTTCACACAGTAGGGAAATGTGAATGTTCAGACACTTTATTTATAATCACTGAAAACTGCAAACAACCCAAATATCCACCAACAGTTGAATTAATAAATTTGGCTATATCCATACAATGCAATACTATTCAGCAATAAGAACTGTGGATACACATGGAAACACAGATGGATCTCAAAATAATTATGCTAAAGAAAAAAGAGGCGGGACGCAGTGGCTCACGCTTGTAATCCCAGTACTTTGAGAGGCTGAGGCAGGTGCATCACCTGAGGTCAGGAGTTAGAGACCAGCCTGGCCAACGTGGTGAAACCCAGTCTCTACTAAAAATACAAAAAATTAGCCAGGCATGGTAGCGGGCACCTGTAATCCTAGCTACTCGGGAGGCTGAGGCAGGAGAATTGCTTGAACACGGGAGGCAGAGGTTGCAGCGAGCTGAGATCACGCCACTGCACTCCAGCCCGGGCAACAGGGTAAGAGTCCATCTTAAAAAAAAAAAAAAAAAAGAAAAGAAAGAAAAAAGAGACAATAACATGCACAGGAGCTGTCATCTCCTATGAGACCCTCCCCCCAAAAAAAACATAAAGCATGATTCCACATACAGACATACACCACGTAACATTTCAGTCAGTGACAGACTGCATACACAACAATAGTCCCATTAAGATCATAATAAAGCTGAAAAATTCCTATGGCCTAGTGATGTCGCAACACAATGCATTACTCACGTGTCTGTAGCAATGCTGGTATAAACAAACCTACCAGTCACATAAAAGTCTAGTATGCAACAACTGTGTACAATGCATAATACTTAATAATGATAATAAACTGCTATGGGTTTATATATTTACTATGCTATACTTTTTGTTGTTATTTTATAGTGTACTCCTTCTACTTACAAAGTTAACTGTAAAAAGCCTCAGGCAATCCTTCAGGAGGTATCCAGAAGAAGGCATTGTCATCACAGAGGACAGCCCCATGCGTGTTGCTGCCCCTGAAGACCTTCCAGTGGGGCAAGAGATGAAGGTGGAAGACGGTGATACTGATGATTCTGACTCTGTGTAGGTCTAGGCTAATGTGCATGTTTGTGTCTTAGTTTTTAACAAAAAAGTTTAAAAAGTTAAAACTTTTAAATAGAAAAAATGTTATAGAATAAGGATATAAAGAAAATATTTTTATGCAGCTGTACAATGTGTTTGTGCTTTAAAAGCTAAGTGTTATTAAAAGTATATAAAGTCGCTGGGTATGAAGGCTCACACCTGCAATCCCATAGCTTTGGGAGGCTGAGATGGGAAGATTGCTTGAAGCCAGGAGTTCGAGACCAGCCTGGGCAACATAGCAAGACCCCATCTCAATTAAAAAAAAAAATTGTAAAAAGTTACAGTAAGCTAAGGTTATTACTGAAGTAAAAAAAATTTTAATAAATTTAGTGTAGCCTAAGTGTACAGTGTTTATAAAGTCTACAGTAGGGTACAGTAATGTTCTAGGCCTTCACATTCACTCACCACTCACTCACTGCAACTGTAGTCCTGCAAGCTCCATTCAAGGTCAGTGCCCTATACAGGTATACCATTTTTTATGTTTACATGGTATTTTTACTGTACCTTTTCTATGTTGAGATATGTTTACAGACAAATACTTACCATTGTGTTACAATTGCTAACAGTATTCATCCAGTAACATGTTGTACAAGTTTGCAGCTAGGAGCAACAGTCTATACCATATGGCCTATATGTCTAGAGGGCTATGCCATCTAGATTTGTGTAAGTCCACTTTATAATGTCTGCACAACAATGAAATCAATGAACACAGCTAAGCACATTTCTCAGAAGGCATGGCTGTATTTAATACAGACTGTCAAAAAGCAGATTTTTGCTTGGAGCCTGGGAAGGTAAGAACAGAGATGGGTTACAAAGTGCCAAGAGGGAATGTTTGGGGTGATAAATGTTCATTATCTTGATTACAGTGACAGTTTCATGAATACAGCATATGCACACACATATACATGAGTGTATACCAAAACTTCAAATATGTGCAGTTTATTGTATGTTAATTATACCTCAATAAAGCTGTTAAAGACAAACAAAAACTTAACCTCAGGAGAACTGGTCAAGCTGAAGAAAAATTCAGTGAGCTAAAGATCAAGTCAGGTATTCTATGACAGTGGGCTAACAGAGAAGGAGTATATGAAAAATTGTTGAGACATTGGGGAGAGAACCAGAAATACAAACAAATCTAATAGGAACTCCACAGGAAAAGAGGGTGGGGCAAGAACTCTCAAAGAAATAACAAGCTTGTGTCTAGATTGGAAATGTTAAAAAATACTGGAAAACATCCTATACCTAGAAATAAAAAGGTAAAATTTTAGAACATCAAGAATAAAGAGAGCTGGGTGTGGTGGCTCACGTCTGTAATCTTAGCACTTTAGGAGGCCAAGGCGGGTGGATAGCTTGAGATCAGGAGTTCGAGACCAGCTTGGCCAACATGGTGAAACCCCGTCTCTACTAAAAATAAAAAAATTAGTCAGGTGTGGTGGTGCGTGCCTGTAATCCCAGCTACTCGAGAGGCTGAGGCAGGAGAATTGCTTTAACCTGAGAGGTGGAAGCTTGTGGAGGCTGCAGTGAACCAACGGCACCACTGCACTCCAGCCTGGGTGAGAAAAAGAAAAAACTAAGGCCAAGAGGAAAACTACATAAGGCAATGGTGAGCAGAGATCTGCTAAGACTTACTGGTAACATCTAAGATGTTTTAATTGCTTTTCCTTATCAATTCTGAGGAATAAGTTGCATATAGTAAGTTTCCTCCATTTCAGGTATACAATTCCAGTTAGTTTTGACCGTTGTATAATCTGTGAAGCTACCGCTCCATTAAAGATATAGAACATTACCATCATGTCCAAAACGTTCCTTGTACCCCTTTGCAATCTACACACCCTTCCCCAGGCAGCCAATGATTTTGTCACTGTGTTTGTATTTTACATAAGGCTAAAGTTTTAAATTTGTCTATATTCGATAACTGTTTTTTTTTTTTTTTTTTTTTTTTTGAGACAGTCTCACTGTCACCCAGGCTGCATGCAGTGGCTCGATCTCCACTTGCTGCAGCCTCTGCCTCCCAGTTCAAGCAATATTTGTGCCTCAGTCTCCTGAGTAGCTGGGATTACAGGCGTGTGTCACTGCGCCCAGCCTATATTCAATAACAATTTGTAATTAAAATGTCAATAATATGGCAGGAATAATTTAAAAGTGGTAATAATAAAGGACATTATCAGAGTCAGTTAAAAAATCCACTTAATGCTGTTATAGAAGACAATCTAAAATTAAACACCAATGGTTGAAATAAACAGGAAAATAAAATAGGTCTTGGCTAACAAAAGAAATGTAGATATGGCATTATTACTGTATGCAAACTAGAATTCAAGTAAAAAAGCATTTGCAAGGGTGAAGATACTGTGTATTTAATAAAAGTAAATAAAAACACATAAAGAAGATACAGCATAATAGCCATGAACCTCTGTGATGCTAAGTGGCTTCAAATGATTAAAGCAAAAGCAGAGTTATAAAATTCACCACAATCATGACCAGAGATGTTAACATACCTCTCCAGAAACCCACAGATTGAGTAAAGGACAATAAAAAGGGCAATATGTATTTTTAAAACACAACAGTTACCTAGTATACGTAGAACTTTGTAGTCACCAAGAAATGTACTCTCTACAAACTTGGAGCACTGTCCCCAAACTGACCATGACTTACATTACAAAAACAAAACACAATTCAAAACTAAAAAACATTAAAAAAAAAAAAGAGGCCACATTCTCTAACATCTCAAAATAAATACATTAGAAATTAACAATACAAATTTAGAAAGTTGTATCTCAATCCCTGAATTAAAAAAACACAGATATCCAAAAATTCAAAATAATGTAATCAGAGCAGAACTCAAAGTAAAACCCATAGCCCTAGATGCATTCATTAAAACATCATTAAAATATACGACTAACAAAAAAGCCAGATTTTTAGCTCAAGACTAAAATAAATACAAAGAAAGTAGGAGAGATTTAAGATGAAAACACAAGTTAATGGACACAAAATGTAATGAAAAACCACACCAAAACCATTCAATACATTTAAATAATAAATCAACTTGATCAAAAGTGTTTTCAATTAGTAAATGTGAAAACAGATGAAATATAAAATTTTTTAGGAAAATTAAAATGTTCAAACCATGAATTTTTACAAAAAAGAGGTTTACCCCAGTAAAAGACACCAAGTCTAAATGGCTTTAGTTGGTTCTCTCAAAATGGAAAGAACAGACTATTTTCTATACATAAACTATTCTTTGTGTATGCTCTGTAAGTTACCTTAATGGTTTTTATAAGGCTTGCACTATTTGGATACTAAAACTGAACAGGTAGTATTGACACAAATTTACACATGTATTTTACTTTACAATCACGAATACAGAGCCTACTATATAGTGTGATGATACACAGGAATCAAGATACAGATCAACAAAACAATATCCTAAAAAGAATCCATATAAAATGGAATTTTTCATTTAACAAAGTTGCCAATTCATATCATTGGGGAAATGATGGATTATACAACATATAGGGATAAGTGATTAAGAAAAGAACATAGAAGACTGTTAAATCTGTGATAATGTTCATTTAAAACCATTACAATTAAAAAAATAAACCAAAGTAAGAGTTAAGAGACAAGAGAACAAAAAGATGAGTCCATAAAGAATATTTACAAGTATAACAAAGGCTTAATATTCAAAGTGTATCAAAATTTCCTTTAACCAGTAAGAACATAACACAGACTGGGGGCCGTGACTCACCCCTGTGATCCCAGCACTGTGGGAGGCTGAGGCAGGCAGATCGCTTCAGCTCAGGAGTTTGAGACCAGCCTGGGCAACATGGCAAAACCCAGTCTCTACTAAAAATACAAAAATTAGGTGGGCGTGGTGGCTCACGTCTGTAATCCCAGCACTGTGGGAGGCAGAGGTGGGCAGATCACTTGAGGTCAAGAGTTCGAGACCAGCCTGGGCAACATGGCAAAACCCAGTCTCTACTAAAAATACAAAAATTAGGTGGGCGTGGTGGCTCACGCCTGTAATCCTAGCACTGTGGGAGGCTGAGGCGGGCAGATCACTTGAGGTCAAGAGTTCGAGACCAGCCTGGCCAACATGGTGAAACCCCATCTCTACTAAAAATACAAAAATCAGCCGGGCGTAGTGGCGGGCACCTGTAATCCCAGCTACTTGGGAGGCTGAGGCAGGAGAATCACCTGAACCCAGGAGGTGGAGGTTGCAGTGAGCCAAAATCATGTCACTGCAGTCCATCCTGGGTGACACAGCAAGACTCCATCTCAAAAAAAAAAAAAAAAAAAAAAAAAAAAAAAAAAAGCCCCACAAAAAAACAAACAAACAAAAATCAAAAAATTAGCCAGGTGTGGTGGCATACACAGGTAGTCCCAGCTACTCAGGAGGCGAGGCAGGAGGATCGCTTGAGCCTAGGAGGCAGAGTGAGCCGAGACCATGCCACTGCACTCCAGCCAGGGTGACCGAGCCACACTCTGTCTCAAAAAAAAAAAAAAAAAAAAAAGAAAAAAAATTAGATTACAGGCATTTTTTAAAAATTAAAATTGAGCAAATATAAAAATATTGAAGAAATTACAAATTAAACCAACCAGATAGATACCAGCATCCTATCAAAATGGAAAAAACTGCACAATATTTTTGTATGATTGTACAATATTGTTATAATATCCAGTGCTTGAGGAGAAAAGGTACTTTTATCCACTGCTGGTGGGAGTATAAACTGGTACAGCTTTTTTGGAGAACTGTATATATATATATATGTATATGTATATACACACATATATGTAGATATACGTGTGTGTGTGTGTGTGTGTGTGTGTGTGTGTGTGTGTGTATATATTTTTTTTTTTTTTTTTTTTTTTGAGACGGAGTCTCGCTCTTTTTGCCCAGGCTGGTGTGCAGTGGTGCAGTCTTGGCTCACTGCAACCTCTGCCTCCTGCGTTCAAGTGATTCTCTTGCCTCAGCCTCCCAAGTAGCTGGGATTACAGGCACCTGCCACCACGCCCAGCTAATTTTGTATTTTTAGTAGAGATGGGGTTTCACCATGTTGGCCAGGCGGTCTTGAACTCCTGACCTCAGGTGATCCGCCTGCCTCGGCCTCCCAAAGTGCTGGGATCACAGGCATGAGCTATTGTGCCCACTCAGAACAATATATTCATAAAAATAAATACATATTATAAACTGGCAATTCCATTTCTCAGTTTATCCTAGATAAAAAGTTGCACTGCAGCAATTTTTAAGATAAAAATTGGAAACAATTTAAACATTCATCAGAAAGAAATATATATATTCTATAGTATAATCTCCACACTATGGAATATTATGTGATATGATTTGTCACTGTGCTCCACCCAAATCTCATCTCAAATTGTAATCCCCACATGCTGGGGGAGGGGCCTGGTGGGAGGTGACTGAATCATGGGGGGCAGACTTCTCCCTTGCTGTTCTTGTGATAATGAGTTCTCATGAGTCTGGTTGTTTGAAGGTGTGTGGCACTTCCCCCTTGGCTCTCTCTCTCTCCTGCCACCATGTAAGAATAAGAAGTGCCTTGCTTTCCCTTTGCCTTCTGCCATGATTGTAAGTTTCCTGAAGCCTCCCCAGCCATGTGGAACTGTGAGTGTATTAGTCTCTTCTCATGCTGCTAATAAAGACTTATCAGAGACTGGATAATTTATAAAGGAAAGAGGTTTAATTGACTCAGTTCCACATGGCTGGGGAGGCCTCACAATCATGGCAGAAGGTGAATGAGAAGCAAAGTCACATCTTACATGGCGGCAAGCAAGACAGCGTGCGCAGGGGAACTCCCATTTATAAAACCCACCAGATCTCATGAGACTTACTCACTATCTCAAGAAGAGCACAAGAAAGACCTGCCCCCATGATTCAATTACCACCCACTCAGTTCCTCCCATGGCATGTGGGGATTATGGGAGCTACAATTCATGATGAGATTTGGGTGGGGACACAGCCAAGCCATATCATGTGAGTCAATTAAACCTCTTTTCTTTATAAATTACCCAGTCTCAGGTAGTTCTTTATAGCAGTGTGAAAATAGACGAATACATTATGCTATGAAAAGGAATGACACAAACCTATATATACAGCCAAAACATATTAAGTGAAAAAAAATCAAGTTCCAGAACATATGAGTTTCCTATTACTCAGGTAAAGGTAGACAAGAACCTACTTATTTCTATATACTCCACATATATACAGAAACATGTTTATATACATATATAAAAATGGTGCTGAAAAAAGGACTGACAGGAAACCTGATAGTCATCTGTAGGAAACACTCTGAGACTGGTGAAGGAGGTAGAGAGAAACACACGAATGTATTCATATTCTCCAACACTCAATTAGGAATGTTTACCCATGCACAGAAAAGTTGAGTGAAACCTAAAAGTGAACACCCATAAACCCATCAAGATTCTACAATTAACATTTTACTGTATTTATCTCATTTTAAAGATTCAAGTTGCAAACATCAGAGAACAATTCAGCATGCGTATTAACTAAAATTGAGAAAAAATGCATATTCAGTGAAATACACAAATCTCCAATATACCACTTAATGAGTTTTGACAAATGCATTCACTTATGATCCAAAGCCCTATTCAAGATACAGAACACTTATCATCACCCTGAAAGTTCCGTCACGTCCCTTCCTAGTCATTCTCCCTGTCCACTGCCCTAAAGGCAACCACCGTTCTGGGTTTTTTTTTCCAGCATAGGTAAGAATTGCTTATTTTAGAATTTCACATAAATAAAACCATATAGTATGTACTCTCTTTGGTAAGGCTTTCGTTCGCAGTCAACCTGTGAGATTCATCACATTTTGTACATCTGTAGTTCATTCCTTTTTACCATTGAGTAGTATTCCATTGTGTAGACATGCAAGTTTATCTATCGCCTAGCTGATAAAAACCTGAACTGTTCCCAGTTTGGAACTATTATGAATAGGGCTACTATGAATATTTTTGTACAAGAGCATTTTGTGAACGTATGTTTTCATTTCTCTTGGATAAACACACCTAAGAGTAGAACTGCTGGCTCAGGGGGTGGGTATATATTTACCTTTATAAGACACTGCCGGACCTTTATGGATATGCCACATATTACCTTTTAAAAAGCATTTACACACTTAACGGGGGTTACCCAGGGAAGAAGCTGAGGATGATGTTGGACTTACTGATAT